>NC_000004.12:170796381-171421381 GCF_000001405.40 Homo sapiens
ACAAGGTGTCCCACAGTTGTTCTTTGTGCCCCTCCGAGAACTATTTTTGCCTATGGAGGATTTAACAATAAGCCATATAAAAGGGCAACTTCACTCAATAAGTAGGAAATAAATGTCTCAAAAAGGCAGAAATAAGAGATTATTGTAAAATAGGAATTCTAACAATACTACAATTACTCCATAATCGAAAACTGAACATTGGTCTATACATCTTAATTTGCACTATAGAATACGGAAGAATGTGTTAATTTCTCTCAATTACATCTTTTGGTATATGCTTCCTGTCTCATATATATATATATAAAATTATGATTAGAAATCTACTTCAAACATTAGGTAGTAGAGCTGACTCTACTCATAAAGACTATAGTTGTTCAACAGAATCATGTAAACTCCCTTGAAAACATTGTGTTAGATGACAAGACTGCCTTAGACTGTCGGTTGGCTGGAGAAAGGAAAGTGTGTGTAACAGCTAACACTTCCTGTTGCACTTGGATACATATATCTAGTGTAGTAGAAACTCAGTTGTAAAAAAAAAAACTGACAATTCATTTGTTTTAAATAAATAGATTTATCTTCTGGCTGATTCTTTGATGTATTTGTTTTTAATCAGTTTTGTTCATGGGGGCCTCGGTTAAAGAGCACGTTTCAACCATTTGATATTATCCCTACCAGGTAGTCTCCCTAGTGAGCTATATCCTCATAAGAGTCTTAAATGTTTGTATGTAGCCATCTACTGTGTGTCAAACGGTTTCACTCCGGTTTTAGCACCAAAAACTTGAAAATAACATAAGTAATTACTCAACTAACTTGACATCATGACTTGTAAATTCCATAACAAATAAGTCCCTTTCGATGGTAACAGAGAATGTCATCAAGACCCAAGTTTTTGGTCAGTTTCTCAAGATTGAGAGACTGATCAAAAGGGGAGGGTTAATAAACTAAAATAAACAGGAAGCCATTAAACTGAGGCTGCCTCTGTATTTCCAGTTTCTATGTAACAAAGTGCAACCTAACTTAGTACATAAATAAACTGAAACCTAACTTAACTTAAAGCTTAACTTAAAAGTATAGTTTCAGCTAATCCCAAAGAGCAAAGGTTCAGCCAATCCCAGGCAGCCAACTAATTATACTATGTGCAAATAAGGCAAATGCCTAAACCATGCCCCTAAAAGACAGTTCCCTAGCTATAGCAAATCCAGTGATTTACCCACTTTTGTTTCTGCGTTCTACTGTAAAAGCTCACTGCTCATGCTGCTGGGCAGAAGTCTCTGAACCGTTTTTGGTTCTGAGTGCTGCCTGACTCATAAATTGTCCTTTGCTGAAATAAACTCTGTTCAATTTAATTTGTCTAAAGTTTAGATTTTAACACCAAAGTATAGACCTTTTTTTTTTTTTGCCAGAAGGAGGAATTATGTGTTTTAATTTTACAAAGACTTAAAGAAAATCTTTGGCCAGGTGATGAGTAAGTTCAACATTATAAAAAGCGTAAGAGAAATTCTGACCTTTCTGTCATAGAGAAGTTGCTGAAAAGGGCAAACCTCTGTCCTAAAAGATGTCATGGTTTCACAGAAAACAGAGTAAAAGGCTTGTAGCTTGTTGTAGCAGAAGAATGCCCATTACCATGTACATAACCATGTACAGCAATGCCCATCACACATACTAGGGCCTTTTTCCATTTTTTTAGAGATGACATAAATCTCCTGGAATTCTGTACTATTCAGTATAAATGGACAGGAACACCCAAGATTGACTTAATCCACATCCATCTTAGTATTATTGATGAGTAAGTGAGGTGCTCACATCATATTAATTTAGAAATTTAAATTATAGTTACCTTTCCTGTACATTAGTTTTGTAAAATAAATTCTTATTTACTAATATATTGGATGGCTGCAAATAAGAAAAGTATGTCATTGCTTGGGTGCATTGGCTCATGCCTGTAATCCTAGCACTTTGGGAGGCTGAGGCGGGCGGATCACCTGAGGTCAGGAGTTCGAGCCCAGCATGGCCAACATGGTGAAACCCTGTCTCTACTAAAAACACAAAAATTAGCTGGGCGTGGTGGCATGCGCCTGTAATCCCAGCTACTGGGGAGGCTGAGGCAGAAGAATCACCTGAACCCAGGAAGCAGAGGTTGCAATGAGTTGAGCTCACACCACTGCACTGCAGCCTAGGTGACAGAGGGAGACTCCATCTCAAAAAAATAATAATAATAAAAATAAGTCATTGGGGAAATCGGGTTGAAAGAAGGCAAGCAGATTGTTTAAATAAGAAAATGTCCCCTTGGTTGGTAAAATGAGACTTGATGGTAATAATGTTAGAATGTTCAGCTTTTCTATGTACAAATAATTTTTGATTTCCTAAAAGTGGTAAAACTATTTCTTACAGGAAAACAAGAGTAATGAGAAAATATTAGAACAACTGAATGCATTAAGTGGGTACACATTCTACAAAACCATTCTCCTTAATGATTTGCCAGACTTATTTTTAACAAAATTTTAGAATTACGTAGAATTAATATAAGTTTAATATACATATTTATTATTCAATAGACACTAAAGAGGTCTCCTTTTAATAGGCAAGTGAATGGTTATTTGTGAAGCTATTTCAAATTCATTGTATAGATGTCTCAGTGATTTTAATGATGACTAGGGACATATTTAATTTAAGACATACTCTAATTTTCAAAAATAACCTACACTCTATATTCAATTAGGCATAAAGATAATTTTTAAAGTTGCATGGTTACTTTCTACCTGAAGTATACATTGCAGTTTTCTACCTAAAATATAATACAACTTTTAGTAATCTTGTTAGCTCAAAGAAAAACATTAATCAAATGTTGAGATCAAAAAAATAAATTCAAACTGTAATATAAACTAATCAAGTATTTTACCATTAAATTTTGAGGTACATAAAAACAAGTACAAAATTAAGTGTGATAAGCTGTAGTAAATTCATTACATATCTTTGGAAATACTTTCCCATATTGTATAGTAATTTCAAGTTTGAAATGTGACAATCAAATTTTCAGTAATCTGGGGAAGCATGATTCTTTTGAAAGCAAATAAACAAGTACAACTATTATTTTTATACCTATAGAAATATACTATTGATGGGATTTAAATTCTTCTATATATACCAAAACAGGACTTAAAAATCATGAACAAAAGACAAATGGTCTTTCTTTTTCTAATAGAGGCATGCTAAGTTACTGGAATTAGCCAATGGAGTGTATGTTTAAACACAAACAAGCAAACAAATGAATAAAACTGAAAAACAACATATCAATGAGATAACAAGAAGAAACCCACAAATTTAATTGACATCCAGAAAAATTGAAGATAAAGAGAAAAACATAAAAGCAGACCAAAACAATTACCTTCACTTGGCCGACATCTGACGGCCAGGAGACAGTAAAATATCTTCAATCTGCTGGAAGAAATAAATTTGCCTACCTAGAATTCTATAATTGGTGACAATATTTGGAGGAACAATGGCATTGACATAAACTAAGAGAGCTCACTACCAGGAGACCCACAGTAAAGGGAATTATAAAGGATGTGTTTTAGGTAGCAGGAAGTTACTCCAGGAGAAGGTATGTGTTATAAGAAATAATAAAGAACAAAAAGCTGAAATAATACCAAGGTAATCAAAGATAAATAATCACTATGTGTGTGTATGAATATAATAATGAATACTGATTACTTTTACTTCTCCTTCATAAATATTAGAAAGTGAGAGCAGTGAGTTAATTTATAGCTCAAAATTTTGAATTATATCATGGAAAAATAGCCTTCAGAAGTGTTTTACCCTTTTCCTTCAAGTTGTTTGTATTTTTTGATGAGCATGTACATTTTGGATAATAAAATAGAAATTATAAAACTGATTAAGTACAGAGATTATTATCACCATTAAGAAGAAATGAGTGGAGTTCTAAAATTTAATGAGTTACTCTGCTAATGTGATTTTTATAGTCATTTTTACAATTTCAGATTAGTTTAGTACTGATGCACATCAAAATATGTTGTAAATGAACAAGGTTAAGTAATCAACATGCATGACTTCAAATTCTTTAATGTCATTCAAGTAAACTGAAGTAACTTAATAAAATTCATCAAAGGGCTTAATCAGAGTATACTTTTAATAAACGACAGACACAATTCACTTTAAGAAAACTTCATGACCTCCCATATAAATTTAATTTGTTGAGTTACATTATATAATAATTATTGATTGTATATTTGTGTGACTAGTATTTAAAAACAAGCTTCTGCTAGCAAAGTTAAATATTTCTAACAAATCATTTGTTTTAAAATAGTGGAGCCTCTAGCCTTTAGCCAGAGGTGTGCATGAATTCCAAGGAGGAGATTTCTTTGCAAATTTAGTAAAAATTGCTCCTTTCTTAAAAGTGAGTACTCTTATCCATCATCAAACACTGGATTTATATGATTAACAAACATCTAATGATTGAATTAGAAATATTAACATCAGCATCACTTTCTAAATATCAAACACTGGATGAAATTTACTAATGTTACTTTATTACTATTTATGAACTATTTGACTGAATAGTAAATGCTTGCTTACACATACAATTTCTTTCTTAAGTTTCATGATTGATTACAATATTTCTTAAGATAAATTCTATTTAGTGTTTCACCTCCCTATTACATATAGCCAACACATTAAACAACTAGACTTTTTCTCCTTAACACTTTTTAAAAGAATTCAAACAATTCATTTTTTTTGAAACATATTGTGATAATTCATAAATATCATGGTTTATAATGGTTAAAAAATATCATAGAAAAAAGTATTGCAGAGAGCAGAAATGATTTTGAGCTGATTGGGCATGATAAATAGAGGCAAAAGACCATAGGATATGGCAAATAAGGAGAGGACAAAAATCTATTGAGGAAGAGGTATAAGTTGTGAAGAAATCATAAATTAGGTGAGTTACATACCGCATACTACAATGTAACTTATAAGTGAAGTTGTTTGTCCATTGTTTGGTAAGTAACAGATTAAAAATTGAATTGATGGCAGCAGATATAAAATATCATATTTAATCCAAAGAAGAGAGGGAAGGGAGAGAAAGATTATTTAGGAGCCTACTACAATAATCCAACACTGAGGGGTGTTTGCTAGAATAAGTAAATAAAATACTGTAAATAATATGCTTGTAGTAACAAGAAGAATAAAAGTGATGTGAAGGCTAAAAGTTGCTGCAGGCTTTCTGAAGAACAAATATATTAAGTGACAATTTCAAATGGGAAGTGAAATGGGGAAAATAAACGGATAACTTTATGTCCTTCAAATATGAAAAAAGGGAAAGTTGAGGTGTCACTAACAGATGTGAATGACTTAAGAAAAAGGACTCATTGTTCAGTTATTCATGGTTTCAGCAGGTATTTCTTGGCTATCTCCCGTGCACAAGGAATTATGCTATATAATAGGAATGAAAAACTAAAGAAGAGCAGACATAGTTACTGCCACGGTGGAATTTAAATTTGGTGAGTGAAATGAGCAGTAAATAACCCACACAGAGAAGAGATATAAAATTACAATTGCAAATATGCTTATAAAGGAGAGGTTCATGATGTTAGAAAGCACATTATAGGGGAGTTTTGACTTTGTCATGAAGACTGGGAAGAGTTTTCTGAAGACATGAATACCAAGTTCACTTGGATAGAAATACAGTAGAAAAAAGCAGAAGGCTGTAACCAAACCTTGAGAAATGTCCACAGCTGGACACAGTACTAAAACGTTTTAGTAAAAATGACCAGGTGGATATGTTTTGAGACTGAGGAAAAAAATGAGGAATACTTGACAATTTTTTACTAAATGTGACTAAAAGTCACTGGCCAAATAAAAAGTATACTTAAATTGGAATAAGTTGAATTTGGGCCTTAATTATTTTCATTAACTATGGTACCTTGGTAAGCATTCAGATGACAAATGAACTAGCTCGTGATACACTTTACCTTTGCAGCCTTGCATTATAATACAAAATTTTGTACATATAAATTTTACATTTTCCAAATATTGTATCTAGAATTTCAAACTACCTGAATCACACAAATAATGAGATTATTCCTGCTATAATTTCTGTTATAACACAATATGATCTCTTCCTGACAAGCATTTTATATAAATTACTGCAATTTTAATGTTAAATGTTATTTTAACACTTGTGTTTGGACTCCAACATGGAATTATATTACTTACTTTATTAGCTCATTTACCACCTACCATGCTATATTATTAGATAATTCTTTGAACATGAAATGTTTGGGGTTACTTCTGATAGTAATTTAAGGACCCCTTTGGCTTACCATTTACTGTCTCTTTCCATAACTGTTTCATGTCTGTGGTCTTTATTAAAAATTAGGGTAATTTAATCAGTACTGATTAAGATAACTCTTATTCAGAGAAGAATTTGATGAATTCCAAAGTGATATTACAATGTAATTTATAAACTCTCTTTTGCTAAAAAGAAAATGTTCAAGCCATCACTTTTTAGAAGGATTATTTATATTAATAAATATTTTGAAAGACTTCTACAATTACATTGAATATTGTATGGCTTTTTCTTTATATGATACATTTACAATATACTAAACAATCAACTCTTCTGCTTTCATCATATATTATATAGGCTTTATGATTCTAGGTATACATATTATAGTATGCCCTTTACCAGCAACAGTGGTAGCTGACTCATGTCTTCCACATTCACTAAATTTATATGGCTTGCATATATATATATAATAGTTGAAATTATATATATATTTAAACTTTATTAATATGTGAGTTTCGGAGTACCTATAGAAACTTAGACTTTCTTCTTGAAATATATTTAACAATTTAGTGGATAAATTATAAAACTAATATGTCTTTATAACCAATATGGTTTCCACTATGGAGTAGAAAGCAATTTATTTCTATCACCTAGGCCAATTTGATAATTTTTAAGAGCATTATTTTTATTAAACACATGGGGATATATGACTAGTACAAATTATATAAACATAACACCAGCATTGTCATATTTCATATGACCACCTTGAGTTATAGCTTTGTATTTGACTTGACTAATACTTTAATGCTTTTTTGTGTGTGACCATTAAATGATGCAAGCGCATTGTAATTCATCTAATGAAAGTGTAGACAAAAGTAACTAAAGATAAAAAGTGCATGCATTCTATTCATTGAAGGAAAGACATTACTTTTTGTGTAATTTAATTAAAATTCCTCTCTCTGTATATCACTATATAATGTAGTTTATAAACAGTTTGCAATTTGTACATTACCAAACTGAGTGTTTTCTCATTTATTGTTATTCATTTCTTTTTCTCTGCACCTTATTCATGCTTTCAAACATGCTCCCTGAGCCTTCTTTTCCACTCACCAATAATACTCTGGGTTAAAATGTGACCTTTTAGTTATTTTCAGTTAAAAGCATTTTCTATCTTGTTTGGTCTCATTTATAACTTCAATTCAGATCATGTTGAAAATTAATTTCCCTTTGCTTTTCTCAGTGTTGAACAGGAGATGATGACCGATTAATTTAACTCACCCTTTCCTTCCTTTTCTGGATCTTTTCTGTTTTGTTGAATCTAGTGAAGCAGATATAGTGAAAGAAGGGAAAATATCTTCCCTCTAATATATCAAGAGAATCACATAGAGTCAAAAGGCAAATGAAAACTGTAAGAAAATATTGAAATTTGTATGAAACTGATGAATAATTATTAAAGTTTAGATGAGAATAGAAATACAAATCAGGTAGAAACATGAGCAAAAGACATAAAAATAAGATTCCAAGACAAAAGTTTACATATGTCCTTAAGCATTAAAAAAAATTAAGACTTCACTGAAATACTACTTTTCATGTATCATACAAGTAAAAATTTTAAAAATTTGACACTACACTCAATTGGAGAACCTACAGAGAAAGGCATTATCACGAGCTGCTGAACGGCATTTAGCAATATCTAATAAAAATATATACTGACGTTTCCTTTGACCCAAGGATTTCACCTTAAAAAATGTACTATAAATACAACTTTTATTCGTAGAGGTGTAGAGTTGAATAAATGAAAAAAATGCATTAATTGTGACATTACATACAATAGCAAAATGTTGGAAACAATCCAAACTCCCATCCACAGGATACAAGTTGAATTTATTAGGGTCATTTTTGTAATGGAGTAGTATGCAAATATAAATAAGAATGAGGAAGATTTCTGTGAACCAATAATCAGAGATTCCCAGAATATATGTAGAGTAGAAGTTCAATGGGAAGAATAGAAATGCAAGTAAGACTTTTCTAAGCATATCTTTTTATGTTATTTCTTCTGATTTGAAAATTAGAGCATGTTAAATCAAAGATTCATATATTCAAAAATACATAATAAACTATAAATTAAAAACTCAGATTTTAAAATCAAATACAAGAAAACTCTAATAGTTTATCAAATTGCTATCACAAAATTATATGTTAATGATATGGGAGGGGTGGCGGAGAAGTGCTGGGTAGAGAAAGGCAAGGTCCCTGGCGAGGGCTCCACCCTCAGGCCTGTACCCATGGACCTAAGTGAGGACAAGCACTCTTGCTTTCGCACCCAAATGTTGCATTTTCCAAGACCACTGTCGCCCGCCATGCCCCCCACTCTGTGCCTATAAAAACCCCGAGACCCTAGCAGGCACATACACAGGCAGCTGGACATCCAGAGGAGCAGAGGAGCGGTAGAGCACACCGACAGGCACCGGTAGATGCTGGCAGGCCATTGACGGTGGGAGGCGTAGAATTTGGCCAGAAGCAATCAGGGGAGAGTCCAGCCGCTGGGCAGCCAGATTTCAGAGGAAGACCACCTTTCTAACCCATCTCTCTTCTGGCCTCCCATCCACCTCAATGAGAGCTACCTCCACTCAATAAGATCTTGCACCCATCCTCCAAATCCTATTTTTCCAGTACACCAGGTAAGAACCTGGGATACAGAAAGCCCTCTGTGCTTGGCAATAAGGCAGAGGGTCTAGTTAAGCTGATTAACACAAGCCACCTGCAGAGGGCAAAAAAAGAGTACACTGTTAACACATGCCCACTGGGGCTTCGGGAGCTGTAAACACTCAACTCTAGATGCTGCCACGGAGTCGGAGCCCAAAAACGCTCCCTCCCCATGACCTGCCCGTCTGCATGCTCCCGCTAGGGGTCTGAGCAGAAGGGCACCTAAGAGGCAGGACACACCCCATCACACGCCCTGCAAGGATGATGAGGGAACTTCTCCTGTTTCATTATGTAGCCTTGAATACTGTTCTTTCATTGTACATTGTTATAAAGGTATAGCTAAAGCCAAAATAAACTGTAAAGAAGATTTAAGTGTTACTTATCAGATTATCTGAATTCTAAAATGCTCTATTTGATTATAAACGTTAGGAGGTATTATATGTTAAATACACACAAAATAATGTGGTTAAATTATTCCTAAATACTTTTAATTATTAAATTATGCATAAATAATTTCTATATTCAGTTTTAGATTCAGAACCTTCTGAATTACTTCTCAACTCAGAGATATTGACAACTTTATTTCACAGATTACAATGTCATCCATCTGTCTTAGTGATTCTGGATTGCTTAAGCAATGCAATGCTTCACTATCTTTTGTGCTTTTTCCTTTCAATTTATGACACTCATTCTGCAAATTTTGATGTGGGTCCATTTTGGATCTTATCAGAAGTTATAAACAAAATATTTTTATGTTTTCTCTTCAAGTGGTCCCCTAAAATGTTTGTTGACTGAAATGACAAGGATTATTGGTTTTACACTTATGTTATAACGAATGATAATCAAGTCACTCTATTTTGGCAAGGTTATTTCTTTAGTTGTTCAGATACATGTTCATGCAGTACATCAAAAGCTAAAGTACTTGCTGGGTTAAATAGATGTCTCAGATACCCAGTCAAGATGAATTTTAACCAACTTCATTTCTCTTTCATATTCCCTGAGCTCTGAGAAAAAAATATTTTCATATGAAGGAAATATTTCCCCTTTCATGTTTCTTTGAGAGTTCCGTATGCTGGTGAAGTCCCTTCTCTTGAGAGATCAGACTTTTTATATACTATGCACATAACTGAATTGAAGTTACAATAATATAAACAGCTGTGACCAAATTTGTGTGTAAGTAATCATAGCTATGTGTTAATTGCTGTCTGACAAATGGGATCTGTTAAAGCATATAAGTAAATATAAAAGTATGGATTCAGGCAAGATTTATTAAAAAACAAAAAATGTAAAAAAATGCCATTTTGAATTTATGAAATATGTGAGTCACTTCTCAACTTTTGTTTTAACAATCTGGAATACTTCATATCATTCTAAAATTTTAAAAATCATTTATTGAATTTTATTTATTCATTGATACTTTAAAAGAATCCCCTCTCTATATTATTACAGTCTACAATTATTACCATATATACTCTTAAAAATTACAGTGTCTTTAAGTTTTATTAGACTATTAAAATTTTCCTTTGTGGGTGACCTGGTCTTTCTCTCTGGCGGACCTTAACTTTTTTTCTTTCATTTAGACCTTGGAGAATCTCATGATTATGTGTCTTGAGGTTGATCTTCTCATGGAGTATCTTACTGGGGTTCTCTGCATTTCCTGAATTTGAACGTTGGCCTGTCTTGCTAGGTTGGGGAAGTTCCTCTGGATGATATCCTGAAGTATGCTTTCCATACTGGTTGCATTCTCCCCAACTCTTTCGGGAACCTCAATCAGTCATAAATTTGGTCTCTTTACATAACCCATATTTCTTGGAGGTTTTGTTCACTCCTGTTTATTTTTTTTTAATTCTTGTATGCCTGTCTTATTTCAGAAAGATAATCTTCAAGCTCTGAGATTCTTTCCTCCATTTCCTCTATTCTTCTACTGATGCTTGTGATTGCATTGTGAAATTCTTGTGTTGTGTTTTTCAGCTTTATCAGATTGGTGTTCCTCTCTAAACTGGCTATTCTGGCTATCAGCTCCTGTATTGTTTTATCATGGTTCTTAGCTCCTTTGCATGTTCCTTTAGCTCAGCAAAGTTTGTTATTACCCATCTTCTGAAGCCCACTTCTGTCAGTTCAGCCATTTTAGCCTCAGCAAAGTTCTGTGCCATTGCTGGCGAAGTGTTGTGATTATTTGGAGAAGAGGCACTCAGAATTTTGAGGTTTTAGCATGTTTGCTAAACACTTCTCAAAAGGAGACATATATGTGGCTGGAAAACATGAAAAAGAGTGCAACATCACTGATCATTAGAGAAATGTCAATCAAAACCACAATGAGATAACATCTCACGCCAGGAATGACATTTAATAAAAAGTGAAAAAACAACAGATGCTGGTGAGGTTGTGGAGAAAAAGAAATGCTTTTACACTGTTGGTGGGAGTGTAAATTAGTTCAACCATTGTGGAAGACAGTGTGGCAATTCCTCAAAGTCCTATAGGGAGAAATACCATTTGATCCAGCAATCCCATTACTGAGTATATACCCAAAGGATTATAAATCATTCTATTATAAGGATACACGCATGCGTATGTTCATTGCAGCACTATTCACAGTAGCAAAGACAAGGAATCAACACAAATGCCCATAAATGATAGACTGGATCAAGAAAATGTGGTACATATATACCATGGAATACTATGCAGCCATAAATAGCAATGAAATCATGTTTTTTGCAGGGACATGGATGGAGCTGGAAACCATTATCCTCAGCAAACTAATGCAGAAACAAAAAAAAAAAAACAAACTGAATGTTCCCCCTTATAAGTGGGAACTGAATGATGAGAACACATAGGCACATGGAGGGGAACAACACACACTGGAGCCTATTGTGGGGGCATTTGGGGAGAGAGAGCATCAGGAAGAATAGCTAATGGATACTGGGCTTAATACCTAGGTGACGGGATCTGTGCAGCAAAACACCATGGCACACGTTTACCTAATGTAACAAACTTGCACATCCTGTACATGTACCCTGGAAGGTAAAATAAAAGTTGAAGAAAATAAAAGAGAACTAATGAAAGCATCTAAACATTCCTCTGTTTGGAGCTACTTTCTGGGGGTGAGTGGCAGCTATAACTAGTGTAATGATCTATTAAGTGGAAGTCTGAGTATTTGAATTCACCTTGATGGAACTTGTGAGAGGCGGTAATGTGTGGCTTCAGAGCCAGGTCCATCCGGACATAGAGACAGGCTCCCCATCATGGGCTGTGTGACTTTGGGACAAGTTACTTAAACTCTGTAAGCCTCTATTGTCTTCATCTGTAAAATGAAGATAGGAATAAAGTTCACTTGAAAACAAAACAAAGCAAAGCAAAAATTTTCTGTTGATTCTTGATTCAATTATGGTTATTTTTAATGCATTGGTTTAATCAATACTTCAATATTATCATAAACATACCTACTGTTCCAAAATAATAATTTAAAATGGAATAAATATTCAAGCAAGAAATTTTCTTTTTTTTTTAAGAGGGCACATTTAGTTTTATTTATTATATGGAAACTTTTATGATTTTGAGTCTTTAAAATGGAATTGTAGAAAATAATTTTAACTTATTCTCGTTCCTTTAAATTTCTGCAATATTTAAATATGGTCTTGAGCCTCCCTGAGATTTTTCTCATGCAAGTTAATTTGGTCTTTTCCATTTGTGGATTTTTTTTTATTATACTTTACATTCTAGGGTACATGTGCACAGCGTGCAGGTTTGTTACATAGAGATACATGTGCCATGCTGGTTTGCTGCACCCATCAACTCATCATTTACATTAGGTATTTACCCTAATGCTATCCCTCCCCCAACCCCCACCCCAAGACAGGCCCTGGTGTGTGATGTCCCCCACCCTGTGTCCATGTGTTCTCATTGTTCAACTCCTGCCTATGAGTGAGAAAATGCAGCGTTGGGTTTTCTGTCCTTGTGATAGTTTGCTGAGAATGATGGTTTCCAGCTTCATCCATGTCCCTACAAAGGATATGAACTCATCATTTTTCATGGCTGCATAGTATTCCATGGTGTATATGGGCCACATTTTCTTAATCCAGTCTATCATTGTTGGACATTTGGCTTGGTTCCAAGTCTTTGCTATTGTGAATAGTGCCGCAATAAACATACGTGTGCATGTGTCTTTATAGTAGCATGATTTATAATACTTTGGGTATATACCCAGTAATGGGATCTCTGCGTTAAATGGTATTTCTAGTTCTAGATCCTTGAAGAATCGCCACACTGTCTTCCACAATGGTTTAACCAATTTACACTCCCACCAACAGTGTAAAAGCATTCCTAGTCCTCCACATCCTCTCCGGCATCTGTTGTTTCCTGATTTTTAATGATTGCCATTCTAACTGGCATGAGATGATATCTCATTGTAGTTTTGATTTGAATTTCTCTGATGACCAGTGATGATGAGCATTTTTGCATATGTCTGTCAGCTGCTTAAATGTCTTCTTTTGAGAAGTGTCTGTTCATATCCTTTGTCCAGTTTTTGATGGGGTTGTTTGTTTTTTCCTTACAAACTTGTTTAAGTTCTTTGTAGATTCTGGATATTAGCCCTTTGTCAGTTGGGTAGATTGCAAAATTTTTCTCCTATTCTGTAGGTTGCCTTTTCACTCTTATGATAGTTTCTTTTGCTGTGCAGAAGCTCTTTGGCTTAATTAGATCCCATTTTTCTATTTTGGCTTTTGTTGCCATTGCTTTTGGTGTTTTAGTCATGAAGTCTTTGTCCATGCGTATGTCCTGAATGGTATTGCCTAGGTTTTCTTCTAGGGTTTTTATGGTGTTAGGTCTTACGTTTAAGTCTTTAGTCCATCTTGAGTTAATTTTTGTGTATGATGTAAGGAAGGGATCCAGTTTCAGCTTTCTACATGTGGCTAGCCAGTTTTCCCAGCACCATTTATTAAATAGGGAATCCTTTCCTCATTCAAGCAAGAAATTTTCAAAAGTGCCATAATTGGCTGTTTTACATTGATAAAAATTTTATTTCACAGAATATACAGTCATTAACATTTAAGTACGACATAATCTAACAACTTAGAATACAATATTTAAAAATGTTTACAATAAAATATATAAAAATAATGTCTTCATTAACAAATTATTTGTTAGGCTGGCATGATATAAAAATATTTTATTCAATCACAGTTCATTACACTTAACTCACGAAAATGTAAGCAAGATATTATTAGATTTACGCAAAGTGGCAGCCCTCTTGTACTACATATTGTAAATAATTCAATTATAAATAAGATATGACCTAAGTCTCAGGTCAGCTTCAAGTCGTATTCCACAGATATACAACTAAGTGTAAAGGGAGTAACTCTCCTGATACCTGACTGTTGCTGTACTGATTGGTCCAATTATATATACACACACACACACACACACACACAACATATATAAAATATATATTTACATATAACATATATAATTTATAATATATATTTATATGTAACATATATAAAATTATATATAATATATATAAAATTTTATATAAATATACATATAAAATTTGACCAGTCAGTACAACAGTGAGGTGTATATATACATATGTATATGTGTGTGTGTATATATATATATATATATATATATAGTCAAATTTTATATAAGTTTGTTAAATGAATAAATCATTAATACTCTAAGGTAGGAGCTTGTGAAATATAGCGGTTGGACCAAATCTGGTTCACCACTTGTTTCTGTAAATAAAGTTTTATTATAGCACAGCAATGTTCATTCATTTACATACTGTCTATGGCTGCCTGCAGCTAAAAATCACAGTTAAGTAGTTAAAAGAGAGACCACAGGGCCTGCAACGATGAGAGTATTAACTTTCCAGCCCTTAAGAGAGTTTTCCAACCCCAGTTCTATCTGGACACCTCCATGCAGCTTCATGAAAGACCTCAGGCAAGACTGGCAGAAAACAGATTAGTCAATTTATAAAATAATGAGGAATAGTACATTATTATATGTTAAAAATACTAAGTATTGGTGGCGTTTGTTATACAATAACAGATAACTGAAACATTTAATGAAAGAAAAACAACAAGGTAAAGAATTAATTGTCCTGTATATTCTGTTTGACTACTGGGGACATAAATATAGATATTGTAGTAATGAGTTTTAGTTTGCAGAAAAAATTAAATTAATGATATAATATGCATTTTAAGAGTGATTGAAATGAGTTAGTTTTTCTTGAATATTCTCTGTGCTTGCTGCTATGCATTCTTGTTTTACATTTAGAAATATAAAACGTAATTGAAAATTTTTCTTGCATGTTTGCTATTATTATATTTTAAATTTCTGCCAGTTGAATGGTATGTCTAAGATTTATTTCAAAATAACCAAAGGATAAGATTGACTAGTTGATAATTATTGAATTAGGTGGTGATGTATAGTGGTTTATCATACTATTTTCTGTATTTCATATGTGTTTGAAGATTCTGTAATGAAAAGGTAAAACATTTGTGTTAATCTATTATTTCTAAATTACGAAGCTCAATTCTTTTAGATTTTGTTTTATACACTATAGTATTTAATATCTAATAAAGAACATTTAAAATTACCTAGATCAGGTCATATGAAGTTTGAACATAATAATGACATTTTGGAGTTTAATTCTGACACTCAAGAACAATGGTTTCAAGGGGTCATTTTCCAACTAAGTGTTTCTTAAGTGAACTCTGAGGAAGAAAAGAAACAATAGTAAATTATATAAAATGATATAGCTAATTTCAATTTTAAAAGTTGACAGCATGTCCTAAAACTTCTGAATCATCCATTCAAAACTATTACTTATCCTATGAAGATTAATTATATCTCAAATATTTTTTATACTTATGCTTCCATAGGAGTATCTTACATATGCAAATAACCTAGAACTAGGAAATTACCTATACTTTTTATGTAATTTGGAGAGAATGCTCCGTTTCATTCTTGGCAAGCATGAACAAGAAGCTAAGTTAAATCCATTGCTTCATGGTAATTCCATCAAAGTGTATGCTGTGTATATTCTCTAACCCTGTGGAATGAACAGAATAACATAAATATACATAGTCTTAAAACATTTGAGCAAAGTGTAGAGGGCTGGAGAAAATGAACCATGTGGATTTCTGGGAGAAGGCCATTTTATGCTTAGGAATAACCAATGCTAAGGCCATGAAGCAAGAGGTCAGGAGCAAATCAGAAAGTTTGACAATAGTAGAAAATATTCTGATAATTATCTTAAAGAACACATTTTTTTTTAATACTAAACAAAGGAAATTCACTTTCACACTTATAGTTTTTGTCAGTGGGAAGGTTTTGAAATTGTATGAATTCTAACTGACTCTAGAGGTTAGATAGTATTCATCTCCTTTCCCCATAGATGTCTGGCTTTCTCAAGTTTGTCTAAAATGTAATATACATATTCAAAATGCAGTAGTCAATCTCTCTTCTGGCCACTATGTTCATTGAGAGAGAAATTACTAAACCAACATTCCCAAGTTTGGAGAAAAACTACTTTTCTTTTCTCTCTGGAGAGAGAGCAGGAGACTCACCACCTCACAATATCTACTACCAATGCACAAGGAAGACTCAAGTTGATTTTAAATGACATTTAGTATTAATCTATATGCATTGTGTCATTTATTTTTTAAATGTATACATTTGGAAAAGCAATGAGTAGCCAGTGTTGATTAAACAAGTAGTGGCTCAATATAATATTTCCCATTTTAACATTTTAAACCTTAGTCCCAAATAACATTAACTTCTGCCAAAAAATCTGCAACATTAGGAAAATTCAGAAAATAGCAAATGCAGAGTCTATTCCTTCTCATTTTCCAAGTCATTGTCTATGTCATGGCTTTTTCATTTTCAGAATAAGTACTTTTTTTAGAAGATTATACATTTAGCAATTCGTAGTGTATTTTGAGTTACATTTTGTAAGATTTTTCTCTTGTTCATTTTAAAAATGGTTAGTTGCATAATGGTTTAAAACTTATAATCTGAAAATTTGTTTTACAGTATTTGAGATACACTTATAAAAAATGTAATTTCAACTCTTATTTTACAGAAGTTGCAAAGTTCCAAAGGTTATGAAAAAAATAATGTAAATTTGAGACTCCCCTCCTTTTTCCAAATAAATAAACTTTCTATAAAAATATGTACAATTTTTACAGACATACATTTACAAGTTTTTTGTCTTAAAAATTGAGGACATTTCATATTTGTAACTGTTTATTTAGCCTTAAGTCAAGTATTCTTGGCCATTACTAGGCTAATTAACTAAGAATCACTGAAACTACCTCAAAGTAGAAAAGGTATAAAAATCCTGACCACTAGGACTATTTTTTTTTTCTATTTTTCAAAAAGTGTACCTGGGAAAGCTAATAATGAGAGAAAAAGCTTATCTTCACACTCTGCTGTATGGTACTGACACTTTTAGTGATAGTTATATTACTTGTAGCCTTAATCCTTTTTACACAGGTCACTGGCATTGTTAGTGCTTCTCTTTTAACACCATAGGGAATTAATTATTAGGTCAGCATATTTAATGAGTTCTGTAAGTAGCCTCACTATTGGCCACTCTCCTGTTCTCAAGAAGGAAATTAAGTCTTTCCACCCTACCATCTTCACTAAATCTGAAAATCTTCCTCCATGGATTCTCAAACAACGTTTGCTTGTTGAAACTGAAATTTGCCTTTTTCAGACAGTGACTCTTCAATCAAAGGGGAGTACTTTTTCCATGTATTTGTTCCTATTTGCTATAATCCTCTTGCCACTTGCTTTCCTGTCTAGGTTGCTACAGGAAAACTCTTGGATTTTATAGCCTAGGCAATTTGAAGTCAAACTTCATAAATACATTTGATTTCACAGATAGTATGTGGTTTTGGTAGCTGTTGCCAGTTAAAAGTCAACTATTGCACTTACAAGCCTATCTTATTAAATATGCCAAACCAGATTCTACTCTAGCAACACCTGCAAAAGCCAGCAACACATTTCTGATGCTGCCTTCTAGGTCTACAGAGAAGAACCCCACAGACCCATCTTAGCCTCAGGTTTGACTAGCCAGTCCTGTTTTGTCCTTACAAGAACATCTGCATTACTTTCTGTTAATGGTTTAATGCAGCTTTCTTGGTTAAATATATACTTTTTTTTCTACCAGATAAGTCACCAAGTTGTTATATTTTTATTCATAACCTTTTAGTCAATTTGGGCACTAATAATTCTTAGCCTGAAGAAAATTCTTTTAATATGTCTTCCTTTAATTCTAAGTCATAAACTACTTTTGTTTATATTGTATACTCTACTCACTCAGCTACTATTTAATTCTCAAAGTTGAAAAACTTCTAAATGTGGGATTCCGTGGTAAGTGCTACTATGATATATTCGAGTAAATGCAATGCAGAGAGAAATCTATAATAACATATAGAAACACCAGAATATAATTTATATAGATGAAAAAACTATATTGTGGCTTAGACTATAAAAGGTAAGTTGCACTTGATAAAAATGCATGTGGAATAGGAACAATTCTAAGTTGATTCCCCAAATCTCTGCACTCTGGTGTACATGTACTGCATCATTCTTAAGGATACAAATGTGATGGATTTCTCTCTCCTGGTTAATAATTAGTGATATGGTTTGGCTCTGTGTCCCCACCCAAATCTCACTTTGAATTGTAATAACCCCCATGTGTCATAGGAGGGACCTGGTGGGAGGTAATTGAATAATGGTTTTTTTTCCTGTGCTGGTCTCATGATAGTGAATAAGTTCATGAGATCTGATGGTTTTATAAAGAGGAGTTCCCCTGCATATGCTTCCTTGACTGCTTCCATGTAAGATGTGTCTTGCTTCCCCTTCACCTTCTCCTGTGATTGTAAGCCTTCCCAGCCATGTGGATCTGTGAGTCAATTAAACCTCCTCCCTTTATAAATTACCCAGTCTCTGTCATGTCTTTATTAGCAGCATGAGAACAGACTAATACAGTAAATTGGTACCAGGAGTGAGGTGCTGCTGTAAAGATACCTGAAAATGTGGAAGCGACTTTGGAACTGGGCAACAGGCAGAGGTTGCAATAGTTTGGAGAGCTAAGAAGAAGATAGGAAAATGTGGGAAAGTTTGGAACTTCCTAGAGACTCGTTAAATGGCTTTGACGAAAATGCTGATAGTGATATAGACAATAAATTACAGGCTGAGGTGGTCTCAGAAAAATATGAGGAAATTGTTGGGGACTAGAGTGAAGTTCACTCTTGCTATCCTATGTAGGGGCATTTTGCCCCTGCCCTAGAGTTCTGTGGAACTTTGAACATGAGAGAGATGATTTAGGGTATCAGATGAAAGAAATTTCTAAGTGACAAAGTGTTCAAGAGGAAGCAAAGCATAAAAGTTTGAAAAATTTGCAGCCTCACGATGCAGTAGAAAAGAAAATCCCATTTTCTGTGGAGAAATTCAAGCCTGCTGCAGAAATTTGCATAAGCAACAAGGAGAAGAATGTTAATCACCAGTAAAATGGGGAAAATGTCTGCAGAGCATGTCAGAGACCTTGATGGCAGCCCCTCTCATTACAGTCCTGGAGGCCTAAGAGGCAAAAATGGATCAGTGGGTCAGGTACAGGGTCCCCCTGCTGGGTGCAACCTAGGGACTTGGTGCCCTGTGTCTCAGCTGCTCCAGCCATGGCTAAGAGGTGCCAAGGTACAGGTTGTGCCGTGGCTTCTGAAGGTGCAAGCCCCAAGCCTTGGAAGCTTCCATGTGGTTTTGGGCCTCTGGGGGCACAGAAGAAAAAACTGAGGTTTGGGAACCTCTGCCTAGCTTTCAGAGGATGTATGCTAATGCACAGATGTCCAGGCAGAAGTGTTCTGCAGGGGTGGGGCCCTCATAGAGAACCTCTGCTAGGGCAGTGCTAAAAGAAAATGTGGGGTTGGAGCCCCCACACAGAGTCCCCACTGGGGCACTGCCTAGTAGGGTTGTGAAAAGAGGGCCACCATCCTCCAGACCCCACAATGGTAGATCCACTGACAGCTTGCACATGCTCCTGAAAAGCCACAGACACTCAACGCCAGCTGTAAAAGCAGCTAGGAGTGGGGAGGTACCCTGCAAAACTACACGGGTGGAGATGCCCAAGGTCATGGAAACCCACTTCTTTCATCAGCATGACCTGGATGTGAGACATGGAGTCAGAGGAGATCATTTTGGAGTTTTAAGTTTTGACTGCCCCACTGGATTTCAGACTTGCGTGGGGCCTGTAGCCCCTTGGTTTTGGCCAATTTCTCCCATTTGGAATGGGAACATTTATCCAATGCCTGTACTACCATCTACCGTTGTATCTAGAAAGTAACCAATTTGCTTTTGATTTTATAGGCTCATGGGTGGAAGGGACTTGTCTTGTTTCAGATGAGACTTTGGATCATGGACTTTTGAGTTAATGCTGAAATGAGTTAAGACTTTGAAGGACTGTTGGGGAGGCATGATTGCTTTTGAAATGTGAGGACATGAGGCTTTTGGTGGGGGGCCAGGGGTAAAATAATATGGTTTGGCTCTGTGTCCCCACCAAATCTCACC
This sequence comes from Homo sapiens, assembly GCF_000001405.40. Taxonomy (NCBI): domain Eukaryota; kingdom Metazoa; phylum Chordata; class Mammalia; order Primates; family Hominidae; genus Homo; species Homo sapiens. The sequence continues at coordinate 170,816,966 of NC_000004.12, forward strand.
TTGAATTGTAATAATTTCCGTGTGTCATGGGAGGGTCCCAGTGGGAGGTAATTGAATCATGGGGGCAATTTTTTTGCCATGCTGTTCTCATGATAGTGAATAAGTCTCATGAGATCTGATGGTTTTACAAAGGGGAGATCCCCTGCACATGTTCACTTGCCTACTGCCACATAAGATGTGTCTTTTTTCCTCTTCACCTTCTTCCATGCTTGCAAGGCCTCCCTAGTCATGTGAACTGTGAGTCAATTAAACCTCTTTCCTTTATAAATTACTCAACCTCGAGTATGTCGTTATTAGCAGCATGAGAACATACTAATACAATCAGTTTATGCAATATGGCACACACAGCTAATTTTAAGACAGGGAGATTATCATGGATGAACCCGACCTAATTATGCTAGCCACTAACTGCAGAGAGTTTAGTTAGGGTGGTTGCAGAGAAAGAAATGTGAGTGATACATTCCAGGTAGCCTAGAGGAAAGAAAACCTCCATCTCACAAACTCTTCAAACTCTTCGTGGGGGCTATGTGACAAGAAATATGCAGCCTCTAGAACTGAGAGTGGCCTTTTGGCTGACAACCAGCAAGGAAATGGGAACCTCAGTGCTACCACTACAAGGAACTGAATCCTTCCACAACCATGTAACTTGGAAAAGGATCCTGAGCTCCAGGTAAGAACTGCAACTGGATGATACCTTGAGTTTAGCCTTGTGGGTTCCTGAACAGAGAATCTGGTCAAGTCATGTTTGGACTTCTTACCAAAGAACCATGAGATAATAGATGGATAAATTTTTAAAAATACGTAATTATTATTTATTATTAGTGTTTACTTTTTGCATGCAAGTTATATACAAATGCAACAATAGAAAATGAATGCCCATATTGAACAATAGAAAAGTATATTAAAAAAGTTTGAAAGTCTTCCTTTAATGATACTTCAATGCCTACTTTTCTCCATGGAGTTAAGCAATGTTAGTAAAGTCCATCTATTTTATAACTTTATATACACATTTATATGCTTACATTTTTTAAAAAAAGAAAAATGGGATCAAACTAAGAGTTTTTCTATAATTGAGCTGTTCACCCAAGTGTTATTGAGACCTTTCTATGTCAGTATGTAGAGATCTACCCCATTCATTTTAATGGCAGCACAACATTCTGTAGAAAGAAAACATTTTGTAATTTATTTAAGCACACCTCCTTTCTTCCTGGCTCCCACCCTACTCCCAAGGTTAAACCCAGTGTATTGGGTTTTACTTTGTATAGAGTTTTCTTAATATAAACACTTGACAATAAATATGGTTACAAAGAGATTTGGGACATACTTAAGAAAACTTATTTGGGATGGATTTGAAGGAGTGCGGGATCAAAGCATATGCCCATTAAAGATTGTAACAAATACTACCACGTTGCCTTACAAAATAATTCATATGTTTATACTTCCATCAACAGTCAGTGATGCCTTCTCACACAACTTCATCAACATTTAGAGTTCATAATCTTTTAATTTTTGCTAATCAGATTGGTGAAAAATGTTATTTGATTTTAATTTGAAAATCTTTGAAATTTTTACTGGTCCTTTAGATGTATTTATGGTTTTGCCTTTTACCTTTCTGGGTCATGTGTAATATAAACGTGTAATTTTCACGAGATCAAATCTTTTACTCTTTTTATATATGGCATCTGTGTGTTGTTTCTCTAGTTTTAAAATGCCATTTGCTATGGCAACATTAGAAAATAAAATAAAAGAGAAAGTTGAGGTTATTAAGCACAATGAATTCTCACTGAAGTCTAGTGGCTTTCCAAAGGCAGGGTGCGTTTTAAAAATTTTTATTTTTAATTGTGGTTAAAAATAGATAATGTAAAATTTACCATCTTCATCATTTTAAAATGTATAGTTCAATATTTGTATTGTCATATAACGACTCTCCAGAAATTCTGTCTTGGAAAGTTGAAACTCTACTTATTAAACAATAAATCATCATTTCCTCCCCTCCCCTAATCCTCTGTCAACCACCATTCTACTTCCTGTTTCTGTGAATTTGACTACGCTAGCTACTTAATATAAATGGAATCAGAGAGTATTTGTTTTTGTGACTGGCTTGTTTCACTTAACATAATCTCTTCAAGTATTATTCTGTAGCATGTGTCAGAATGTCCTTCTCTTTTAAGGCTGAATAATAGTCCATTGCATAAGTATAACAATTTTTTTTATTCATTCATCTGTTTATGAACATTTGTGTTTCTTCTACCTCTTAGCTATCATAAATAGGACTAGTGTGAACATGAGTGTAGGGAGAATATTTTAAGCCACTGAACTTGTAGTATTCTATTACACAGCACTGGAAAACTAATAAACTTGGTTTTACTTTTTTTAATGGCTTCATTAACACAACTAAATTTATTAATCAAGATGTACAACAAAAAGTGTGTAAAGTAACAAATGCATGTGGTAAAATCTTACTAGATATTATAACTAAGGAATGGAACTACATGATAGCTAACATAATAAAGTATTTTTAAGAGTACTTGGAAAAATATTTTACTGTGGAAGAGTAATAAACGTGCTCTAAAACAACGTAAATGACTATAGGGATACAATTACATTTTGAAAATCACACTAAGATCAAAACGAAATAAAACTCTATAGCTACTCACTAGTCATCAGAATAGGAGAGAGAAATGCAATATGAAATTAACTGGTCGAAATGATTCATAGTCTATATCACCATGTCTATTTTCTGTTTGAAATAATCATGTTAGGCTGGGCGCAGTGGCTCACGCCTCTAATCCCAGCGCTTTGGGAGGCCCAGGCAGGCAGATCACGAGGTCAGGAGATCGAGATCATCCTGGCTAACACAGTGAGACCCCGTCTCTACTAAAAATGCAAAAAAAAAAAAATTAGCCGGGTGTGGTGGCGGGTGCCTGTAGTCCCAGATACTCGGGAGGCTGAGGCAGGAGAATGGCGTGAACCCAGGAGGCGGAGCTTGCAGTGAGCCGAGATCACACCACTGCACTCCAGCCTGGGCAACAGAGCGAGACTCTGTCAAAAAAAAATCATGTTATAATTTTCACTTGAATTATACTTCTTATATTTTTGTTTAAATAATTAAGCTAAGGCACATAATTAATATTTTAGTGTGCTATATGGGTTCTTCAACTTGAGCCTTCCACCTAGAGAACTGTGAAACAGGTATGACACATGAAACCCAACATCTTGGTATTTTCATTTAAAATAACATATTGGAATATTACTAACTTGAACATTTGAATTATAACTTTTTCACACATAAAAATAGGAATTTCTAGTTTTATGATCATTTTAAACCACACTAAAATAGTCTATAATATTTAGGGCATGTAAGTGCTCTTCCATGAATTTATGGCTATTTGCTCTCATTTACCACTCAGCTTTAGGACCCTAAGGGTTCTATATTCTGTTTCCTACATAAATTTTCCTTCATGACCTGCCTCTTTTCTTTTCTTTCTTACTTGATTCCGCTGCCTGCAAAGAAAAAAAAAATTGCAATTTGAAAAAAGGCACTTTAAACACTAAAAATGATTGAACTTTTCTCTGTTTTGTCTATGTACCCTGTGTATTGTCAACCACCCAATCAACTACTCAGTTTTAATATCTAATTGCCTGTCTTAGCACATACTTAAGTCTTCATTTACATCCTTGCTTTAGTATAAACACTGTTTCACAACCTCTATTATTTATGCCAGAAGAAATTTGGTCCATCTATCAAAGACAAAAAAGACAAAATGTTATTTCTGATTCGGAACTGATAGTTATAGCTTCTCTTTCCTCTGGGATGCCATAACAATCTGTATTTTTCAAAAATTCAATCCTTTATCCTATAAACATGGCAGGGATCTTGAATAAATATAGAGTACAGGGAATAAACCTAAGTATAGAAATAAATGGGTTAATGAAAAGAAAAACGTGGAGGAAAAAAATTGTCTATTTGATACAGACTTCCTTTTGTTTTTTCCATCTTTTCATGTAATGAAATGTGAGTGCATATTGTGAAGGAAACAACCAATATATATAGCAAATATCAAGACGTAAGCTATATACACATTTATTTTGAAAATGAATTAACTGGTTAATTCTGAATGCAATTTTTTGGTGATTTGTTTAAGAAAACAAAATAGTAAATGTAATATAAGCTACTAAGATTAATCAGCATGTGTTTGCTTCAAGTAGTCATAGCTCCTTCTGAAATGTCTTTTAAATGTCAATATCAGTTAAACAGACTTTGTAGGAATCTGGTTGCTGGGGAGAATTTATGAAAATTTTTGCTATCCTGTTTCTTGAAGAATCTTATCATGTGTCTTCTCTCTGGTGGAAATAAACTGGGAGTCCTTTCCTTAATATGGCGTATTTTCAAAGGTTCAAAAGCATAAGTGTAGTAGTCTACATTCTGTCACACTGAAATCATGGATGTCACTAAGTTATCCCAATTTTCATATCTAACTTTTCTCTGAAAAACTTTTATTTTTAAAAATTTCTTTCTAAAACTATGTTATTTATAAAATATTATATGGCTACCCTCTTACTTATATAATGTATACATGTATTTATTCATCTAATATGTATTTATTGAACTCTTCCTGTAATACAGAGATTGTTCAAAGCCCTGGTGAGATCATGGTGGACAAGGAAGGTCCTGTCATCAAGAAACACACATCTATTGGAGAGTTAGCCAACAAATACATGAATAATACAATGTGAAGTAGTGGTAGCTTTACAAAAACAAAACAGGGAAAGGCAAGGAGATATGAAATCTTGAGGATGCAATGAGAAGGAATCTTTTAAATAAGGTGGCCAGAAGTGGTTAACATGAAGGAATGAATTTGAGCCAAGGCCTAAATGAATTAAAAAGGTAGCCACTGGGGAATGCTGTGGAGGGAGGACACAGTTATCACGTGGCCAGTGTTCTAATCAGAATAACTAAGGCAGAGTACCATAGACCAGGTGAGAGATACAGGTAAGGGAGACGTGTCACATCTGGATACAAAACAGTATTTGATGTTTTTTCTTTTTCGTAGATATTTTGGACAGTTTTGAACAGGAAAGATGTTAATCTCATTAGCGTCTTTGAAAGATCACTCTACTTACAATATGGAGAACTAACTGTGGGAGAGTAGAAATGGAAACAGAGAAATCTGTCAGGAGGTTTTGCAATATTTTAGCTAAAATGTTGGTAGTTTAAACTGCAGTAGCAGCAATAGATTATCTCACCGAGGATATATGTTAAATGAGTCAGCAAGCCTTGCTGATTGATTGGGTGCAAGAAATAGAATTTATAGATGACAAATAGATTTTCGCCAGAACAACCAACTGAATTATTTATTAGATGGTGGAGAGAGAAAAGAGTATGTTCAGGTTTAGGAGGAAATCAGGAGACTTGTTTCAGGCATAATCAGTTTGAGATGCTTATTAGGTATCCAAATGCAGATGTCAAATAGGTATTTTGATGTAAGAGTATGGTGGTTATGGGAGAAATCACAGTTGGAGATATTTAATGTAGACAGGGCTTAAAGATACGGGGCTAGATGAGAGCATTTTGAGTGAGGATGGCACAGAGAAGCAATTAAATTATTTGATAGTTCTGTGTACTTATTATAATTATGTAAAATTTATATAAAAATAAAAGATAAAACAGAAAAATATCACCAAATAGTTGGACTGTGCAGAGGTTAGGTTTATTTTCCAAAGTTTATGTAATGTGGTTATGTTAAATTTATTATTTACAAATGCATATTTTGGTAATCTTTCAAGCTTGTTATAAGCCCAACATTTTCTTTGTTTTTTTTTTTTCACATTTTAGGGAGAAATAAAGTGTGTTACAGAAAAAATGAATGAATCTGGAATAGATAATTTAGCGCTAAGGTTCCTGACATTGTCCTTATCTAAATATTATTTGTCAATCCCAGATCAGTGTTTTCTAGGGGCATGCTTAATTGTTCTAAAATTTTAAACAAGAGCATTAATATATTTGGTAACAATCATTCTATTCAATTAACGATTACACTGGGTTGAATTTTTTCATGAGAAAAGCTGCAAACTACTTTTCCCAAATTCTCCTCTATTGTATCTTTCTTAGAGTTGATCAGAAAAGAATTTGTGTGAGGTTTGAAGAGAGGGTCTTGAAGGTTTTTATGACCAGATACACTGACAGGGAAGTGTAGAACTGTTGTTCAGTATATTTCACCTTGACCTCACTCTTCTGTCTGCATCCTGCTTTCTTCTTAAATGCTGGACCTCCTGACCATCAACAGCCTCATCTCCACCATGAGATGCTTGGCTAGGGACCCACAATGCTAGTGACTCCATAGTCCATTATTTTAATCGACCTCACCATGATATCCCATTTTCCCCTCCCCACATTTGTCACTTGATATACTTGGCTTAGGCTTGTCACCTTGCTTCAGAGAGCTCCTTTGACACTCCAGATCTCCCAAAGCTTTACTCTTCTACCTCCTCCCATAATTGTTCCTTATAATAAATTCCTTAATTCATAATGCTCATAGTGTCTCTGTTTCCCTGACTGAGCACTGACTGACGCAGAAGCTATCATTCACTGTGCTGCTTTTACTACTCAACTTTCCCCTTTGGTTCATGTTAAAATTTAAATTTTAAGCAATTATTCTCATTCTCAAATTGTGACGAGAAACAAAATAAAATCTAATAGTATAATTTTATATTTTGGTGATACGTGTTTTTTCTTTTAACTACTATTTTTCATAACATTAAATAAGCTGAAAAATACATCAATAGTTGAAAAATAAATCAGAATTGATAAATGTTAAAATTCATTTAGAACAAAAGTAAAATTTTTCCAAGAGTAAAGTTAAATAAAATACATGTGATATGGTTTGGCTCTATGTCCCCACTTAAATCTCATCTCAAATTGTATTTCCCACGTTGAGGGAGGGAGATGATTGAATCACGGGGGGCAGTTTCCTTCATGCTGTTCTTGTGATAGTGAGTGAGTTCTCACGAGATCGTCTGGTTTTATAAGCATCTGGCATTTCCTCTGCTTGCACTCACTCCCCCCACCACCCACCGCTTTGCAAAGTAGATGCCTGCTTCCCCTTTGCCTTCTGCCATGATGTAAATCTCCTGAGTCCTCCCTAGCCATGAAGAACTGTAAGTCAATGAAACCTCTTTCCTTTGTAAATTACCCAGTGTTGGTTATTTCTTTATAGCAGTGTGAAAATGAACTAATTCAATATGATATTAAATAGTACTTGTTCGACATGCCATATATACCATTATTTATATTGTTGGGTGTGCATGTCACTGTGGACTCATGTATGTGTTTGAAAATGTAGTCTGTTGTAAATTTGATCCAACCAAGATCTTTAGTAGCCATCTTTTAGGATATAATATGGTCAGTAAAAGGTTTCTGGAACCATGCTAATACAAACTCACAATTTAAAATTATTCATTTAATAATGGCAACAATTTTCTCATAAGCACAAAAATTTCATAATATAAAAAGCTTCAAGTTCATATTGTTTATTTTTTCCAAATGCTTTTTGAAATTAAATAAAATTACCATTTAATATAAACTAACTCTAATAAAGATTAAACTTACATACTGTTGTAAAAGTAAAAAAATGGGTTGAGTTTCTATAATATCAAGAGAATGCACAGTGATGATTTATCTCTTTCAGGGTTAATATTTTCACATAGCAAAATATTATATTTGACTAGAAGACTGCTAGCTGAAGTTTTACTATCAACAGTTCTTACCTATTTTTCTTTATTTTTCTTCATGTTTTCTTAAATTAAAAACAGAATTAGGAAAATCCCATCACAAATTTACATTGTAGAAATGTCAGCTTCACCTCATTATATAAATACCTATAGATTATGTTTCTAAATTGTCTTATAATATACTATGCATATTATCCACATTTTTAAAACTGTAAAATATAATGATGGATAATAACATCATTTTTATTACTTATACCTACATATATTTAAGAATAAACATATACATTCTGAATAATTTCAATGTCCCTAATAGACCTGCAAGCAGTGTTGAGAGTGATCACTCCATAATTCACAAGAGATCCAATAGGTTGTTTCAGTCATTTTACTTTCAGTCATTTTGCTTTCCAAATGTCACTTAAAATTTTCAAAGGAAAACCAAAAAATTAAATGTAAAATGGATACAAATAGATCTATATTTCATTATATGTTTAAAAATGTACTCTGCCATAGTCATGTTTTCCTTCTGAGAGTAGGGAACTCCTCACTCTTATTTAGTCAACATTAAACAATTTGAGCTTTTCTAAATGAAACGGATAGGGGAACCTATGATTTCCAGTATACGGTTTTTACTGGATGATACTGTGTAATGTTATGCCACATATTCAGACTTTAATTTAATTAGATACGTTTATAAGAAAATGTCATTTTCATAGAACAGGGAGAACTGGAAGTTGACACCTTAAGTATCCCGTGACATAAGAAATTCAAACTTGTTTGTAGCAGACTTAAATATGCTCTAATTCATATATTTGGGTATGTAACCTGATCATATAAGCAATATTCTAGGCATCACATTTTAATTCTCATGCAGTAATAATATACAAAAACTTTTAGTAAGATACTAAAAATTTAATATTCATGCAATAGTAATATACTAGTAATATACTAGAAATGATGAAAATTCTTTTTTAAAAATATTGAAAGACATGTATTTTTCCTCTACTATCTTGAAGTAACTGGATTTTGTTTTCATCAATATATTTCTTCTTGAATGAACTAAGGTAATGTATTTCCATTCTATTTTTTGAATTTAACTACTTAGCTTCTGTTAGTATTCAACCCAAGGTAGTGTTGAGGCAATTAATAGTAAACTATTTTTGAAATTCAAAAATTATCAAGTAGTATAGTAAACTAATTCATTTAAAAATAAATTTTTAGTAGATATGTTGTTTTATGTTAAGGCTGTTGAAGAATAATTTTAAATTAAAAGGTAAAACAACACATTGTTGAAATTCTGGTCAAGGGACAATGTAAAATAATTACCATAATGTAAGATGCACATTTTTTGAGAGAGCATGTAATTATGTTTTCAATTTTTCCCTTGTGGTTTTCATTGCTATATCATATATGGTGATATTTTAACATTATCTGATAGTCACAAAATTCAGACAGAGCTGAGGTTGCATTTCTGAGACATCACAAATAAAATGTAATATAAGTGAAGAGGTAATCTATTGTGAAAAATCTGAAAAAAGAAAACAGCTCTAATTATAATACAAAGACTGAAACGTTTGCCAAAATTGGAAATGATACTGTGCCTTAGTCATCTTAGGCTGCCATAACAAAATACCATAGACTCAGTGGCTTAAACAACAGAAATTTATCATATCACGGTTCTGGAGGTTGGAAGTCTGAGATTAAGTTGCAATAACGGTTGGGTTGTTGTGAGAGCTGACTTCCTTGCTTGCATGCTGCCACCTTCTCACTGTGTCCTCACATAGCAGAGACAGAGACTGCAAACTCTACCATCTCTTTTCATAAGAGGACTAATCTTGTCATGAGTACCCCTCCCTCATGACTCCATATAAATCTAATTATCTCCCACAGATTCCATCTCCAAACACCATTACATTGGGGGTTAAGGTTTCAACATACGAATTTTGGGTAGACATAATTCAGTCTATAGCAGAAGTGAATGCTTTTGAAAATGTAATGGTTAAAAGCAAACATGAAGAGTTGTATGCCTGGTTTGGCAAGGCATATAGTAAACTCGTATCTTAAACTTCACCTACTCATATCTTACATAAAAACAATATCTCAAATCGCTGTGAGATATAGGTTACTGATGATTTATTTAATGCAATTTTACCCTGAGTGGATAAATAATATTTACATAAAAAAGCATCAATCACTCAAGTATTCTTTTGCGATTGATTGATTCTTTTGTGATCATATGTAATCTCAAAATTGCAAATACCTCATAACACGGAATCAATTTAAATTTCTGCCAGGCCCCATTTCTACAAAAAAGAAAAATATTAGCCAGGCGTGGTGCCATACACCTATAGTCCCAGCTATTTAGGAAGCTAAGGTGGGAGGATCATTTGTGCCCAGGAGTTCAAGACTGCAGTAAGCTATGATCATGCCACTGAACTCCAGGCTGGGTTACAGAGTGAGACACTGTCTCTAAACAAATTAATACATTAATTTGTTTAATTTTTAACTATCATTAATATCTATTCAAAAATATTGTTCAAATTTTCTTTAGCATATTCTGCTTGATGTATTCAGAGAATGACCCTTCACAAGGCAATTGTCAAAATCCTAATTGATTGTTATTATAATTATTTTTAAGCTAAGGCAGTTAGGCAATGTTGTCAATTGCTCAATGTTAATATGTTGACCGCAAAAGCACCTATAAAGTGAATGAGTATTGCATGCAGATTAGTTTAATATCTCAGTGTCTGAAGAGAAAGACAGTCGCTTAGTTTCTCAAGTGGAATGGGTACTTTTAGATTTTCCAGTTAAAAAAGTTTACTTTAAGACTTCAGGCTGCCTGGTTCCTTGACCTTTGTGTTTCTACTTTCTAAAATTGTAGTTATCAGATTTTTTATTTTTTTGGTTCTAGTCTTAGTTGTGAAAAGAATCTGAATTTGAGGTAAGAGGACCTTAAGAAGGCTTGGTTACATATTTTGTCTGCTTTGTAGAAAATGGCCCTGTCTGCTACTTGTACACTCAGACTTAATCACTAAGAACATGATCTTCATCTGGAAGCACATTACACATAGCAAATCTTGATAGCTCTACTAGATCTGTGATTTATAGCACGCTGTTTAACCTTGCTCTTAGTTTCTTTATATGTGAAACAGGGGTAATAATTGAACATGCCATACTGAGTTGTTACAAAGATTAGTTTGATATTTAAAACATCTCTGTACCCAAAAACAAATTGCAGGAAATGGTGGGCAGAGGATCATGTTGAACGGCATTATAATCATTATAATACCTGGACCACAGTAAAAATTATGTATTTCTTATTAACTAGAGTTTTGCCTTAGTCATATTCTTACATTCCATGTTGAGTCAGCTTGGTACCTCAGAACATTTGAGGAACGCCTTTCACTTGACCTGAGCAAGCCTAATAAAACTATTGCAAAATAATCTAAAGCACTTTGATTAAGTAATAAAAGACATGAAAACACAAAAATAAGAATGTGAAAAACTCAGAAATAAGATGGCAGAACCAAGAAAGAATTATAAGTGAAAGATAAATACTGGAAATTGAAGCTAAAGAATTATAAAAGTAAACAGATACAATACATACAGCTCTAAGATAAATAGAAGACAACAAAAATAAATTTGAAATAATTGAAACAAAGAGATAAGGATCTGAGAAAAAGGACATATTGAAGACAGAAAAAGAAGAGCCTTTATATAATTACTAAGAGTCTTGAAATTTAAAAAAAAATGAAAAAATAAATTCTAAACAATAATTTTCAAGAATATAAGAAAAAAAAGAAACTAGGAACTCTAAGAGCACACCATGTGTCTGAGAGTATTAAGCCAGAATAACCATCATCAAATATACCCTAGGACAACTACTGAACTTTAAAAATAAACAGAAACATAATTCTCTCTTTAGGCATCCAGGCAACCAAGGCACATACCTTATAGAGAATGAAAGAAAATTGGTAACTATTAGACTTTTAGATAGTACTACTTTAAGTCACAGGAAATTGGACTGCTCAACAAAATACAATGTAAGCCAAGAATTTTACATCCAGCAATCTAGTGTAAAGGACACAGAAAACAGTTATTGACATGTTTTCTCAGGAAAACATTTTCCAGGAGTCCTTCTTGAAGTATCTCTGAAAGAATGAGTTCCATTCAACCAAAATACTCGAGTGAGATCAATAAAAATAACTGATAGTATTAAGTATATAGTTATTAGTAGAACAAGATAAAAGTTAAAAGGAAGAGAATGCAGAGATGGTTACATTCTTTGACAATGTAAATATAGTACCACCATTAATGAATGAATGGGTGAGAATGGGAATAGAATATACACAGAACTCTTTCTGTGTTTAGTAATTATAATTGATTGTGGTAGTGTAAGTATTGTGATCCTGAAACTGATGTGTGTGTACTGTGGGTTAAAGCAAATGAGTGATTAGAAGATATTCTAATTCTTTCATTCCTTGTATTCATGAGAATGGGGGTTCTTATGGAAGAAAGAGACAAAATGTAACATAAGATTATGTTTAAAATATGATAGATTTGAATTTGAATTAGAAAAGTCAGTGTGAATTTATATGGTAATTTATCATTAAAAATGTGTAGTGTATATTTTCTAGTTCTGCCCACTGGAAAGCCCTAGAAACAATATACAACGTAGCAGCAATGAAATTGCTAAGCCTAAATTGTGATCTTGAGATGAACATTTCTCACTAAAAGAAATGAAGCTTTCCTGTGGAAATAGCAATTTCAGGTCTGAGGTAAGAAATATGCAAAATTAGCGTGGAATTTCTTATCACATTGGAAAGGAAGAAAGCTAATAATTATTACCAGAATCAAGTCAAAAGGACTCAGCAACCTACTTTAAGAATCTCCCAGTCGCCAGTGATGGGGGAATTTTATCTTCAATGGGGTTTAGAATTATAATGGCTTGAAACCCATCAAATGTGTTTAAATCTGTGAATGCATAATCACATGAAAAAAAAAAACTAGTCAACTTGGGAGGTTGGTGATCAATATGTTGATACTTTTTTTAAATAGAGAATCAAGCAGGTATATTGGTCTTCATATATTAACTGTACTATTTAGTAAACAGAGTGAGAAAAAACATCTTGTTATAAGTGTATTCCAGCTAATCAATAATAATAAAAGATAGACTATTACCATTTTGCAGCCCCCAATGAGTTAATGGGTCTATGCATTGAACATCAACTGTTGCTAGCATTTGCCTCTTGATAGAAAAACTCAGTTCTACCAATCCTCCTGCCAAAGGCATCAAATCGGTCAATTCAAGACTCTGAATCATAATAAGGCAAACAACAACAACAACAAACAAAAAACCAACACTTGAGAGCATCAACAGGTTAGACAGCACTCAATTCTTCAAAATATAAGTTGAGAGGAAACACAAATTAAAAGAGAGAGACATAAAAGCCATGACTTTTAAATAAGCCAGATCATATCATATTGTTCAATGTTACACATTTGCATAATAAAACCATAAAGGGACACATGAGAAGTATGTATGCAAAAATCAGGATAATGATTGCTTTTGCAACAAAAAAGAGAAGGATGATAGAAAAGGGAAAGTGTCCGGCAAAGTTCTATTTCTTGACTCAAGTGGTGATTAAAATGGTGTTCATCATATAATAATTTACTAAGTTATTTATACATATGGATAAAAGACATTAAAAATGAAATAAGTCTTAAATAAGGCATGTGGAGAAATACCTATTCATTAGGTGATAGACAAAAGAAAGGATAAAAGAAAAGACACTTTGTCAAACATGATTTCAGAGTAAATTCTTCTAAATGTACATTTTAATATTTTTCTTTCTATATAATTATGCCATAGAAAACCTTTATAGTTCAATTGAAACAGAATCTGCTTTTAAAATATATATGTATATATATTTGTTATTACAAATATATATAAACTTTACTTGTTTTTACAAATATATATATTTGTAAATACATATAAATATTTGTAAAATATATAAATATTTTACATATTTTATATTTTATAAAAATATTTATATTTTACAAATATATATTTGTAGAAACAAGTAAAGTAGATTGCAGTTTGCAAACACTGGAAGAAAATAACAAAATTTCAGCTAATTTAACTTACTACTACAAAATCACACACACACACACACACACAAACACACACACACAAAGGACATTTGAGCTATGATAATAGTAATGCATTGTATGCTTTTTATTACTTTTAGAAAAATTAAAAAATAATGTAACTGACTATGAAAAGGTTAGCAATGTATTTTTTGTATACTAGAAAATTGTCTACTAGAAATGTGAAGGACAAGAAAGTTTATTTTTAAATTATAGGGGCTGATATAGTAGTTCCCCTTTATATACAGTTTCCCTTTCAGTGGTTTCAGTAACCTACAGTACATACAATAAAGCATTTGAAGGAAAAATAGAGAGATCATATTCCCATAACTTTTAGACAGTATATTGTCATAATTGCTTTATTTTATTATGAGTTTTTGTTGCTAACCTCTCACTGTGCCTAATGTATAGATTAAATTTTATCATAGGTATAAATGTATAGGAAAATACGTAGTATATATAGGGTCCTGTACTATCCAGTTGCAGGCATCCACTGGTGTTCTTGGAACATATCCCCCCGTGGAAAAAGAGGGATTAAAGTAAATTGGTATGGTTCCATAAAACTATTAGGAAGCAATATCATAGTGGAGAAGCAATATCATAGCAATATCATATGACTTTTTATGTGAATGTTCCTGCAATTAATAAATTGCAGTTAGACATGTGAAGAGCAAGATTTTCATACTGAGCAAAATATTTACACACAAGCTTAAATTAAATGGCATTGATTTGGAAAATAAATGGAAAGAGTATAGCATTCAGAGTCTGATGAAGATTACTGTCTACCCCCCAAAAATTGCACTCTGCCTTCTATCATGTGGGGTTACTTCTTGAGGTGGCTGCCCAGTCACAACTTTTCTATATCCCTCCCCACAATGGAACCAGGTGTAGCCATGTAATTCATTTCATTAATGGAAATGAATTAATTTTAAAGGTGGTTAAAAGAATCATAGCTCACTTTCTAGTAAGAAGTTTTAAAAAGTACATCCAACTTGTCCATTTGTCTTTTTTATTCTATCACTGAATGGAGAGAATTCTAAGGCCCTAAGAGGGTATCAGGCAGAGTCATACAACAAAAAGAGTCAGGTTTCTGAATCACAAAGTGCACAAAAGCTACCTCCCAATAGGAAATCTGTATAAGATTTTCAATGAAAGAGAGATAAAATTACATTATATCACCAGTGAAAATCTATATAAGATTTTAAATGAAAGAGAAATGAAATTACATTGTATCAAACCACTGATTTTGTTAATGACAAGAACTAGGGTTATCCTTATTCATACAAAGTCTGACAGATCTCAGTAAACAATTGGTTAATATATTTGGACATTTACTTAACATTTCTAAAAAGCATATTTTCATTTATTCAATGAAATACTTTGTAAACTACTTTTACAAACCACCTTCTTGGTAAAATAGTATGAAAATTAGAGATACACATTAAGCATCATTACATTTCTTGGTATTTCAGAGGTCCTCCGTAAATGACAAGATTATTAACATTAACATTATTTTATAATGCAAATCAACTTTCCCATTTCTACCTTTTTTTATTTTGGGGCAAACTTTTTATCAAATACAATTTTTATATTATAAGATTTTACAAAGAAGTAGTACTTTTGTAAGAGAAGACATTGGGTTTAGCCATGTGCATGCTTCACCTACTTTAAGAAATAGCAAATTAAAAGACATGGCTTTATATTGTTCTTTCATATCTCTTAAAGTGCCTAACACAAAGCCTGACACATATTAGCCATGGAAACATAAGAGGAGGTTTACATTAGGGATAGTTTCATGAAAGTCATCACCTAACACAGCCATGAAAAAATATTGAGTTAAAGTTCCCCATAATACTATTAATATTTGCAAAACCTCTTGTACCTTCTGTCACTATGAATCCCAAATGACTTAATTTACAAGTAATTATTCTGAAGAAGTTTTCTGCTGTTATGTTATTTTATGAACAATTTCCAATTATTTTTTTTTACTCAGCTAGAAAAAAAGATAAAATTCAAATTAAGAATACAGCATTTTCATCTCTGAATAGAACCATTTTGACCTTGTTTGACATAGACATCTTTCTATTGTAAATCTATAACAGTTTGGTACCACAGATCTCCCTAGACATTGCTAATCCTCAGAGCACTTTATCACCAATGTATACATGTATAATAGAGAATTTAAGAAGTCATATGCTCCTACATTTGCATTTTTTTCCTCTGATAAACAATCACTTTACTTCAAAGGTGATTGTCCTTCACTTCTTACCAAAAAAGCTCATTGTATAACAGAGATTCCCTGACTTTACAATTCCAGAGCTCATTTATTAATGTGATGAGTCATATTAGGTATAAATTGAGGAGATTAACAGATAAGATAAGGAGAAAGGAAAGAGATCATTATGTTACTAGACTTTAAAAAGTATCATATACCTCTAGTGCTGTGAGACATTTTGTAGTTCTTATAAGGGTTTTTAAAATGAACTCTCTTGAAAGGAAATTATTCAAAGCCTTTGAACAATGTTAGCATGATTTAAAGTACACTTTTGAAAAATCTTTGATTTATCGGTAAAATATTTAGAACATTATAATGTATTATATTATTTCAATTATATTTTGTATACAACCCTGAAATCTTTAAATGACTGATATTAATTTGGGTTCAAAAAGCTTTGAGAGTTGAGTTGCAATGTTTCCATTTTTAATTGTTCAGTAAAATAAACATGGAACCAGAAAAATAAATAAGCATATTAACAAAAATAGGGGAGGCCCATCACAAGAATCTGTTGGAAATGACCAGAATTTAAAGCCCACTGATGAGGGATTGAAATGTAGTGTCAGAACATACTTATGTTTTAACTTTCAAATGCAAAGCATAATTATGTAAGAAAATAGCAATGGGTTTACTGGAGGCAACCTGGCTATTATCCATATAAGACGTGGAGTATATTCTCCTCACTAGTGAGGCTACAGGGGAGTCTCTGGGAACCTCAATGATATTTGTTGTCAAAAGGCTGAGATGGATGATTGTAGATGCTCCATGGGATAGGGCTGCCTAGTTTCATTTTGGATATTAGTAATCAGGAATTGTACAGGCCAGCAGGCAATGCCTTTAATTCAGAGGCAGCAAGGCCAGAGAACAAAGCATGCTGCCCTAACCTTCAGGGATCTCTAGAAATGACATTGTTCTATGGGAAAATATACATAGTAAGATGACTGTAGTATTTATTGGCTGTAAAAGAATACTGATTATTAATAATGACAAGAGAAATGTGCAATAAGATCACATCAAACTGAAGTTGAAAATCTAATTCATTCTATTAGTTTCTGGTATTAAATTAATCGTAGGATAAGAGACCAATAGAATTTTGATAGAGAAGGCAGCATAATCATAAATTTTTAAAGAAATATTTTTTGAAGTGTGAGACATTAGAACATCATTGGATAATAAATAAGATTAATCTGAGAGATGGATAAATTGACTATGCAGAGAAGGGAGGCTACAATTTTAGAAAGTAGTTTCTGATAAGATGAGACGGACATTAGAATTCAGAAAATGGCATATTTGAACCAAGAGGAATTGGTTGTTAGGAACCACTGGATGCCTGCCAAAGGTGAAGAAGCCACTCTATAAATGAGGCAAAGTCTTACTTTCATATGGTGAGATAATTGAGTTATTTTTATATGCAATGATTTTTACCTAACTGCATCATGTAGGTACTTTTTGTACTTAAATTTAGGATTATAATTGGTACTAACTGAAATTCCTGTGGAAATAAATAAAGCAGAAAGATGCATGCACTGAAGGAAGAGATAGAGGCAGCACAATTTTGGAAGGAAAATAAAATATTGCTTATAGGTATTTCTTTGAAAGTGTTGGAAGTGAATTATTCAAGCCAGAGTTCATTCAATCTTCAGGTCACCATCTCTGCCAGCATTCTAGAGAAGCTAATGGTAAGCATGGCTATTAAATGTAAAACTCAAATAAGATAAAATTTGGAAATTCCACCAAAAAAGCATACTGAGCTTGATACAGAGAATTAGAAGTTTAAGGAAGAACTTTGAGAGCTCCAGAGCCACACACTAAACTTTTTAAAGAAAAATTTTCAATAATATAGGGTAAATAATCATAATTAAATAAAAATATTTTTTGCAGTGTTAGTTATAACTCTTAAGACATACTAGATTATGGTTAGCAGATCCTTTAAGGTATATAAAGAATTATTTCCACGATTTAATAGTTTATTACCTAATCTTCAAAGGTTATTAGAAACAATAACTATGAAAGGAGTAATTTTTTCAAGAAGTTTTGAGGCAAATTAATTGCTTTCCCATATACAAAATTCTGTTTTGAAAATTTAATGCAAAAGTCTTGTTCCAGAGCATAAAAAGAACATTTTAGCAAGTTAATAGTAAGACAACACAATTCTCAAAACTGGGCCAAAGATTTGAACAGACATTTCACCAATGTGTGAATGCCTAATTAGGGAAACACAAACTGAAACCACAATGAGATGCTAGTGTTTAAACAATCATCATCATCATCATCATCCAAAGATATTCAATATTAAGCACTGGCAAGAATATAGAGAAACTGAAACCTTCATACATTGCTGCTGAGGATGTCAAATTATTTTGCCACCTTGAAAATCATCTTGTTTGTTTCCTAAGATGTGAAAAATAAATTTAGCATATAATACAGCAGTTCCATTCATGAGTATCTACCTGATGAAATGAAAATAAGTCTACACAAATACTTGCAAATAAATATTCTTAGTACTATTATTCATAGTAGCACCAAACTGGAAAGAATAAAAATTTCTATCAATTTGTGAATTGATAAACAGTGTGCCATCCATACAAGGGAACACTGTTTGGCAGTAGAAAAGAATAAATTACTAATTCATGCTACATGGATGAAGCTCAAGTAGCCAGGTATGATATGCTTTATATTATATGATTGTATGTTTTTAAAATGACCAGAAAAGGCAAATCTATTGAGTCAGAACTCAGATCAGTGGCTGCCTAGGGCTGGGGTTGGGAGCAGAGATTATCTGCAAATTAGCAAAAAATAAAATGTAAAATAAAATAAAATTAGTCTAAATTCTTTAAAGAATTATGGAAATATTTTAAAACTGAGTTGCAATGATGGTTGCACAATTATGAATTTATTAAAATTGTTAAAATGTATACTTATAATAGATGATGAAATTTATTATAAGTAAATTAGAGCTCAATAAACCTTTAAAATCAACAAACAGTAAGGGGTAGGGAATGCTGAAAGCTAATATGGAAAATTAAGTTCTACAATCATTTTGTAAACTGCAATATAAAAGACAGAACTCATGTTAAAATCAATCTATAAAACTATATTATGTAAACACAGAATATAGAACAAATCTTTTTTATACCTAGGATTGAGATTTATATTTTGGAATTTTTGAAAATTCTTCCCTAACCTGCCATTTTCCCTCAATCAAAATATGTATGACACAAATGGTTGCAAGTTATAAAGGACCAAATTATTTTCACCTTTTTTGAGATAAGGCAAACAAACAAAATATGATCCCTAACCTCAATATAAACATACCTAACAACTTTTACATCTGAATTTTAGTCATTTATTTATTTATTTATAAAAAAAGAGATCTTGATTTTACAGATATTTGTGTGAACTTCCCATTGAGGGGTTTTAAAAAAGACATTATTAAATAGGGCATGGATCCTAACTAAAAGAGGGAGTTCAACTTCATATGCCTTAAAAACTGCCTAGATTAAAGAGTATTTCAAGCTAATTTTCATATAAATTTGCTATATGATGTATATGACCTTAGCATTGAGTTTGGAAGAAAACACAACAGTGCTACAAAATCTCTTAGGTAGAAATTTCCTACATAGTGACAGGGTTTGCTTGGAAATCATCTGTACCAAGACTATATATATATATATATGTATAAAATTAAATTTTGTATACATATATATAGATAGATGCAAGACTAGATGGGATCTCAAAACATGAAAAATAGACTCTCTGTTTCCCTTGATAATGATAAAATCATCTATTATAGATGAATATTTCTTAAACCTGACAAATGGCTGTTAAATTGGGAAAGGATTACCAGTGATTCTTTAGGGTGAAGAGAAATTAACTACATATATACACTTTTGAAAATTTTATCTTAATGCAATAAATTTCACATTCCTTACTTAATATTGGAAAAGGAGAAGTAAACTTATCTCTACTTGTAGATAACATTATCTTGTTCATAGAAAATCCTAAGGAATCTATAAGAAAAAGCTATTAGAAGTAATAAACAAGTAAGTAATACCATATAAGATTTATATAAAAATATCAATTGTATTGTTGTACACTAGCATTGGACATTCTGAAAATAAAGTTTCTTTTAAATTTCATTTGTAATAGTATTAAGCAAAATAAAATTTCATTTTTAATAGTATTAAGCAAAATATTTAAAATATAACAAAAATACAAGAATTACAGACTAAAAAACAATAAAAATATTTTTTAAAGAAATTATGTTGATAAAAAACTTAAATAAATGGAAGAATTGTGTTCATGAATTGGGTAACTTTTAAACAAACTTCCTGGTTTGTAGTGTATATATTTGTATCTACTTTAGCTAAACTTGGGAAGAAAAGAAATAATGGGATGCTGAGTATGAGAACCTATTGGACCTATTTTTAAGAGATTTCAGTCCCAATATTATTTATTATCTACTGTTATCTGTGGGTTGATGATGCCATCACAGGTCTTCTATGGTTAGGGTCAGCTCAGGTTCCATATTCAACAGTCCTGGAAAGGTCTGAGTACTCTCTGTCCAATATGCAGTTACTTAGGTAAATGCCTAGAAGTCATTCAGAGGAAGGCATCGGGACTCATGTCTGTTGTGCTCACCTGTGGTAGGATTGGAGGGGCTTCCACAAGAAAATTACGTTCTTTTTCAATCTATGTGCTCTCAGTTTGAAAACTGATTTTATTCCAGGAACTGAGTTACAATTTTCTATTATGGTGTTTATATCAACCTTCTGCTCACAAGCTGTTGATGTTTTTTGGCTACACAAGTCAATCAACAGCCTAATCTGCTGTCTGTCTCACCTCTAGTAAAACAAGCATCTCAGCAGATCTCTCTGAGTCAAAGCACCTACCTGATTGCCGCTATTGCTGAACATTGTATCATTTACATTCACCTTTTTTTTGACAGTTAATCGCTCCCACTTGGCCTCTGCTGTTCTGGAAACTTATCTGTCTCATTGATATTAGAAAGCCCAGTTTCTTGGCAGCTTCTCCTAAAATAAACCAACAACCACCACAGAACTTAATCAAGAATGCAGTACACTCTTTACTGCCATAATGCACAAGTCAGCAAACTTTCTGTAAAGAGACACTTAGTAAATATTTTAGGGTTTCTAGGCCATGGACAGTCAAGTATTTTCCTTTGCTCGCTTTTACAACCCTTTAAAAACTCAAAAATTATTTTTAGCTCACAGACACACAAAAACAGGTCACTCTGTAGATTTGGCTCCTGGACATAGTCTGTGACCTCTGCCTTAATGAGATGAGTGTGTCCTTGAGAGAATACACCAGGGGATGGATTTTCTGGTCAACATTCAAACCACCTATAGCCTTCTGATTTCTTCCTCAATACTCTGCCAAGTAAGTTCTAGCATTCCACTTCATTTACACAGGCATTATTGATTGCAAGTTTTAAGAAGCCATCACAGCAATATATTAGTATTAGATTCTAAATGATGATAGATCCATGCAAATAAACTCTCCTTATGTTAACGCTACACCCTGTGTCCAACACCATTAAGGTAGACCCTCACCTGTGACTGCCTGGTTTCTGCTGATATATATTACCCAAGTCTTTCAATCATTTTATTTCATAAGCAAGATAATTCCTTGGGTCAGTGATAGTATTTATTTTCTTAGGCTAAATTGACCCTTCTATTGATCTGTCACAAACAAACGGGGGCAGACTATGGAAGAGTTATTAGTCAATAGTTCACTAAGGTGAAACTAATGTCCTCCAGGAAAGAGACCTGTGGCCTAAGCATTGAGGGTAATTTGAGTTTTCAAGGTTATCAGCACATCCAGCCAAATATTTTCATCCTGTATCTCAGTGGACTACTCCTCCCTTTAGTACCCTGATGTTTGCATAGGAGAATGTACATTCAATTTCCTTTGTGGGTCCACCCCATTTACAATTAAATCCTTGGCCTGATTTTCTGCACAGTCTGCCCTCCAGAATCAGAAGACAGTGATTTCTTTAAATGCTTCCATGGAGTTTTTGTGACATTTACAGCATTCTCTGATTTAATAGTTGGATGACCTGAGTCTATACTTTCCTTACTTTAAGACTTCCAAGTTATTTAACAAAAAGCCAGCTATCTTCATAATCTTTACAATTTTAATTATTAAAATAATTTCTAGGACTACTGAGAAGGCCAGTGCTTTTGCTTTAACTTGTATTTCACATCAGGTCATTTCAGATTATTGTTTTAATTAGTGTGATGATGTAACCTGCTGGGGATTATTGTTACTACACTTAGAACTAACAATGGAGTCTTTCTTACTTTTGGGGTACAGAAGTGATCCTTCAATAATACCATCCTGAGGTTCTGCTTCCTAGGGCCACTTCCAGTACCTAGTGTTTTAATGTAGATTCTCAAAAATCAAAGCTAAAGACATAGATTTAGATGATGTTGAATTTTCTAAGAAATGGAGATGAGAAACTGGGGAAAACAGATAAGATATTGAAGAAAGAAAAGTCAGTATAAGGGAGGCACTGTTGAGATTACTGCATTTGGCAACAGGGGCTCAGTTCCACCAGACTGTGTTAAGGAACATAAAGGATGTTGCCAAGAATTGTCTATCTGATGCATGGAAGATGAGGGTATCCCTCCACCCACTCTTGTTTCTTAATGGTGGCTGGATCCCCTATGGGTCATCAATATCTCAGTTGTATGAACACTGAATAGGTCCCAGTAGTTTAGAGAAGCTCCTGAAACAGAAAATGGAAATATGTGTTGTGCAGGTGTGTGAGAAGGCACAGAAAGCAGGAATCTGAGCTTGCATGGAACTGAACACTGCAACTGAGGCTGACTTAGGAGGAAGACTGAGAGGAAATGAGGTAAAGTACTAAAAGGCCCACACTGAAACCCTATCATTGATAGAACTAGAAAGCTAGTGAATGGATAAAGACTAAATTAAAGACTGTACTCTCTCAGCACTGGTCATTTTTCCTGCAGTGATCCAAGGTTCAGCAATGGCAGCTAGCTTTTCTATGTTTTTTGGTGAAAGAATTAAGTCATATTTGTTCATTTTTTCTACTCCTTAATTAATTTAGGCTCAACATCAAATTTTTTAGTGCTTGTTAATGACATAAAGATTGGTGAGGATTCAGAAATGAATTTTCAGGTTTTTTGTTTTAAATTTTAATATATATATATTTCTTTAAATTTAAGTATATAAATTTAAATAAAATATTTTCAATAAATTAGAATTTAAAATATATATTTTAAATCTAATATCTATGACTAATATATTTATATATTTAGAATTTATATATCTATATGTAAAGATATTAAAATAATAAAATATATTAAATGATATATACATATCATTTAATATCTTTATAGATAAATATATAAAAATCCTAACATATATAAATATTTATATTAGAGTTCTATATATTAGAAAAAGTATATAATATATATATTTTTTCCAGTTTGAGGGATATTTTTATATATATATCCTTTGAGGTACATTTTATGACATAGTCTCATGCAAGAACATCAAAAATACATAACTAAAATTTCCCTAGAGGTTTTGAACATTTTAAGAAAGGTAATGAGTAGACAATAAACTTCTGAAAGGTCAATGAAATTCGAGAAAAGTTTCCTTAAAGGTAAGGTAGATAAAAAACCACATTTACCTTCTATTTTATGGATGACAAGATAAAACTCAGTATTACAAGCAATGCTGACATATTTTTAAGACAATGAAAGGCCATTTTACCAGGCAAAGTAGTCAACAAGCTTTGACTACTTTGATCACTCACAAAGGGCAAATCTACATGAGCTCTTTTAGGGCAGTTGAGCAGGAAAAAATGGACAGTTACTGTTATCTCTCCAGATTTTATTTCAAATGGTGCATACATTCCTTGAAGGCTTATTCCTTGGATCTTTCATTTAACCCCCTATGCATATTGAAAACATGTCTCAATAAATATCCTCAGTACTATATTTATAAATCCAAAACTATTTTTTTTTACTCAAAATAATTACATGGTTTT
Organism: Homo sapiens; assembly: GCF_000001405.40. Taxonomy (NCBI): domain Eukaryota; kingdom Metazoa; phylum Chordata; class Mammalia; order Primates; family Hominidae; genus Homo; species Homo sapiens. The sequence continues at coordinate 170,841,163 of NC_000004.12, forward strand.
TTTCAACAATTGTCATTTGTTCATTTAGTTGGTGGCCTTCATACTTCATAAAATGAATGCATGATTATTATTTATACTTGATCAGAAACACACTTTTAATACTGACAACCACTCCCACTTACAGAGGCCTACAAATATAGGGTAATAGTGAAAATAACTCAAAATAATAGAGAAAATAATTTGAAATTTTTTCAAATATATTTCAAAACAAATCATTTTGTGAATTAAAAAAATGGATCTTTAAAAAGAAAGAATGCTTTGGCACAGAAAAGAAGAAGAAAGGAAGATATTCTAAATTCTTTTTTTTTTGAGACGGAGCCTTGTTCTATTGCTCAAGCTGGAGTGCAGTGGTGCAATTTCAGTTCACTGCAATCTCTGCCTCCCAGGTTCAAGCAATTCTCCTGTCTCAGCCTCCTGAGTAGCTGGGACTGTAGGCACTCACCACCATACCTGGCCAATTTTTGTGTTTTTAGTAGAGACAGAGTTTCACCGTGTTGGCCAGGCTGACCTGGAACTCCTGACTTCTGCCCACCTTGGCCTCCCAGAGTGGTGGGATTACAGGTGTGAGCCACTGCACCTGACTAGATTCTAAATTCTTAATTCTGGGAAAGTGGTAAAGTCTTAGCTCATAGAACTGTTCTGTGAACCCAACTGATTGGACTAATAATGTTGGTAGATACATATATATTTTTTCACACGCCAATACATTTTTCTTGCTTTCAATTAACCATTAAAATATGCTCAACCTCATTAGTTATGAGCAAATACAAATTAAATCTACAATGTGACTTTACTACCACCCACAGGAGAGCTAAAATTTTAAATAGTAAAATTTCCAAGTGCAGGCAAAAATATAGAAAAACTAGAACTATCAACTGCTGGTGGGAGTATAAATTAATACAATCTGTGTGGAAGTGGACATATTTGTTAAATTTGAGTATGTATGTGTCAGGTAAATAATTCAAATCTAGAATATACCCAGCTAAAACTCATGCATATGTGTTTCAGAATTTATATTTAAGAATGATCCTAGAAGTAGTTTTTGAGAGTGTCACACTGGGACTGTCCAAGTATTTGTCAATAGTTAAAGGAACATATAAATGTTAATATATTCCACAATTGAGTAGTATATAGCACCTAAAATGAATAAACTACTTCTATAGCTATGACATGGATGAATCTCACAGAATAATATTGAGTGGAAGGAACTAGACACAAAAGAACATGTACTGTAAGATTTCATTTGCCTAAAGGTTTAAAACAAGCTAAATGGATCCACAGTGTTACAAGTTAGAAGAGTTATGTGTTGGAGAGGTGCTACTGAGTGAGAGGGAAAATAAAGGAGGCATGTGAGGCAGCAGGAATGTTTCACCTCCTGATCTGAGTTGCAGTTATACACCAGTGTGATCACTTTATAATAATGCATCAAGCCAACCACTTCTAACTTGTAGAGTTTTCTTTTCCTATTGGTTTAATTAGAGTTTAAATAAAACATATATTCATTTATTCAGTAAGTATCTCCTGGGCACATACTATATTCAAAGAACTGTGATTAGGCCAGACACGGTGGCTCATGCCTGTAATCCCAGCACTTTGGGAGGCCTAGGCAGGTGGATCACGAGGTCAGGAGATAGAGACCATCCTGGCCGATGTGGTGACACCCTGTCTCTACTAAAAATACAAAAAATTAGCTGGGTGTGGTGGTGCATGCCTGTAACCCCAGATACTCGGGAGGCTGAGGCAGGAGAATTGCTTGAACCTGGGAGGCGGAGATTGCAGTGAGCCGAGATCGACCCACTGCACTCCAGCCTGGGTGACAGACCAAGACTTCATCTCAAAAAAAAAAAAAAAAAAAAAACAACGAAAACAAACAAACAAACAAAAAACTGTGATTAATACTCGGCATAGGAGTGGTGAATTTTAAAAAATCAATCATGTGTCCAACAATATGTATTAAGACTCGGCTATGTACCAGGTACTAAATAAAAATCCCTGCCCTGATATTTCCTTCTCCAAGGGATTTTTATTTCTCATGCAGGGGATACACAATAGATATAAAATATGCATGGTAAATGTTATAATGGATAAGTATATAGTTCTGTTCAGTATATACCAGGAGACAAGCCCTTATTTGGTGTATCAGGGGTTTTCTTCATGAAAAGAAAATATATCTGAACTCTGAAGGATGAAGAAGAACCAACCAACAAAAGAGAAAGGAACATTTCTGAGCAATTGTAAGTATTCTGAGGTGAGGTTCACAGAAGCCATCTTGAGTAGCATCTGAGTGTGTGAACAGAAACATGGCAGGATGGCTCCAGAGAGGCCCAGATTGCTGAGATCAAGCAGAACCCTGTTGGCTACATTAAATACTTTGTAGTTTCTCCAAAGAGCAATAGAAAGCCACTGACAAGTATGGACAAGGGAGTAGCATGCAATGTTTGTGTTTTTATATATTACCTTTACTACAGAAATTACAATGGATTAGAATAGGGGCCTGCAAACATTTTTTTGTAAAGGGTCAGTTCAAAAGTTTTTTAGGCTTTGTGGGCTACTAGTTTCTGTCACATCTACCCACTCTGCTTTTGAAGTGGGAAAGCAGCCATAGAAAAAGCTGTAAATGAATGGGTGTGGCTGTGTTTCAATTAAAATTCATTTGTAAGAAGAGGTAGGTGAGGTTTGCTCTGAAAACTTTTATTCATCAACATCTGGATTAGAGGAAGACAGAAGTACATGGCAACATCTATCAAGCTAAGTCTGTGGCCTAGTTAAGAAAAGAAGGTAACTTGATACAGGGTATCAGAGGTTGGAAGGTAAAAGGAGGAAAACAAGACCCCTACAATGGCTGGGGATACCATGAGCTGTCAATATATATATGAGATGTCTCAAAATCTTATTCTGCTATTTGCAAAAAATCCAGTGTACACTCCAAGATCTGAGCAATTCTAAAAAACTAACATTAATATTGTAACTTTTGGCTCTGAGGCCCTACTTGCAGTTATTTTAGTTTATAGATCATCACATCTTTCCAATCAATGAGGTATTTTTTCTAAAGTGACTAAACTTTAAGTCACCCCCATTCAGCAATTTTTCATTAAAAATATCTGCTTACAAAATATTTTTAAGTAGGCAGCAAATATCATAGGAATTTATTTTTATGTGAAATTTATTACAGGAACTTAATTTAAAATTGCTGTTATTTAATGTGTCTACAGTAACATTATGCTATGCACAGCATAGCCCTCGCTTCTTAAATCTGTTAGTACATTAATAAACCTTTAAATATAATTTTAACTTTAATTGCATCTGCTTTATAAACTTGAATTTTCCATGATCTCTCTAAATTTTAAGGTGTTATTGTACATTTGAGGTGATAGGTATGTTAATTAGCTTGATTTAATGATTTCTATTGTATACACATCATTACTTAATCCTATATCCCATAAATATATACAATTATAATTTGTCAATTTATAATAAAGTTTTAAAAATTAAAACAGTAAAAAAAGCTTTAGTGTTAGTGTAGTCCAGAGGCTAGCTTTAGCCTAATTTACTCTTCTATGTGTACTTTCTACATATTTTTCAAGGATTTTTATTTGCATTTTTGTGTATTTTATTCTCTTTATTTGTCTTTAAATCAAGTTTAATAAAACCATGTGCTAGACATTTTGGCCTATAAGAAAGAAGAAAACAAAAGACATGAGAAATATAATTCAGGTTTGGGGGACTTAAAAAATAAGCAAGAATAGTTGTATAATTAAGGACTTACAGAATAGAAAGGATTTCTGGAGAACGAGGCTTGGAAATGCCTAGAAACCAATGCAACCTTAACGAGGGTCCTGTAGGAACATTCCACTCAGGGCTTTGCATCTGATAGAAGGAGATCTTAACCATCTCTTACATCTTCATATTAGATCGCTTATGATACAAAGCTCTGAGAATATAACACACTTTTTGGGCTTGATTGCAAGTCTGCTTCCTGACTGTATTGAGCCAGACAGAGGAAGTGATTTTAAATTACACAGTAGGGAATAACACCAAGCCTTATCAAGATCATAGATGATGGGAGTAGCATTTTAACCCAAGTGCTGAAGAGAAGGAGAAGGTGTCAGGGAAAAAAATGTCTGCAGGAAGAAAGAAAAACAAATATGTAGTCAATGACTGTCTTGACCAATGTATAATGAAATTATCAAGATTAATTGGTTCTAATGAAGCCCCAGTTTAGTTTGAAAAGATTGCAAACCCTTCACCATTAATAGGTATTTGAGATTCAGAAGTCATATATATGAGGCATTTATAAGTCTAATGTCTATAACTCATGTGTGTTCAGTGTTAAGGATATACAGAAGAGAAAGTGGTCTAATTATTGTTAGATAGAAGAGCTTCTTAGGGGCCTGATTTATTAGAGACATTAGAATGACTGGTAATTAGTATTTCAATCGTCTTAAATGCCTTCTTTTAAAATACTAAAGGACGTGTTAAAGTGCAGTAAGAACTAGATGAATTGGAGCAATGTTTAAACAAAGAAACCTCTCGGATTGTTTTGGGCTTTATTTTTAAAAACGTGAGAATAAATAGAAAGACCACCCAAATGAGAATAATTTAGAGCTTACTATAGCAAGGAAGTCAGCCACCATCACTTCTACAAGGGAAGAGATTCAAGGGCAAGTAGGGAAGTGTGAAAGTTTATAGTGAGAAAAAGTAAAATTTTCAGCTTTGAGAGATTTCATAGAATTTAATGCTTCTGTGTAACAGACAAGTTTCGGAGTACTCTTACTAAGTTTCTGAAGTGTTAGTCTAAGGCAAACAGCACTTTTCTGGTCACAAAAGAGTAGTATCAAGCGGGGGCTCAGGGAGAACTAGAAAAAAAAAACTTGCTTATGGAATTGTTCATGACACTAGGTGCCAACCAAGGTCTTACATTTTCTCAGTGGCATATTTGAATTTCGTTATGTTTTTCCAGGTGGCTTATTACGATATGAAGGGTATCAAATTAAAATTTAGAAGTAATTACAGATTAAGTACCACATTACAGTGATTCTACTTTAATTCTAAATTAAAAACTCTCAAATTTAGAATCTGATCAATAGATTGTAATAACTTACTCTTTTTCTGGGAGAGAGGCTGCCCACATTCCTTGGCAATTGGCCATCATCCCCCGATATCAAAGGAAATAATGATGTGTCTTCCATAGCCACATCCCTTTCTGAATATCTTCTGCTTCCCTCGCTAACATTTAAGGATCCTGTGAATATATTGGGCCTACCAGGGTAATCCAGGATACTCCCCCTATTTTAAGGTCAGCTGATTAGTTCCCTTAATTCCCCCTGCAACTGTCATTATCTTTTGCCTTGTAACCTAACGTATTCATAGGTAACAGGGATTAGGATGTGGACATCTTGGAGTAGGAATATTATTCTGCCAACCATACCCTATTACATTTTCATTTTCTGTGGTCATATCGCAGAACAGGAAGGAGTGTTTTTTAGTCAAGAATCCAAGGTTTATAGTCAGGATCTGGAGGATAGAGAAAATCTGTGGGTTATTTGAATACTTACAGCTGTGTTTACACTGAGGAAGAGGTTGAACGAAGTTGGGGGTGTTTAATTAATGTAGAGAGTGTAACACCTGTATATACCAGGCTCTAACAGTCAAGTCAAATCTAACAGAAAATGAAAATGTTAATTATTTATATTTATAGTTAGTTCACCTTGAGTGTTTAAAATAGGCTCTTGGATACTTTTTTCTACCTTAGAGAATGCGCATTGATTTCAATAGAGGGTTTTTGTGTTTTTCTTTTGTAATATAGGACAATCTTTTTTCCAGTGTCTTTTCTTTTCAGAATATCTATGAGTGTTCTTGTTAAGAAGGGTTAAAATGTGGGCCACATAGTATAGCTGTTCAAGCTGCAGGGTTTTATGTTTATTTTAGGTCCTGACTTTTTTATTTGTTATTGTTCTAAAGCCCTTTCAAAATGTTTTTCAAGTCATTGTATTTCAGGCAAAGGGGATATTTCTTAATCTAATTTATATGTCTGAATTAATTTCAGATTTAACTTCATTGACAAATAGAGATAAAAGGGCTGCCGCTATATTGCCACCTTATTTAACTTCTAAATCTTGTGGGAAAGTAGTTTTTAGTCTATCCCCAAAATCTACTACAGTTTCATGTTTCTGAGTCAATATTATTAAATTATGGTGCTGTCAATTTTTATTAGAGATGATTTAGGTGTAGTTTTTAGGAAAATTTGCCCTACCCTTCGGGTCTTTTTGACCCTTAAGTTTATTGTGGGGAAAAAAGTATCTTTTAGGTTACCTTCTGGGACAGTCCAATCAGATTTTGCCCTCCAGCATTTAGCAGCCCAGTTTCTGGCCAATGTGTGTGCAAGTTGGTTTTGTAGTGACTGGGCTGTTAAGCTAGCTCAGACAAGAAGCCGACAGGATCTATGCCTTTGTTCCATGGTGTGCTTCTCCTTATGACAAACAACATTTTTACTCAGCACGATGCAAAATGGAAGCACACAGAGAACAAAAGGGATGAGAAGAAATGACCTGATTCCATTACAGATACCTAACAAATGAAAACCAATAAAAAATCCAGAAACCAATTGAGAATAAGTAGCTGAGAAACTCAATGCAAAGAGAACAGAGTTCAGACCTGTGGCTGACTTTCCTCTTTGGCATGGACTCACCAAGCCAGGAGCAGCAAGGCTCAAGGGTCCTCCCTGGGCACTATGCCTCTGGTTGAAGGCTGGGGTCTACAGTAATGAGAAGTGCAAACCTTGTCTTGGTGCAGCTTCAGAAAGAAACTGCAAAAACAAGCAAAGACTATTGATATAAAAACAAATAAAGCTTATTTAGAGTTTGTTATAGCAAGGGAGTTGGCCAGCATTACAAGACTTATTGGCAGGCAGGAGAGTGGGAAAACCTTATAGCAAGAAAAAAGTAAGTCATAAGATACGTTTGGTAGGAATGGTAAAGCTGAAATGGAATAATTAGAAAACGGGTATCTTATGTGATTGGTTTGGGGAGTGTATTTGGCTTTCTATTGTTGTTTCTACTTGTAAGTGGGGACAAAAAGCAGAGAGGGTGAAAGTGATACCAGGTCTTATCTGTTTGGGAAATAAACCTACAATTGCCAACCTAATAATTAAGATTTAAAAATGTATGGTCACTATACATGACTCATTTGCTCTTCACATTTGGCCAACAGGCACACTAAATGGGGGTTTAAAAAGAATCAACATCCATTTACCTTTTGCATCTTTAATGGTGAAACTTTTTCTCTGCAATTCCTCCAGAAACTAGATATTGCTTTAGCTTGATTGCCTTGCTGGAATAAGAGTAGTTCCAGATGCTTCCACCTCGCCCTTTGTACCTGATTTTTATAATTTCACATCCTTTGTTCTCAATCGAATCAGAAAACCCATTTATATTACAGGATCTCTTTCTATCCTCTTAAGCCCATGGACAATAGCTACCACAAAAAATTGTTCAATGATTCTGATATTCTCCCTTACCATTACGTTTCAAAAAAAAATCTAAGATAGTATTTCCAAATCTTCAGAGTATAGTCAGTAGATGGATGAGCATATTTAAGCCAATAGGCACATTTTAATATTTCCATCTCCCATAATCTTCATGTCTTCCCCTGTAAAATACCCAGGAAGGTCTCCTAATTTAACCCTGTTTATTATATGAATTATTGAGTCAAAGATTTAACCGGCCAGATGACTAGATTATAATGCCACTCCTAGAAAATTGAGCACAACATGATATATGTTTATCCTGGGTGAATGCACCTTTGCCAATATATATTTATGAGGTTTGAGCCTTAAGTTTTACTCCAACACATACTCCCCAGTATATAGCTGAATATCAATTGATATCATCTTATAACTCCTTAAATATGTAGGCTATCTCCTTTTTAAGAAGACCTGTGTTACTGTGTCTGGGCTCTATTAGTACTAACATTTAATTATGGGCCTGAATAAAATGAGATGTTGTTGGGGATGGAACCTGAGGAGAAATGGAATCAGCTTGTAAGGTTAGTGCCCCAAAATATCATCACCAAAAGCTTTTATGTTGATGATGGATGAATCTTTCAGACCACATTGGGAGTGACAGGGCTGCATCTACCAGTAATAGAATTTGAGGGGAATTTGGAGGATCAGATTTTATACATTATTTATGTCTACTTATCCCATATCTATGGATATCACTTCTTTCTCACCAATACTCTTACCTTGGCATAAGTGGCATCCTTGAATTAAATATTTCATAGGATTCCTCTTGTCCAGCTAATCATGCTTTAGGAATGGTTTCAAGCCCTAACTTCCCTGTGATTACGAAAATTTCATTATGTCTTTGGGCTCTCAACCCATATTCTTGTATATTTATAGGTAGTAAGTTTTCTTTTCCCCTATAGATTATCTCTAAAGCTATAGTAAGAAGCACAATGACTACACGTTCTTCACTTCCACTGTTGTGGCCACTGCAACTGTGTCATAGCAATACACCTTGTGCTAAGATTTGTGATAACTTCAGAAAACATGATGCCACCTGATCTTATGCATTAGCCAGATCCCCTTAGCAAACAGGTCATTCTCATGTTTCTCCAATACATAAGCAACAAAATTCAATGATCTTATTTTGATAATCTGTTTTCTGTGGCCACTTTAATATCAACTAACGTATCAGTAAGGGTCCCAGTAGGAACAGATGGTGCTCTCAAATTAAGGTAATTACATTTATTAAAGGAACTTTAACAAATATATAGGAAGGATTTAGGTAAAACACAAACTAAAGTCTAACATGCCAGGACTTGTAAAGCAGAGATACTTAGTATCCCTTGCCTGAAAGAATGAGGGAGAGGAAAGAGTCTTGAAAAGTGGAAGGAGCGAGATATATGGAGATAGCTTGGAGAGCAGTGACTTTCAGTCAGGAGACACAGTCAATAAGAGGCAATGGCACAGAGAGATGGTTGAGAGAATTAAAATAATGACATCATTCTCCTCATTGTCTGTGGTTTCCTGTTATCAAATAGAAACTAAAAGAAAGAATGAAAGTTCACTACCTGGCTCACAGAATGGATTGGAAGAAGGTGGATATAAATTTGAAAGGGCAATTGGAAGGCAATCTAAACACAGAGTTTATAAAATACATTTTAGGTAGACTTATAAATTCTAAATGACATTTTAAAATAAACCAACAATATTCACTCACATGGCCACGTCTAGCTTCAAAGAAAACTAATGATTATATGTTCTTTTATCTAAGTAGTAATTTGACTCCTTAAATATCTAAAAACTCCCTCTTTCTCTTCATCTTACTCTTTCTTTCCCTTCCCTTGAAATGCAAGGATTTGTGGTAATGTCACGCTAGGGCAGAGAATATGGTCAAGATAGAGAGGAAGCCTACATCAGACCAGAAAAAGTGGTTAGGGGCTGAGGAGGGAGAGAGGACATGCAGGGCTGAAGTGATCAGAATTGAGAGGGCAGCTGAGGCTTACGAGGCCAGCAGGCCTAATGGGGCCAAAGTGGAGGGATTTGGGTTGAGGAGATAGGAGGTGTTTGGAGCCAGTGGGCATGGTGTTGAGGAGGTTGTCAGGACTGTGGAGGTAGCTTGTGTGATCAGGAGTTTGATTACATAAGGGAGTATGAGCACTTAAGTACATATAGTGAGAGTAATGGGATGAAAGTTTCTCATCACCAGGGAATGAGGTAAAAATATGAGATGGAAAACAGCTAGAATGAACCCTCTTGAGTTCAGTTGGAATTAGACGTATTTGTATAAATACATGGTTTGGGATATCTATACAGATATATTAATGGATCAATAGATACAGGTAGAGGCACATATATACACAAAGAGATATATGGCAAATGAATAAAAAATAAATTAAGAAAAAGCTTTTCATTGCAGTAGGATGCCAACTCATAAATTTAGAATGAATGAGGAAATTAGAAAATCACCATTTAGTAGCCATCATAGGAATAATCAGCTCATGAGAATCATCAAGGGATGCCAATACTAGTGGGCAGAATTATCTCCCCCAAGTTACGTATTAATTACAAAGGAGGTTGCAATAAATTTATAATGGAGAAACCTGTGAGAAACTACCTTTACTACATGATTAAAGCTAATAACAGCCATGAGGAAAATAGAAATTATGTGCCCCTTGATGCCATCCAATGAGAAAACCAAAGCATTGTGTCTGTGATATCATAGCCAAAAATATACAACCTGAATCCAATGATAAGAAAACATCAGAAAAACCGAATTTGAGTGCATTCTGTGAAAGAGCTAATCTGTGTTTTTATAAGTCAGTATTAAATAAAGGAAAAATAGGAACTATTTCATATTAAAGGGTATTAAACAGGAACAGCACCATATGTAGTAAGTGAATCTAAATCAGATCCTGGACCAGAAGGAAAAAATACGTTTTAAAGGCATTGCTGACTTGTTTAAGAGTAATGGGATATCATCCCCCATATAGACAAAATTTAAAAATCATTAAGAGCCATATATATACACATATGTACACACAGGTACTTATACCTACATGCATATATAAGTGGAGGGAGGAGGAAAGTGGGAGATAAAGAGAGAATGTGGTAAAATACTAGCACTGGGGAAATTTGAATTAATGCCGTTGGGAGGGAGCTGGAACTCCTCTTTGGGGCCTGTGGAACCCCGTATCCCCAGATTTTTTTTAAAAAAATTGAGTTCCTTCAAGGGAAATTCCAGGCACCTCGCTAGCCTTAAAAAGTCAATGAGCAACTTGCTAAGCAAGAAGGTGATAATAACTTAAAACCGTAGCCAGGGAAGTTAGCCACAAGAATGTTTAGTTCCCCTGAAGAAACTAAAGATTACATCTTGACATTATATGGAAGTTCTGTGCTCCATTCTTGAAAAGTTTTTGTAAGTCATGTCAAAATGAATGATTGGAAGAAAGAAGACATTTACTTGTTGAGAAGTGAGAGGCAAGTAGCAATCTCTGTAACCCTTACATCTCAATGATAGATGCCTATCAGTTCCTGGGCTTCCTTAATGTGTTCATTTTTTTCTGTTTTTCTTTCCTAGCTACAATGTCATATTGTGTCTTAGTATGACTTTAAATAACTTTTAGAGAATTAAGGAAAAATGATGACAGCAGAAAGATTTAAATCCCTCTGGACTATCACACAAAACCAGGCCAAAGAACAAATGGGAAAACCAAAAACTCAAGCAACCACCATATATTGCATCATCTGTAACAATTATGAAATAAACCACCTCTTACCTTTCAGAGTGCTAATGGGGGTCCTTTGCTGAAGGCAATGGAAACTCTGATTTCAACAGGAAGACTTCATGAGTATAGGGAAGCTTAGGGAATAGCCTGCAGAGACAGAGAACCAGCAAGGAGACATATGAAAGAACATGATCCACCATCTTAAGAATCCATTCTGCTGAAAAATCATTGCTGCTTAGTCTCAGTGGTGCTAGAAAACAGATACTAAGAACTCAATCACAGTGGTCTTAGAAAAACCAAATACTTCTATCATTATGCTTCTAGAAGCTTCTGATTTCCATCTCCCAGTCACTGCCTCAGATTGCTCGTGTATTTATCTAAGCCTTACTTTGGTGTTCCCATTTTGTAAAACGTAATCTCACATAGTGCACCACCTGCAAGGGAGCAAAGAAAGTGTATATTTGCTTTCTCAATTCAATAGTACAGGAAAGAAAGCTAGAAATGGTTTGAATGAGTGTGAAGCAAGGGTATCTATAATATCTGTCATAATTTGATCTAAATAAAAAATGGAGTCTGAGCATGGTGCCTCATGTCTGAAACCTCAACACTTTTGGAGGCTGAGGAGGGGGGATTGCTTGAGTTCAAGACCAGCTTAGGAATCATAGGGAGACCTCGTATCTACTAAAATAAAGTAACATAAAATAAAAAAATAAATCTAAAGGGATCAAAGACTTCCTTTTTGAAACTGACATTATCGTAGTCTCTCTTCTGTTTGGATAATACAAATATAAATGAACATGAAGTCGTATAGTTTTATTGAGGAAAGGAAACACAAAGATTACCAATCCAAACTGTATAATTTTTTAACAACATACAGAAACAGAAACCCAAACAAGATCAATAATATTTCAGTGCTACCCACTTACACGTGGCAAGCTAGCTAGAATAAGCCTTACTAAGAATCTTACTAAGATTTCCTATCTGAATGCCACAAAAGACTGAATCTAAACTTGTAAGATGATATTTTTACCTTCATGTCAAAAATGGAGGAATCTTTTTCTTTTTCTCTGAGTTTTCACACTTAACATTGTGTATTTAAATAATTAAGTAGCATGAAAAATTCTGTTTCTATCAATCACTGTGAAAGTTGTCATGGTACAGTGAATTTTAGAAATATGTGAATAGTCTTCCTTGAGATTGCTCCCGGCACGGGTACGCCCCCTGCCGACTGGGAGAGTGCACCACTTCCACAGGCAACATTTTATTTTCTGCTGCTTCTCCCTAGGCTTATCATGAATAGCTCTTGGAGTCTGAGACTTTCAAAGTCAGCCCTGTAAGATCTACGCTAGTGCCAGGAAGTAGTGTTCTAGGAGCCAGTGCCATCACAGAAGACAAGATATGATCACTTTGCTTAATTTATCTCTTATTGTCTGTGGCAATTAATGATTTCTCAAAATATATTTTTCTTTCTTTTTGTTTTGTTAGTATTTTGGCAGAGATAAGAAAATATACGTCCTTTCAAACTGCCAATTATATTTTATCTTTCCACTTGGTTGTCTGATCCTGTAGCAACGAGGTCATAACCCATTTTAAAATTAAACGTTGGATCTTGACCTGAATTTTACTACTAGAAGAAACTTTAAATTTATCACTTTTTGTTCCATGGCTTTTTGTTGATTTCTTTTTTGAGTGAGTTGCCACAAAGCAGGTGTAACAGCAAGTGGTCAGTCCACTCAGCATATAGGTTTAGTCATAGTCAAAGAAGATGAGAAGCATTGTATTAGATTTTGACATTAAATATTCCCAGAAGGACAGTTCACATTTTCCTGTCTGAAGAGGTATTACTTATGAGTGCTTCAATTTTTATTGTAATCCTTGATGCAGCTCAAATCAACAGAAGGATAGCTTTAGGAATGAAAGATGGAGTTTGCACTAGCATTGTCTGATATTCACTCAACCTCAGATTGACAGTAATAGATTGTTACTAGGGTGTGCAGAGTTCACTGCAAAGAATTATATGTCTTTTCTGTCCTTGGCTGTGAAGTTAGGCTACGTCCACAGAATTTAACTTTTTATTAGTTTTCAGAACATCACTTTAAAACTATGTTAAACTATAATACAAGATCTGGAATATTATCCTTGCCTTTTATTAAATTTTCCAGTTTACAAGGTAAATAAGAAATCATTGAAATTAAATTCAAATAGTTAAAGGTTTTCTAATTTTGGTAAAGAAAAAAATTGTAACAGCTCACTGCATTGTGCTACAAAGAGTAGAACAAGGGCAAACTGAATACAGTTCCCTAATCGCAATTCTGTACATTTAACAATCAAATGTATTAATTTGCTTTAGTATACTTATTCTTTATGCACAGCTGCAAGCATATATTTTTATGGATTCAATAAATGAAAAAGAATACAAGCAGTATTGTAATGAAAAATATTTATTTATATAGTGTTATTTAAATGATAAAACATCAAGTTATTGCATTTAAAGTATTGAAATTCTAGTCCTTGGCAGGTTGTTTAGCTATATATTATTTAGATTTTTATTTGTTTATTTGTAATATAAAAGTGGTTAACCTAGATTGATATTTATTGTGTTTTTGTTTTTGAAATTATAAATATTGTCATTTTACATATGTGAATTACAGTAAAATATATTAAATTATGAATATAATCAATTTCATCCACTGCCTTGAACTCCCTAGAGAATAAACTGAACAATATTATAAAGCGTTTTTGCATAAATTCTAAAGAGTTCCAAATTATAAATCACTTTTATTCCCAAAAGTATCATTTTAATGCAATTTATTAAATAATAACAGAATCTAAGTTGAGTAATAATGTCCCCTACTCATTTATGTCACATTTTAATTTTAAAAAGCTGGCAAACTATATTATCATTAGTGTACAAGTCTCTAGGTCATGGACTATGGCAAATTCATAAATATGTTTGTAATTCTGTTTTAGCTTTTTAAAGATTGATTAGAATGCCACACAACAACATCTAAGTGTCGTTAATATTTTCAAAAAGTATATATTAAAGAATTATTTACCAAGCCTCCTGTATGTGTATATATGTATGTACATATACACTTACATACGTATATATGTGTGTAATAAAAATATAGTGATATTTATTAATATTTGAGAATGTTGACTTCCAAACCACTAAATAAAACTAGCAAAGTATAATTTTTCTCAGTATTATTGAGTATCACCAAATGGCATTTTGGGAATTTTTATGGGTTTCTAAAAATATCTCATTCTATGTTACCTGTAAAATTTTACTTTTGAGTTCACTATAGTTTGAGTGTTATTAGAAAGTAGAGGAAGTGTCCTCACCGTGCACTTTACATTGAAATGGATTGGGGAAAATATGAAACCTGAAAAAAAAATGGACTTCCATGTGATAAAAAGAAACTCTTGATTTGCATCACATATCAACAGCACCTATTGTTTGGAAAGCAAAAGTGCACATTCCAAAATGTCAAGAAGCAGAACAAGTCAAGGATGGAAAACATAGGAAAAAGGCAGAGGGTTACTAGCTTCAGAGAACTAGGTTAAATGTGATGGAAGAGCAAATGCTAGTAACACTGTCGAAAAGAGCAAAGCACAGAAGTTTTAGATGATAGTGTCAAAAATGTGACCTTAGCAATTTCAAAAAGAGATAATATAAAAGGGTATTCCTAGAAATGCCTCAAGTGGCCTCAGCCTGCAAGGCAGGAGAAGGACCATCACTACCGCCTACACAATGAAGTTCCACGAGACAAAGAAATTAAAAGAGAAATGGCAGGACTGGACAGTGCACAGAAATCCTAAAGGAAACAGAAGTAACTTATGGAAGCAATATTTACGACTCACCACTAAACCCGTAGCGTCTCTTCCAAAAACAATGCCAGACGCGGTGGCTCATGCCTGCAATCCTAGCACTTTGGGAAGCCGAAGTGGGCGGATTCTGTGAGCTCAGGAGTTTGAGACCAGCCTGGGCAACACGGTGAAACGCCGTCTCTACTAAAATACAAAAAATTAGCCAGATGTGGCGACGTGCGCCTGTGGTCCCAGCTACTCGGGAGGCTGAGGCAGTAGAATCGCTTAAACCCGGGAGACAGAGGTTGCAGTGAGCCGAGATCGTGCCATTGCACTCCACCGTGGGCGACAGAGCGACACTCCGTCTCCAAAAAAAAATTAAAAATAAAAATAAATAAATAAAAATATTCTTTACCATAAGACCAGACAGTAAATCACTGGTGATGTTACAATAGAGGCCATTATTGTGGAGTGCAAAAGTAAATAACGAGAACAGTTTCTATTCATCTTTAGCTGGAGTTGCTCACCTTCCTGAGAAGGCTGATTTTTTTCAGGTCAGACAAATTGAGGAAACAGTTCTACAACTTAAAGAAAAAAGTGTTATAGTTTTTTTTTTTACATCAAAAAATTGTCTCTGTTATATTCAGAATTTTGGAAGTGTTGGAAATTTTAGAGGTCCCTCTAGTAGAGCTTTTCTCAAGAGACACACCACCCTGGGGATCACACTTTTATAATTTTCCCCTCTAATTATGGTGGTGTTTCTCCTATATCCCCCACTACTTGCAAATGTCTCTTTGTATTAACGGTGACTTAGTTCACCTGCTGTCTCTCCCTTAGCTAGGGGTCCGTGGAAGATTAGACAGGAAAAAAAAATTAATTATTCAAGATTTTCTTAAATAATTTGTGTAAGAAAACATAAGAATAAAGATCTATCACTTCAATTAAACAATTTCTTCCCTAATATTCCTGAGAAATATTTATAAAATTTTTCTTGGAAATACTAGCAAGGAGGTATTTGCTGTTTTCTCAAAGCAGTGGCTACCATCTTGGGGCAGTTCTAATGGCTAGAAATTGCCTTCTTTTAACTTCTTCTGGTCTTCAATCTTTTGTTAATGATCTTCTGGAGACATTAAAAGGCATTGAATATACTGGTGTGAACAAATCAAACATAGTTCTTGCCTTCATAGAGCTTACAATTTAGAGGAAGAGGAAGGCATTAAACAAAACACTCAGAAAAATAACTAACCCAGATGTCAACTGGGGCTTCACGTTCCTTGAGAAGGACTGGGCTCGAATCTTATTCCACTCTCCAAGGGTGATGTCCAGAATCTCCCCCTAGATTGCGGCACATTGCGGATGCCTTTGTGGCATTTTGTCCCTAGAATTGAGCTCCTACTTTCTCTCCTACTGCTCTGCAGTAAATGATGCAGATGGGACAGATAACGCTTTTCCTTAATTCTCACTTACAGAAAAATAAAACTCACAAAGCACCTCTCTATTTGAGAAAGATTCTAAAGAAGAATTTTAAGAAAGGCAAAGGGTAATTTTGCAGTGCACCTTGGAAAATTTCTTCAAATGAAGCATTATTTACAGAATTGTCTTACGACTTTTTAACTTGACTGAAATTTCAGAGAGAACGGGGCAGAGCTGGACGGTACCAAAGCGTCTCTTGCTCAGCAGCCTCTGTTATGTATGTGTGTGCATAATGTCTGCACGAGGGGGTGTGTGGAGGTGTTTGTTAGTTATCACTAAAATGTAATTGAAAATAATGTACACACAAAAGAAGATGTATTTTATGTATACATTTGAATTATAATAATAAAATGTCAAAATTACATTTTAAAATGATAGTGGTACAGGTTTCTCCTGGTATTTTTCTCAATATTGTCTTTATACATTTTGTGGTAGGCTACTAGCAGCATTCAAGTTTAGAGTTTTTGTTTTTGCTTTTGTGTTCTGAAACTTTTATAAACAGCATGGCCAATCTATGAGAACCTTTATCTAAAATTTTGTTTGGGGTTATTTGGTTGATGCAGGTAATATGAGCAATCACTCCTAGCTCAAGTGACTGTTAATTTACATCTGGCAATTTCCATGAGGGACGTTTCTGTTTCGTCATGTTATTCTTCATGAGGGTCAACAGCCAAGCCATCCTCTGTCTAATTGAGATGGTTGTTCATGTTTTTGCTTTGCCTGTTTCAGCCACTAAAGTTCTCCTTTGAGGGGTCTTGAATTCAGGCAGGGATTTTTGCCCAGTCTCACATTCGGCTGAGGCCTATGCAATTGATCAGAAGGTCTTTAACACACAACCTCTTGAATGCCAGATAACGGCAGATACTCCTAGAGAGAATACATCTTCCTTCTAATTTACCTTTGTGATTTTTGTTTTCTTGCCTTATGTAACCTCTGCATAACTCCTGTGGTCTTGCTACTATCTTGGCCATGTTTAAAAATAATTTTTAAAAAACTGTATTAATAATTAATATATATTAATGTGTTGTGTGTTGGGTCACTCTCACCATATAGCTCACCATTTTTCAAGAAATGAAAGAAAGTCCACATGTATCCTTTTGTCTACTGTCGTTGGTCTTTCTCACTGACCCTTCACACATCCGGTCTTAGGCTTCCATCATCATTGAGTCTTCTTCCTCCCTTGGTTGCCGAAGTAAATTCCTTTCCTTGATCCGTGAAGAGTCGTGTGTGAGTCTTCTTTCAAGATGAGTTCCAGCCAGGCCCTTAGGATCACCTGGCTTAGGTCTTTCCCTACACCTTACCAAACCAAACCAAACTAAGCCAAACCACTCTCTAAGCTAATGCTAGAGCCACCAGTTAAAATAAAATTTAACTTCTCATACCCATATAAGACTCATAATTACAAATAATTATACATTCTGTGAGGAAAATCATAGATTTTCATGGCAGAAAATAACGGGTGAATTATTTGGTTTGGTGGATCGTGGAAAACCTCTTTGAACCAATACTTTATTTTGATTATTCTGGAAAACCTGGAATTTATGTAATTCCTCATCTGCATATTTGAAATTCAAGTATCCAAAGTCAGCTTATAGTTTTGTTCTTTCCTCTCCTTGGAATTGTTCAACTTTTCTTGAACAATTCTGCAAAGAATTTCCTAACCAGATAGTTCACAATCCTAGTCACCTGAGCTGGAAATACACTAATATTTATCTGTTTATGTAACATATTCAGATCAAGCAGAAACTCTTGAATTTGGTTATTACAGAAAGCAGTAGAATTATACTACTATTTTCCTTGATCTGTAAACTCTGTTTTCATGAATACAGCCCCAAGATTTCTTTTACTTTTAAGCTGATCTGCAAAGAGTTTTTAGTCAATTATTCATAAGGTTTATAGCAATTTATTTTATAAAACTAAATTCTATAAATTATCATTAATATCAATAATTATGTTTGATTACATATATTACATGAATTATTCATCTCAGATTTGTGATGTCTGAAAATTAAACATATTTTGATATTTATAAGAACTGCTAATAGACTGATATAAGCCTGAAAAGTAAGACACTTTGTATAATGTTCTATAGCTAAACATGATCAACTTTTTCTCCTTTTTTTCACGAGTCATCGTAATTACTTGGATACAAAGATAAAATATTTTAAAATGAATATCCTTTGTATGGCCATTTAGCTAAATAGAATCTATAGTACTTATGTTCTACTTATTTTCTAGCTAGTATTCTTTTGTTAGATACAGTAATTTGTAAACATTTCTGTTAAAATGCATGGATATTATATACAGTGGACTGAGGGCTTGTGTTTCCTCAAAATTCATATGTTGAAATCCCAACCCCTCAAAGTGATAGTATTAGGAGATGAGGACTTTAGAAGGTAGTTAGGTCACGAGGGTAGAGCCCTCATACATAGAATTAGTGCCCTTATGAATTAGATCCCAGACAGCAATCTAGTAGTCTTTTCTACCACATGAGTACATGTCAAGTTGGCAGTCTGCAACCAGGAAGGGTGCCCTCACCAGAACCCAATCATGCTGGCACCCTGATTTCAGACTTTTGGCCTCCAGAACTACAAAAAATAAATTTCTGTTTTTATAAGCCATCCAGTCTGTGGTATGTTGTTATAGCAGCCAGAATGAACTAAGAAATTTTATCTATCTGGTTTCCAAAACCTCAGTATATTACATCGATCCAAAAAAATATGTGTGATTGGCTTGCCATGTCTTGATTTATGCATATATCCTTCTAAGGATCATTTTTAATTACTAATATTTTGTAATCATTAAAAATTAGTGTGCTCACCAGCAAATAGGTTATACAAAGAGTGCTGGAAATATTCCTTCAAAAACCACTATTTCAGATTTATGTTATGTTCAATAGCTGTCTTTTAAAAAAAACAATTATTTTTTAGAAGTGTAGCAAAAAAAAAAAAAAAGAAATAAAAAAATGTGGTCAGATTCACTAAACAGTGAATTTAGGATTTTATGAGATTATTTATTCTGTTTAGTCTATCATTTTTTGAATAACAGTTTCTACAAAAATAGAGATAAAATAATAAACTTTGAAAATCACTGTTAATGTGACTGATGATTTGACTTTAGTTAAAATGTTACCTTTACTATAATAGATTAATATCGAATCACCATAATAAAAATAAAAACTTTACAAGCAAAGGTACTTGCTGACATTAATAGAATGAGCTTTCATTTATATTGTGAGTTTATTCTCTTAGGGTGATGTTTGAAAGAGAGTCCAAGGAAATATTTAAAATTTCCCCCCTTTTTTAAATTTAAGAATGCCTTTCTTTTAAATATGTAACTGATCAGAAGTGGTTTTTTAGGTGAATATTATCTTAGTTTATGATAAAATAATAAATCTTAGGATTTTCAAATGAATACAAATTTATCTATATTTCGTACATGAATTCACAACATTAACATATCATTTTATCATGTACATATTAACAATGCAATTTTCCCTTTACATTACTTTATTTCTGGAAAAGTTGAAATAATTGCCAGAAATACAGAAAATTTAGTCGTGTTCTTTTTGTCTGTTGGCCAATATATCACTTAGTTGTCGGGTAGTTTATGAAATGGTAATGAACATTTTACTTTATTCTAGTTTACCAGTAAACTGCACCATAAATTCAACTTCCATCCACACAATTCATCATTCACATGGCGTAATGTGGGTTTACAGGTGACAAAAAATAATTAGGCTAGAAAAGAGTAACTATGTTTTACAGGCTTACAGTTTTTACTGAAACCCATTTGCTGCAACTGTGATGAAAGAAATACAGACTTTGAGACCCTGAACTACTCTATGAATATAAGCAATGGTGTATTATAACAAAAAATATGAAATTAGTGTGTTTATATAAATTATTTAAGTCCCATAAAATAAATTATTTTATACTATTGTAATCAGAGCAGTAAAAGTTGGCAAGTGATATAAACTTAGCTTAAGTTATGATACCACTGAAATATTAATTCTTATTTGATACGTTTTACACAGGACCAAGCCAATATATCATAAATGATAAAGCGTACATATAATCTAAAGTAATTAATAATTTCAAACATTTCATTCCTACTCTAATGACAACAATGATAACAATGATAATGATTTGGATGTAATGGCATCATTGCATAGATAAGTGTACCAGAACTTTTTCATAAGTATGTAATTCCACAGTGATTGATTGAATTTTATTAATCACAGCACAATATTTTCATTGAAATTTTGGCTTTTGGTCATAAATTTCAAAAAAAATTAAATTTTGGTTAGACACTCTGCTATGACTATGCTGAAATTAAACATTTGAAAAAGTAATAAAGCAAATAAAATTAGCAGATATAAATAAAATGAACTGCCTTGTTTTCTATGATTTCCATTGTTGGAAGATATAATAAGATATTAGCTGATTATTTTACACTGAAATCATGCAGACAGGTCATTCCTTTCTATGTGCCAATAAGAGTAGCTTGAAAATATATTTTTTTAGTTGCCTGAAGAAAAGCAGACTAGAGAAAGAAGTATAAAAGAACCAAATATTTTACCTGGTAGAGTAGATATTCAACAAGTTACCCATGCACATTCCAAATACATCGAAATTAGATATGGAGAACTGAAACTATAATTTATAGATGCCATTCAAATGCACTACATCTTATAACTATAGCATTATTCCAAAGCACATTTTCTTCATGTGTAGCTGAACTATATTTCCTATGCTTGGAAAATTGACAAAATTTGTAGAAAATAAAAATATCATGAAACATTGGAATAAATGCAAATTTTTCCATAGAATAAAATAATACCTAATTAATGACAGATGTTTTTATTGCGGAAGAAAGTATGCAGACAAATGGTTACTGTTGAAATAATTTGCTTAGACTTCCATGTAATTCTGCAGTACTCTAAGATAATTTAAATTTAACTTAGAATGTAAATTTTGGAATGGATAAGATATTCATTTATAATTCAATAAATACTTGAGCACCAGTTTCAGGCAATGTTGAAAGTACTTTTTTAAAAAAAATAATTTCCATAGGTTTTTGAAGAACAGGTGGCATTTAGTTACATAAATTCTTTAGTGATGATTTGTGAGATTTTGGTGCACTCATCACCTGAGCAGTATACACTGAACTCAGTTTGTAGTCTTTTATCCCTCACCTTCTTTCCACCCTTTCATCCAGAGTCTGCAAAGCCCATTGTATAATTCTTATAACTTTACATTCTTATAGCTTAGCTCCTACTTATAAGTGAGAACATATGATGTTTGGTCTTCCATTCCTGAGTTACTTCACTTAGAATGATAGTCTCCAATCTCATGCAGGTTGCTGTGAATGCCATTAACTCATTCCATTTTATGGCTGAATAATATTCTATCACATATATCATTTTTGCAATTGTGAATAGTGCTGCTATAAACATGTGCGTGCAAGTATTTTTTTTTTTCTACAATGACTTCTTTTTCTCTGGTAGATATCCAGTAGTAGGATTGCTAGATCAAATAGTAATTCTACTTTTAGTTCTTTAACAAATCTTCACACTGTTTGCCATAGCGGTTGCACTAGTTTACATTTCCACCAGCAGTATAGAAGTGTTTCTTATTCGCTGCATCCACACCAACATCTATTATTTTTTGATTTTTTGATTATGGCCATTCTTACAAGAGTAAGGTGGTATCATCAGATTGTGGTTTTGATTTGCATTTCCCTGATCATTAGTGGTGCTGAGCATTTTTTCATATGTTTATTGGCCATTTGTATATCTTGTTTTGAGAATTGTCTATTCATGTCCTTAGCCTGCTTTTTGATGGAATTGTTTGCTTTTTTCTTGCTAAGTTGTTTGAGTTCATTATAGGTTCTGGATATTAGTCCTTTATTGGTTGTATAGATTGTAAAGATTTTCTCCCACTCTGTGACTGCTGACTGTGCCTTTTGCCATGCAAAAACTCTTTAGTTTAATTAAGTCCAACCTATTTTTCTTTGTTTTTATTGCATTTGCTTTTGGTCTCTTGGTCTTGAATTCTTTGCCTAAGCCAATGTCTAGAAGGAGTTTCCTGATGTTATCATTGATTTTTCTCTAGTGTTTTCCTCTTTGAAACGTGATTTATTTTTAAAATCTTATCTTTATAATTTTATTCTTTCTGCTTGCTTTGGGCTTAATTTACTTTTATTTTTCTACTTCCTGAATGTAAAAGTTTAGTTAATTAGAAGTTTTTTAAAAAATAATATAATTGATTGCTATAAATTTCCCCAAAAATGCTACTTTATTTGCATATCATAAATTTTAATTCATGGCATTTCAACTTAATTCAAAATATTTCATAATTTCTTTATAATTTTCTCTTATATGGTTTTTTTTAAATGTGTGTCATCAGGCCTATATGTTTTTTAGAAATGTGTTGCCTAATTTTTAATTGTTTACAGATCTATCATTTTCTGTTACTGATTTCTAACACAATTCTATTATACTCGGGAAATACTTTTTTCAAATACTTCTAATTGTGTAGGGCTTATATTATATCTTTCATTCTTTACTTGGTAACTAATGGCTCCAAAAATGTTGCACTGCTTTGTATGTAGTATGAGAATCTTATAACTAAATATTCCTAATCCTCATCTCCCATGTTTTGGGTTACTTTTTAAATTACATTTTTGCTTTTATTTATAAACTCACAATACTACTTTTTTTAAATCAGTGCTCAATTTTCTATTAGATAAATTAATATATCAAAATATTTATACTTATATTCATTTTAACTGTTAATAGTGATCTTTATTACCTTGTTTACATCCATATATGTATGTGTGTGTGCATCTATCATGTACCTATTATCTGTCTATCTATCTATCATCTATCTATCTACTGAAATTTATATCTTCTATCATATTCTTTCTGCCTGAGGAACTTGCTTTTCTTGTCTAGTAATCAATCCTCTCATTTTCTGTTTGTTTAAAAAGTAGTCTTAATTTTTCCTTCATTTCTGAAAAATATTTTAACAGTATAGAATTCTGGGTTGATCCTTGTTTTCAAGAACTTTAAAGATGTTTCTGATAAGATGTCATTTGTAACTTTTACATTTGTTCCACTGAATGTAATTATTTTTCCACCTCTGGCTGTTTTTAAGATTTTCTAGTTATCTTGGTTTTCATCAGTTTGAATATATTTGTTCTAAGTATCTGAATTGGGGAGCTTGGTGGTAAGAGGTGGATTTCTCCTGCTTGGTGTTATTTGAGCTTCTTTTGTCGTGGTTTGGTGTCTTGCTTTATTTTTGAAAAATTCTTGGTCACTGCCTCTTCAACTATTTCTTCTGTCTTGAATCTTCTCAGATTCCAGTCACAGATAGGTTAGACCTTTTGATAGATCTGCAGTGGTATACCCTGCTTTTTTACACTGTTTTTTTCACTTTGTGTTTTAATTTGAGCAGTTTTTATTGACTTATCTTCAAGTTCATTGGTTCTTTTTTTGACTACTGATAAGCCCATCAATAGCATTCTTTGTCTATAAACTTTTCTATTCCAGATAGGACAATTTATTTTAGTTTTCATCTCTGCTAAGATTCCCTGACAGTGTATAGTTGTCCATTTTTTCAACTGGAGCATTTAACATATCAATCATAATTATTTTATAATCCCTTTCTTGTAGTTTGGATGCCTGAGTCATATCTGATTCTAATGTTATTGATTGATTTGTCTCTTGACAGTGTGTTGTTATTTCTTGCTTTTGTATGTGTGTCTTATGATATTTGATTGATTGTCAGAGCCATTTGTTGAGCAGTAGAGTCTGGGGTAAATAGTATTTATTTCTAAAAACAGGCATGTCTGCTCTTTAGTGTGGGGGAGATGAGTCAGTTCAATCAGGAATTGAGTTGGATTCACTTTTGTTGGTCTTTGGTTACCGCTGGCTTCGAATTACTCTGAACTTACCTTGTGTTTTTGGTAAGGGTCAGTTTGCTAAAAGGCTTTTCTGAATGTTCCAGCTCCTTGCTCCCTGTGTTTCTGAGGTTCAGAGATGCTGTATCCTCAATGTATTACCAGGTGTTGTTTGTTACTCAGCACCTACTAGCCTGAGTGGAGGGAACAGAGCTGTCTCTCTTGCCCTGGTTCAGCCTCAGGCTTAGGCAGAACCTCCTCCTTTGTTCTCAGGAAAGTGCTTCCTCAATAACTCTGCTCCTCTCCCAGCAGTGGAAAATCTCCAACTAGGTATTTTGTGTTTACCATTACATTTTTCTCAGGCAGAGTGTCACCCTTGTGCTCTAGCTGGCAACAAGCCTTTGCTGTCCTTTCCCTGGGCTCTGAAGGCTTTTTGTTCCTTAGAGGAGAGGAAACCTGATGGGGCTTCATGCCTTTCCCCTAGTACTGGCCATTCCCATCTGGCTCTCCATGCAAAGGAAGAGTGTCTCCAATCTCTCCCCTTGCCCTCAGTTATTCCCATATGGGAGAATCTGTAACTGGGTGTGAATTCCTCCCAAGTGGTCTGTGCCTCCCAAAGCTCTATACTGTCACCCAGGCCTGCACTTATTCTTCAGCAATTCATTGACGTTTTACCTAAATTCTTCTTGCCTGCTCATATTGAGACACCATCTTCCCATCTTTCAATGCTGCTACAAATTACTGGTGCTTGTGTCTTTTATCTCCTAAGAGGCATCTGTTTATGTTTCTTTGTTTAGATTTCAGGCTAGCAAGTAGTCCTATGAGCATCTCTGTGATAGGTTCAAAATGAGTTATGATTTTGTATATTATACAGACTTTTCTAGTTAGAATGGAAACCAAGCTCTTTGTAGCTTTCTACATTCTAGTGTAAAGCTGAAACAACCCCTTCCATTTTTTAGTGCATAATTTTAAAAATCAGCAGCATTTTTCTTCCATATTACTTCATATAATATGCATATCATGCAACCTTATATCTACCCTAAGACAAAGCAGCATATTGGACTGTATCAAGTAAGTGGCACTGCCATGCTGTACATTGTTGGACCTGCTTCGCCAGTACACTGTTCTGAATGATTCCAAGAAATAGAACTAATTGAAGAAAGATGTCTTACCTGTCATTTCACTAAAAGCAACTAATTTGGCTCCATTCAGTCTATTATTTTCCTTACTAATTTTATTGAAATTCTCCTTCCACTGATTTGGCAAAATATTTTCAGCAATGATTAATATTACCGTGCATAAGAAAAGAGGTCAGAAAATCTAATCTAGACTGACATGTCAAAATGAGGATAAAACAAATGCAAAAACCATTTTACGAGGTTAAAATTTGGGTGGTAAACCCAGTGAAACTCTGTTCCTTTCTTGTGGCATATGCCTTTGTCTGTGTTGTTACTTATTTGATAACTGTCTAATATCACCTCCACACACACACATACACTCTTATATGTTCTCCAGCTCTATTATAAACAGATAGCATCAGAACTGTGTAATTTTAGTTCCCAACATTGCTTCTTGCTCATTTTCAATAAAAAGGAATTTTTATAGTAAAAAAATTTAAATGTTCCACTCAGCTTCAAAAAGTATACCAAAATACCTGTTGCAATTACTGCAAAAAATAGGATCAACTCAACTTTTTAAACTGATAAGATTGAAAGAAAAACTTTTTTTTGCAAATCTTGCCACAACACATTGCTGTTATTTAGATTAAAAATATAATTCTAGATGAAACAGGATTTCAAAAGATTAGAAAAGTTGGCAGAAGATAATAAACCTGGTAAATTTAAAATATAAGTTTCAACATAGGAAAGCATTTTTGAGCAAAGATATGACTAAGGAGGCCAACAAACTGGACATGGTTATGAAGTCTATTTATACAACAAGGTAAAATAACGTGATTTTTATGTTACATTCACTTACACAAGGACATGATAATTTCCATGTGACTTTCTCCTGAATCTGCAGAGCAAACTGCAATTTTCTTGGATTATAAACTATGTTTATATAAGAAAACTGTATAACTAATGGGGTATTTATTTTTATTGTCAGTGTTTTGTATATGACAATGTGCTTTGAATATGTTTTAAAGTTCAATTATCATCAATAAAGATGAAAAGATGCATCCCCTAAATTGAAAATTATACATTAAATACATATTTAAATCTCTCATCAAAACACTACCTTGACTGAGAAGAAAGCTAATGATTCTAGGTACGTTTTGCTTTGCCAAATACTATTTGTTATGGCTCAGTGGTGCTCTATCGTTTTGCAATGTATCACTTCGTATGCAGAACATAATTCCTTAAAGTTTCTATTTATAAAAGCTAAAGATAGAAAGTCTTATACTTTATAGCAAATGCTAGAAAGTGAACATAGATAATTTAAAATGAATGTTTTTGCCCCTTCTCCTTTAGTTCCTTAATATACGGTGGTTTCTAAGTCTGTATTTTAAATGATTTCAGCACTCCTATTTTCTATGTTACAAGGCAATCTGCCTGTGGTAGAAATAGTAATCAAACCTTGAATTCTATGGAAGGGTTACTCAAGTCACTTAGAAAAATATCTCTGAGACTACACAGTGTTGCCATATTCATGCTAATTAAAGGTCAACATGGCATTAAACATGTAACTTCTCAGGATAATTAAAAAGAGAAAATAAAGCCTGGGGGTATGACAAGGAATAAATGGAGTGTGGTATAGTCATAGTCATAGCAGAAAGAAAAAGGAGGCCCAACGGCCCCTCCTTGTTCTGGCTGAGATTCCAACCCAGCATTAATCATCTCATTATAACCACTTCCTAGAGAGATGACTATTCCTAAGTAGGAAGACACAAATAGGTCCAATTATCCACCTCTTTCTAAACAAGTTTTAATTTCACAATAATTTATATTTGTACTTACCTGTACAAAAAAACTTATTCCTCCACATCTGTGTCCTCACCCCCTATAAGACTCTATAAATCCTCTAATTTGATCCAAACTCTTATCTTTCTCTGGTAACTCCAACTCCATTGATGGAAATTAGCATTGTATCAGAAAAATGACCACTTCCCTAAAATTCCTCCAGTTAAAACTAAACATGTTTTAAAATTTTTGTTTTGTTTTTGTTTTTATCCTGAAGGCATTATTCTTCCTGCAGGACTATGAAGTTATGGCTACATTTTCTTCCCAATCCCCTTCTACCCCTAAGGTTGAATGTGGGACAGGTGTCCTCACAGATCCTTATCACCACCACTATTTCCCAGCACCTTCAAAACACAAGCAATTAAATATTGCCATCTGCTACAATTTCTTATTGCAGTCATCTATTTGCATGAAACCACTCTTTTCCATTCAGTTGAGAATTTTAGCTTTTAAATCCATCTTCCTGTCCATGATTATTCATATCAAAATCCCTGTTAGTTTCAGTGTTTACCTGGCCCCTTCCTGCTAGACATGTATACATCTGCTATGAAAACATTACAAAGTATGCCTATATGTATGTAGAGAACATAAAGGAATCTATATCTTTGTTTATA
Organism: Homo sapiens; assembly: GCF_000001405.40. Lineage (NCBI taxonomy): Eukaryota > Metazoa > Chordata > Mammalia > Primates > Hominidae > Homo > Homo sapiens. The sequence goes on from NC_000004.12 coordinate 170,869,154, forward strand.
AAATATTCTCAAGTATTGACAAAGCCAGTCCTTATTCTATTTCTATAAAAGGTAGCAGATTTGGACTCATCTAAATTATCAAGCAAAATGTCTAACACATTTTAGGTCATTACCTTAAAGAAATAAAAGATTATCAGGGAGGTGTGTTTACTCAGTTACTTTCTTATCCCTTGTATTTATTGCTCGCAGAATATATATTGAAATGAAGAAAAATCAGCTTTGAACTGGATCTAAGTCATCCTTCACACTGTCTCAGAACCTGACTCAATTTAGTGCCTCAGTTATTTGGCCTTGTTCTGTCCTCTCCAAAGAACATTTCCTCTATGCCTTCTCTGCCACACCCCTGGGGTCACAACCATATTGAATATTATCAATGATTGTGCCACCTCAAAAATATAAATTTCAAACTATTTCTCTTACTAGTTTCTACTATCTTCTTAGCCCAATGTTCTAGAACTCATAGTCCCACAATTTTCAACCCCACTGGGCACTCTCATATACTGAACCTTACACTTCCTGTGGTCTACTATGTACTACAAATAGTAAAATCCATTTTTACCTGACTTAGAGTTCAAAATTAAAATTAGAGCCTTGAACAAATTATCAGTCTCCATACCTTTCTTTCTGAAGAATTTAATGTGTCATAACCCCCAGCCCTAGTTCTATACAACTTTCTGCCTTCCCTGCCTTTCAACCTGGATGCATATGTAATGCTTTTCTGACTTTAAATTCATCACAACTTCAAGTGTGCTTTCAGCCTCATCCTAAAATACTGTTGTGTTTTCATAGATCATTTGCTCACCCTCTCTGAGACGGTTACTTTAAATTTCTCATGTCTTTATTAATATTAATCCAAAACATTTCCTTTCCCTACTGTCAGCTGATTTTTGACTCTAAGAACATTTTAAAAAAAAAGGAGAATTTTATCACCATACCTCCAAATCTATTAACTTACCTGCATTTAGATACATGTCCTCTGTCGGGCTCCTTTTTTACCAAAAGATACACTTTCCATGTCTCCAGCTTGGGCAAAGAGCGAGACTCCATCTCAAAAAAAAGAAAAAGAAAAAGAAAAAAAAATCTAAGTGCCATTCTCTCCTTCCTATGAAAGGGCTTAACTCCACATTTTATTTCTCCAGTTGCATCAGTTTTCTACATTTGAGTGGCTCTATTGACTCACCACCATCAGTGTCGCTATAACAGTATTCATTCTTATTAAAAAACACCCATATTATTTGCAGCTCACACACTGCTCCTCATTACAGTAAAATACTGGATATGACTTGTTTATACTTACTGTTTTAAATTCTTCCCATTATATTCCCTCTTGCTACCACTTAAAAAACTCTCATTGTAACCACAAAAAAATAGATCTTAATTGTCCTTTCACTAATATTTAATAGGGTTTTAAATATTTTTCCGTCTGTGATCAATTCTTCCTTTGGTAAAATGATCTAATCCTTGTTGTTAAATACCATCTGCATAATATTGGGTCCCAGTTTGTATCTTTTATCTTGACCTCCTATCTAAAGTTCAGACTCACTTACCTGACTGCTTGCTCTCTTATTCTGTTTTGGCATTTTAATCTCAATATGTCCAAAAAAGAGTTTTTAATTTCCAATTCATCCAGATATTTTTCTTTGACAATATTTCCAGTTATAATCAATGGCAATGTAGTCAACTACTTACTCAAGCCAAAGTCTCTGAGTCATTCTTGACTATTCTTTCAACATACATTTAATTTATCAGCAAATTCTGTCATCTTTGTTAAAAATACACATAGAATATGAATATCTCTTCCCACTTATGTGGTCTTTTCTGCTTCCCCTTATTTTAGAAATATATTTTGCCCTTTCCTTTTTGTTGGGTAGCAGCATGTCTGGTGGCCACAAAAATTGAGGGAGTTTTGGACGTGCAGGGAAGGCTGTGAACTGGGAGTCTGGGGCACGCAGGGAAGGGTGTGAAGTGGAAGTCTGGGACATGCAGGGAAGGGTGTGAAGTGGGAGTTTGGGACACGCAGAGAAGGCTGTGAAGGTATTGTCAGGTAGCCCTGGTAGGGGGTAGAGTGCACCTGAGGCTGGTAGAGATAGCTGTCATTCTGCCATGGTTGAAATATTGGTTGTATTAAACAAACAAGTAAATAGGTCAAGGTGACAGGTTTCTCACTGTGTAGAGGAATAAATAAATATAAGACTATATATACATATATAAATACATGTAATCATGTTAATAGCTATACTTTCTATATAAATGTGTTTATTCTTGGTTCATTATATATGTGTGTACCTATAATATTCATATTACATATGAATATATAACATATGGATATATAACATATGTAATATGAACTAGAGTTCCTTGGAGAAATGAATAATTCCAGCACTAAAGCAAGAAAAAGTCAAATTGAGTCTGCAGCATCTTGTTATGCCAAAACTAAGAAATGCTCAAAGAATCATGGCAATTTATCAGAAAGATACAGAAGTTATCAAGAAGAGATTCCTAATGACAACATTTGGACAATTAGAGCATCAAGGAAAATATTACATTAAATAGAAATTCATGTATCCATATGAAATCAATACATAAATAAATAGATGAGTAAGTATAAATGGTAAATAAGGGAAGGCTTTGCTTTCAGCCAGCCACAAAACAGAGAGTCATCAATGTTAAACATCAGAATGGTGACTGATTGAGGTAGTTGCCATCAATGAATGCCAATGCTGGACATTTGATGAGGGACAGAATATTTGCAATGTTTTTGAACCTGTTATCACATTGTGCTTCGTTGATCGTAATTTTTTAAAAAATGATGAGTTGTGGTGATGTTTGGCAGACAACAACACAACAAGAATGCATGACCTGAGTCTGGTCAGAAGGAAATATCAGGTGGTCACAGATTGAAGGCCAAACCTTTTAAAATTATAAGAACAGGAGGGATATGGAAGAACTGAGAAGCTTTACAGACTAATGGAACCTGAAGAGACAAAACAAATGACTGCAGCACATGCTCATGAACAGGACTCTCAACAAGAAAAGGAAAAGAGCCAGTGTTGCAAGGATTGATGGATTTGCATGGCATTTCTTGGTTGGATGGTAGTGTGGTATCAGCTTTGATTTCCAGCTTTGGAGGACTGTATGATGATTATCTGGGCCAATGTTCTTGTCCTTGGAAGGTTCACACTGGAGCATTTGGGGATGATGCAACACCAAGTTAGCAGTTTTCTCACAAATGTTTCCAAAAAAAGAGTAAAGAAAGAGATGCAGTAAAGCACCAACAGTATTAAAATAAATTATGAAGAATTATTTAAAATACATAGATAAGTTAACCCCAACCAAAGGGTAAAGAAGAACAAAGCACTCTGATTAATTATATGTCAATTATATGGTAAATACTTGATGTCGGTTATATTGTAAACACAAACAACAAATATTCCATTCACAATATAGAAGTGTAATACTTAAATTCCAATAATAAACCAAATTTGAATAATTACACCATCATGCTATTAACCTTCAAAATCAAACTCTCTATACTACTTCTCTAGACCAAGATTAAAGCAGTAGGAATACAAAGAATCAAAGATACAAAGCAAAATCACACGTAACTATTCTTTTATTTTCAAAATGCATTTCTTTTGTTTAGATAGTCAGGTAAATGTATTTACTCAATTTGGCTTTTCTTTGATGGTCTACTTACTTATAATCAAATAAAAATGAGCTTCTGTGTTAATAATGAGGATGCAGGTGGATACCTTAGAAATGCAGGTGTCTGAAATGAATGCCTAAAATGTCAGAGACATATGACTCAGCTGCTGTGGAAGCTGTCAGTTTCCTTTCCAGCTGGAATCATATTGGAATGGGTAATTACTGTAACACTTTCAGCAAGAGACAGACATGTCCCTGTGAATATCAGTCATCAAGTGGAAATTCCCAGAGAATCTGAGTCAGTGCCATCTAAAAGGAAAGTTCTAGAAAATGAACAGAAGTCTCTATATTTTTCCTTTTATTAAAAAGAAGCCTTTTCTATAGTTAGCAAAATTCAGTTTTCTTTCTACATAAAAAATTACATGTTTCTGAAAATCATGCCTTTTTACCTTCTATCAAACCCACTTTTCCTTCTTTTTGATGAACAAGAGCTATTATAACATAATTTTATCTGCTATAACTGAGGCCCATTAGTAAATTCTGACAGATAATTATCTAAATCAATGAGTATTTTCTTTTTAAAAATAAATCTGGCTGAGTGATATTATAAGAAATACATTGCCAAATCGTGACAGCCATAGACTAGTGAGAAATACGTTCCAAGTTGCTTTCAAATTAAGTCATAAATAGGCCTGTCTTCCTTAATGACATAAGATTAGATGATGATTTAAACAAACATTTATTGAATACTCACTCAATTTCCTCATCTATACACTGTGGATAATAACAGCACATACTTTATAGAGCTGTGGATAAAAATGAGTTACCACACGTTAGTAAGTGCTTAATATAAGATAGCTGTTATTATTAATATTATCATACTAGAGATAAAATATATACTGCCTCTTCTTGAGAGACTCACAGATTTATATAGAAAGTGAGTTATCCATAAATTCACATAAAATATTTTAATGGTAGCTCCACTCTAAATAAGATATCCCAGATAAATAAGACTTACCTGAGGGATTTAAACTGCCTAAAGTTTTTAGTTTTTCTGCTGAAAATAGTAGATAAGTGGTTTATGGCACTGAATTGAGAAAAAAGAAAAAAAAAGGATTTGTCTATAAAAAGATCCCTCTAGAGCCTGTACAGAATAGATAATACAGGTAGAAGAGAAGAAAAATGTCTTAGTATATGAACAGACACTTCTCAAAAGAAGACATTTATGCAGCCAAAAGACACATGAAAAAATGCTCATCATCACTGGCCATCAGAGAAATGCAAATCAAAACCACAATGAGATACCATCTCACATCAGTTAGAATGGTGATCATTAAAAAGTCAGGAAACAACAGGTGCTGGAGAGGATGTGGAGAAATAGGAACACTTTTACACTGTTGGTGGGACTGTAAACTACTTTAACCATTGTGGAAGTCAGTGTGGCGATTCCTCAGGGATCTAGAACTAGAAATACCATTTGTCCCAGCCATCCCATTACTGGGTATATACCGAAAGGATTATAAATCATGCTGCTATAAAGACACATGCACACGTATGTTTATTGTGGCACTATTCACAATAGCAAAGACTTGGAACCAACCCAAATGTCCAACAATGATAGATTGGATTAAGAAAATGTGGCACATATACACCATGGAATACTATGCAGCCATAAAAAATGATGAGTTCATGTCCTTTATAGGGACATGGATGAAGCTGGAAACCATCACTCTCAGCAAACTATCGCAAGGACAAAAAACCAAACACCGCATGTTCTCACTCATAGGTGGGAATTGAACAATGAGAACACATGGACACAGGAAGGGGAACATCACACACCGGGGCCTGTTGTGGGGTGGGGGGAGGGGGGAGGGATAGCATTAGGAGATATACCTAATGTTAAATGACGAGTTAATGGGTGCAGCACAGCAACATGGCACATGTATACATATGTAACTAATCTGCACATTGTGCACATGTACTCTAAAACTGAAAGTATAATAAAAAAAGAAAAATGTCTTAGAAAAAAATAAAAGAGAGAAAGTGTGTTTATAAATGGTTAGTTGTGAGGAGGAGGCTTTTTTTTTTAGAATAAAATGATACTGAAAATGATAGCTAGTTAAGTGAATAATTTAACTTAGACGGAAAGGGCTTGAACAATTCATTTAAAATAATTCTGAGGGGGTACTACCTAGCTTCTATTTGAGTATTTATCTTGTCATTACATAGCATGGGACTTTGATAGATGTGATAAACATGGCTATTTATCTTCCCTCAAGTCACTGACCAAACGGTTCAACAAGGCAAAGCAGAAGACAACCCTATGTGGAATGTCATGAAGGTGCACTCATTAATCAATCTTTGAGTATTACAGTGGCTCGGTAACTAAAATGTACCCACTGTAAGTTTATCTACTTTACAAATATTCTCTTGCTCATTTTGGCCACTCAACTATTATTCACTAATGAACTAACCTCTTTCTGGAGTTCTTCATTTGTCACAAGTTATATATAAGGGAAACAGTGGAAAACATAATTCAGAATTCCTTCAGTAGAAAACATTTGAGTTGATCCACTCAGAACCACAGGAAGAACTACAGCAAAGTCAGTGATAAAGTGCTTTTTGGGTGCTTACTCTACTCTGTTTTAGATTCTGGATTGCAAAGGAAAGGCCGTTGGCATGAAACAATTTATGATACTATCTCATTAAATATTATTTATATGTCACAACAGTTCTCCAACATTTTCAAGAGGAGCAAATATCAACTTTACTGTTCTCACTCATTCAGTGAATAGATGTAAAAGAAAGGCTATGAAAGAAAGAAAATCTTTATTAATTTTCTATTTTGATTCAATAAATGCAAATATCATTTAGAAGTATTATGTCACATAGCTTCACTAAGGGATTGAATAAAACAGACACCAATAGTTGTATTTAACAGATAACTAAACTGAGAATCAGAAAGATTAAATGACTCGCCGAGGTTACATTGCTTTTAGGTGGCCATTTGGTATTCAAAAGCTAGTTTTTGTGAATTAGAAGCTACATTGTTTACATCACCCTATATCCCAAAGTTTAATTGCAGAATTGGAGAAGTGCTCCAGGTTATTGAAAAGGATGGACATTTGTCATTTATTTAATTCATTAATATTTGAATCCTCATAGTGAACATGCGGAGCTCTGTCCAATGCAGAGCTCTGCCCAGATCTACTCAATGTCCTTTCATAATTTCTGTGTGCTTCCTGGTTTCTGAAAGCCTCTGCATTGCTCTCTAGTGGCTTGGACATGCAACTCTTTTTCAGAGGTCTATCCTCAGGCTGAGATGCTTCCTCCTTATTTACAGAAAGCTAGAAGTGCCTGGAAATGTATATTCCTTCAGGGTGCAGTTTTTAGCCAATGGCTGATGAGTTGGGGAAGAATGGAAAATCTCAGCTCTCTTGTCTTGAAGTTATAAAATGTAAGGTAAATTTTATTCTGGGTGGCCCTTTCATATGTTATGATCTGAGTGACAGGAGAGTCTCTGGACCCAATGGATCCCACAAGCCAAGGCAGAAAAGCGACTGGTGGGTTCTTGGTCTTATATAAAACATCAGTTTTGTTTTTTTTTTAAATGTTCACTTCTATGTGTCATTCAATTTATTTCTCAACCCTCTGCCAAACGAGTGCTGGTATGTCCACTTTATTTTATGTATGCCACTGTTGTTTTACAAGTTCCTGGAAATCTTGCAAGGTAAAAACCTTGAGTCATGTATGAGTGCTCCCATATTAATATCCCCCATACCCAACCGGGTATTCTAACACTTTCACTACCCAACATGAGGTTGTTTTCTGTTTCTACACTTCTGATAAATAACCCCTCTTTTCACCCCTTAGCAGAGACACTAGGTTGCAAAAAGCCAACGTTTGGTTTTATTGATTATCTCTATTACTTTTCTACTTCACTGATGGCAACTGTAATTAAAAAAAAAATTCTTCCTTACACTTGCTTTGGGTTTCAGTTGCTCTTTATCCCATTTCTTAAAGTGGAAGCTTAAGTTATGGTTTTACATCTTTATTGAGGTTCAACAATTCCTTCATTTTTATGTCACATACTTTAAAAATTTTAAATGAAGATAACTGACACTTTAAAAAGCTTTTAATCATTATATGTTAACATCTTAATTTTATCTAAGCATTTATTTCTATATACTGGTTTTTAGATAATGTTAATTTTAATTTCTTCTGGAAGGTAGGATTTGGGATGATTCTGTAGTTTAGCCAATGTGCATTTATCATTTTAACAAAAAGTTATGTCAAATTCAAATTAATATAGAAATGTGATTAATAATAGACCTTATGGATTCAATGTTTCAGCTTGTTATCTAATCGAAATAATATAGACAATAGTCTATAACTCAATTACTTGGGGAAAATTTTTATTTTATAAGCTAAAGAATATTTCCAAAAATATTTTTACATTTAATGATCTATGATACATGTCTCCTAGTTATGAGCCTTTTAGAAAGTATGATCAGCTTCTTAAAAATTATTTCAGGCAGCTTAATATTAATAATAATACTAAATTTTTTAATTAAAATAATATAGGAGACCACCAAAAAGACTTAAGGTAAGTAGTTATCATATGGTGTTTTGGGTGAATTAATTAGAAGTCAACATTTATTTCTCTTTTTTATATATGTAAAGATATATGAAAGAATATTTTTAAAAATTTCCTGGGAACAAAGAGGAAAGAAAAATTTGTTCCATGTGTTTCAATATAAAGACAAATAAGGCACAGAAAATACATGAAGTAATTTATTCCTATAAAATTTTGTATATCGGACAGAAAAACTTTTATACTGATGCTTCTTATACATAGTATATATAAAAGCTTATGCCATAACACTGAGTCAAAAGGTTGTCATTTCCCCCTTAAATATTACTTACAGGTTTATAGTCCACCTTGTTTAGAAATGATATGAATAAGTATATTACAGTAATAATTTCTTAAATAAGAACACAAAGTAAAAACTTAGAACTCTTATTTCCCTTGTCTTTCTATGACTCTTTAAACATAAAAAACTTGACAGACAAAGCACCTTCTCTTGGAATTTTATGTAACCTGAAAAAAATAAGAGTAAGAAATTACATAGTGATTTTTAAAACACAATCCCAAATTTCTAGGTACTGTAAATACCAAAATAACAGAGGATACAATAAATCCCTCAGAAATATAGAACCACAAACTTCCCTTGTCCATTTTGTTGTATAGATTGCTAATGATGGTGACCACTCAGAGCTGACTAGATTTAATTATAATTTGTAGCTTAAACAATATTTGAAAAAGGATCTTTCAAGCTCAAATTAGAGTCAGGTTATTTTCTTAGCTCTCAGAATCTGAAGGACATCATAGGGTTAATAATCTGAAGGTTCTCCTGTCAAATGTGGTGTGTCTTTTCTTAAGTCACTATTGAACTTCTGAAGATCCACAATCATAAAAATCTGCCTCTTGTAAACTGTGACAATTTAGTTCTATATACTCTCTTTGGATAATGAAATATACTAAAATATTTGCTTCAAATTCCATCTATATAATATAACGGTTCATATATATATGTGTGTGTGTATAGATATATACATACACACCTAACATAGAAACACCAATATATCCAAAGCCTATTGAAAATTTCCATTTGGAAATCTTACAGACATGATTAACTAATATAAATTTTTGCCTAAACCAAATAAACTAAAGTCTATATGAATAAATCTCAGATGAGCTAGAATCATGAGTCTAAACTTGTATAAATTAAATTGTTTTTATTCTATATGTTAACATATTTATATTTGGAAGTTTTTATATTTTACTGTATTTTTCTATCCTTTAAAACAAGCTTGTCCAACCTGTTGCCCGCAGGCCACGTGTGGCCCAGGACGGCTTTGAATGTTGCCTAACACAAATTCATAAACTTTCTTAAAACATTATGAGATGTTTTTGTGTGATTTTTTTTTTAGCTCATCAGCTATTGTTATTGTTAGTGTAGTTTATGTGTAGCCCAAGATAATTATTCTTCCAATGTGGCCCAGGGAAGCCAAATGATTAGATAGGACTGTTTTAAATAGTAATGCATTTTTTTTCAGATAATTAATCTAATAACACTTCTCTCTTAATTTTAAGAAAAATCAAATTTTGAGCTACTGTGATCTAACAGGAAAATGAGGCTATCAAAAATTGGACATGTGCAAAAAAAGAAACAGTCATTCATTTATAATTAGGAGAACAAATATATATTAGTACGCCTTTCCTGTTGATGAATTCATTTGCTACTCTTCCAGACTCTGTGCTATGCTAGGACCCAGAGCTAGAAGAGCTCAGCTTCTAAAAAGTCAAGAAGAGCAACTTCAAGATTCAGAGGAGGCTTAAAAGGCAAGGAAAAATATTTTCTTCATCTGGGATAATCTTGTGTTTAAAGAATGTAAATACTTCTTTCTATGTGAGTTAGAAATTGTAGAAAATAAAGTTAATGAGTTAGTTAGTATAAAGTGGCCTAAAATATATGAAAGGTTCAAAAATTGAAAGATACGTTAACAGTTACAAAAGGAAAAAACCTTTCTTCTATGTATGAGATGTAAATATGATTAATAGAACTTTTGAGCGAACAGATCATTAGGCAAATTGATCATTAATTAACTGGCATTAAGCAAATTTGTTTTAGGTGGACTTGCTTTCTTCTAATTCAATAAATCTGAAACCTATGCAGATATTTTTATTTGAGCTCAGTTTCAAAAGTAGCACAAAATGTCTTTGTAAGTGTTGAGCTTTTTTTCCATATTAAAATAAGGAGGATTGGGTAATAGCCACCAAAATGTCAAATCAAGTAAGTAATTTAGGTTGTCCTTTTCACAAACTCATCTGAATGATACATTTCTTTACAAAATGAAATGTAACACATGGGGTATTTTCAGATAATTTTTGACAAGCCATGGTACCAAGTCTACATAATTTTTTTAGCATAATAATGTATTTTCTTATCAAAATGTCATTAAAATTTAGAATCTCAGCAAAACATGTGTGAAATACTTTGTAATATACACTATTCTTAAGAAGAATGATATATTTCTTCTGTGTCCTATACAATTTAACTATTCTCAAATAGATTGGCCCCGTTTATGTGCATTAATTTAATTTAGTTTTGAGACATTTGTGGTATAATTATAGTTAGGTCTTATTTTCCTCATTTGCCTAAACACAAAGTTCTTATTTTAACAAACCAAAAACAGACCACCCATATTGTAGACTTGAAATCTCATTAACACAGTGCAGAGCTAGAGTCCAACATACAATATGAGTGTGTATATGTGTGTCTGTGTGTGTGTATGATAGAAAAAGACAGAAAAAGACATAGAGATTGACAGAGAAAAATTAAGACCTGAAATTTTCAGGGTTACCTAAATATTCACTCCAGTCATTATGTAGGAGGGAATATAATATTCCTAAATCATGCTGCATTTGTTTTCTACAGGATGCTTTCTCTGAGTTAATTAATTCAAGATATACGTTCTTACTGCCCACTTTCTAACATTTTCACTAAAAGAAACTGATAATTCAATAATGAATAAGCCACAGATCCTTCCAAACTGAATGCTATACAGCTTAATATAATGCAGCAATAAGAAACATGAAAAAAAGAACTCTAAGTGCCTGAAACATACCTGTGTGATTAGACCTTATTATTCCACTGTTTCTGGAAGATGTTGTATCCACTTGATCTGTCTACTTTTAATGCTAATCTTTTAAATGCAATGCTCAGTTAGTGTCACTAGGTTCAATTATCCATAATAATATCCAAAGCTATTTTAAAGTAATGATTTTATAAAGCCAGAAGAAATGATTCATGGAAAATATCACAAATTATTATATGAAATAAGAATTATAAACAGTTAATTTGATTTAAATTATGTATTTAGAAAGCTGTCTGTACTATATTTCCTCACTAATAATCTCTAGAGTTTCTATGAAAGATATTGCTATACTGTCCCGCTCCTTTTTGGTTACTCTGCTTTTAATACTTCTTCAAGAAATCTGTGTTTGGATGATCTGCTTGAGGTTGCTAAGAAAATTCCCAAGGAATAAACAATGGCAGATGAAGATTTGACTTTTCTTTTTGCTCATGAGCTGTTCAAAAAACTAGTTCTTTGCATCATTGCTTTCTATTCTTCAAAATAATATAACATTAAAATATAAAATCATACACATTTAAAGGAATAAAACTTCGCAGAGATTAATTTTTATCTATAGGCCAAATAAAGCTAAAATTGTAGAGAAAAATACAGCTAGTCAAAACCATAAGGCAATATAAAGTGTTCAGTCTGTTTTTACTGAAGGATATAAAGTGAATGGTGCTTCCTAAGCAATGAGGTTTGAAAGCATTTCGAGGAAAAGATTGATTTTCACACTCAATGTTTGTAAATGGCCTTTTGGAAGAGGGAAATCAAGCCACATCAAGTCATAATATCACAAGACAACTGGAATGTAGCTGCCACCACAGGACATCATGAAAACCCTCCAAGGGTAGTGTGATGCCTCCAGCTTTGTTATTTTTGTTTGGGATTGTCTTGGCTATATGGAATCTTTTTTTGGTTCCATATGAATTTTAAAAGTGTTTTCTAATTATGTGAAGAATGTCAACGGTGGTTTATTAAAAATAGAATTGAATTTGTAAATTATTTGGGCATTATAGGCATTTTCATGACATTGATTCTTCATATACACGACCATGGAATGTTTTTTCATTTGTTTGTTGTCTCTCTGATTTCCTTGAGCAGTGGTTTGTGGTTCTCTTTGAAGAGGTCCTTTACTTGCCTTGTTAGCTGTATTCCTAGGTATTTTATTTTCTTTGTAGCAATTGTGAATGGGAGTTCATTCATGATTTGGCTCTCTGTTTGTCTATTGTTGGTGTATAGGAATGCTAGCAATTTCTGCACATTGATTTTGTATCCTGAGACAGCTTAAGTTGCTTATCAGCTTAAGAAGCTTTTGGGCTGAGAGGATGTGTGGGGTTTTCTAGATATAGGATCATGTCATCTACAAACAAAGATAATTTAACTTCCTCTTTTCCTATTTGAATACCATTTATTTTTATCTTGCCTGATTGCCCTGGCCAGAACTTCCAATACTATGTTGAATAGGAGTGGTGAGAGATGGCATCCTTCTATTCTGGTGATTTTCAAGGGGAATGCTTAGAACATTCATGCTACCTGACTTCATACTATACTACAAGGCTACAGTAACCAAAACAGCATGGTACCAGTACAAAAACAGACACATAAACCAATGGAAAACAATAGAGAACTCAGAAATAAGACCACACACCTACAGAAATCTGACCTTTGACAAACCTGACAAAAATAAGCAAAGGGGAAAGGATTTTCTATTTAATAAATAGTGCTGGGAGAACTGGCTAGCCATATGCAGAAAATTGAAACTGGACCCCTTCCTTACACATTTTACACAAATTATGTGAAGATGGATTAAAGACTTAAATGTAAAATTCGAAACTATAAAAGCCCTGGGAGAAAATCTAGGCAATACCATTCAGGACATAGGCACAGGTAAAGACTTCATGATGAAAATAACAAAAGCAATTACCACAAAATCAAAAATTGACAAATGGCATCTAATTGAACTAAAGAGCTTCTGCACAGCAAAAGAAACTATCATCAGGGTGAACAGATAACCTACAGAATGGAAGAAAAATTTTGCAATCTATTCTTCTGACCAAGGTCTAATATCCAGAGTCTACAAGAAACTTAAACAAGTTTATAAGAAAAAGAAAAACAGCCCTATTAAAAAGTGGGCAAAGGACATGAAAACACTTCTCAAAAGAAGACATTTATATGGCCAACAAATATATGAAAAAGAGCTCAACATCACTCATCATTAGAGAAATGCAAGTCAAAACCACAATGAGATACCATTTCATTCCAGTGAGAATGGTGATTATTAAAAAGTCAGGGAACAACAGATGCTGGCGAGGATGTGGAGAAAAAGGACTGCTTTTACACTGTTGGTGGGAAGGCAAATTAGTTCAACCATTGTGGAAGGTAGTGTGGCAATTTCTCAAAGATCTAGAAGCAGAAATACCATTTGATCCAGCAATCACATTACTGGGCATATACTCAAAGGAATATAAATCATTCTGTTACAAAGATAGGTGCATACGTATGTTCATTGCAGCACTAGTCCCAATAGGGAAGACATAGAATCAACCCAAATGCCCATCAATGATAGACTGGATAAAGAAAATGTGGTACATATACACCATGGATTACTATGCACCCATAAAAAGGAATGAGATCATATCCTTTGCAGGCACATGGATGGAGCTGAAAGCCGTTATCCTCAGCAAACTAACACAGAAACGGAAAACCAAACACCACATTTTCTCATTTGTAAGTGGGAGCTGAACGATGAGAACACATGGACACATCAGGGGACGAACACACACTGGGGCCTGTCAGGTGGGGCAGGGGGAGGAAGAGCATCAGGAAGAGTAGCTAATGGATGGTGAGCTTAATACCTAGGTGATGGGTGGATATTACAGCAAACCACCATGGCACACATTTGCCTATGTAACAATCCTGCATATCCTGTACATGCACCCTTGAACTTAAAATAAAAGCTGAGGGAAAAAAAAAGTAGTAAGCTAGAATGATAAGATGGTCAGTTATAAAATCAATATATTCTTAAAGAAAAGAAATCTTCCAAGGACCTTATTTTCTCCTAAATCTTCCCCATTAACCAACCACTAAATTAATCTCAAGATTTGATACTAAAAACAATAAATGAATTTTCCCTGGCTTTTTAACAGAATTTCCCTGGAATACAAATGACATAGGGAAATTTATAGAAAAGACTATGACAAGTAAAGCATGAAAAAAAAAATTAAAACCCAGAGAAGAGTACTTTATTGTATCCATATTATTAAAATGCATCTGATGAAAACATACCACTCTTATCATGTTTACAACTAGCATATGACGTGTTTGTCAACTAACCTGTGAACTTCAAGAGATTTTATGTTTATTAATTTCTTAAATGGCTAAGCATATTACAATGCTGTAAACACTATTTGAGACTCAGCAATAACTGTTGAATGAGAAAGCAAATTAATGTTAAACAGCTTCATGGTTTTAAAGTTACTAATATTAAAACTTTTGTATCAATTCAGTTGGAAATGAATTCAGCTGATGTTTGAGTATGTACCCAGCAGTCTTAATTCTACACATACATTTACCAATCTAATAATTCAGCAACTGAGAACAAATTATTGAGAATCTAATGTGTCCAAAGTACTACAATAATTAAACAACAAATATAACAATAAAATAAATAGACAAGGCCTATTCTTTTATGGAGCTTAAAATTTATCATAAAAAAACAATGTCCCAGGTCACTACAAAAAAATATGATTAAAATGGAGCTAGCGAAATGTATTGAGAACAGAAACAATAGGAAGACTTAATACAGCTTTAGCTGAAATCAGATGGATGAATTGAAGTTAGTCATTTGCAACTGTAGAGAAAGAGTTTGTATAGCAATTGGGTAAAATATATATAAAGGCTTGGATTGGGGGAAGGGCTTGATTAATCTCAGGAACTGAAAAAATATAATACAAATGGAATATGGGGATAGGTCTAGCAAACCAAGGGACTGACAAAATAATGAAGAATGAACTGGAGAAGAATGTTATAAGACAAGATCACTGGTTTGGTTTTTATTTCATAGGCAATGAGAATCTGCTAAAGAGTTTTATTTTAAATATACTGGCATTTTGTTAAGATCATTCTGACTGCAATGTGGAGATTGAATTAGAGATGAGAAACCAAATATGAAACTTAACTTCTGCTTTATCCCTCATTTGTGTCTTGCGTTAGTATCACTGTAGATATTAACTATAGAGACCATATTTAGAAAAATAAATGAAAGCTCTGTTAAAATCTTCAGCATCAAATAAGAAAATCTAAACACAATTTTAATAAAAACAGTTATTTCATATCTAGGTCGAAAAGAAGACAAGAGTAAGCAAGAGAGAGAGAGGAAAAAGAAAATAAATTGTACTAAATATTACACACAAGTACTTTAGCCTCACTGATATAAATTAAAATTTAAAGAGTTAAAATAATACACATAAATCATGTTTATATATTTTACAGGTAACACATTATTCCTAAAACTTTTCTCCCATAAAGCTGTTGTCAATGCATGAACATTCAACAACCATTTACATAAAATACATATGTAATTGTCATGCTTCAATTATTATGTTAATAAATCCTCAGTCTTTCTGATGGGGGAAATTAGCATAAGTATCTCATTACAATGTGGGAAATTTTCTACTAAACAAACCAAATTATTTTGCAAAGGCCATTGAACAGCTGTCAAATGAAACTGACTTTTGGTCGAAATCTGTGGGTGTCTGATTCAGACTAACAATATACAGGTTAAATGTATGTAAGTGACTCATCAGAGCCCCAAGTCTCTCTACTATTTAAATAAAGTTTTCAGGCAAGACAGGGCTCATGATAATTCTTTCCATATCATTAGCAAAACTATTGTGCAATGTTTTAGGTTAACCAACTCTGCATACTCAAAAGGCATGTAAATTTCCTGATGAATAATATATAGAAAGACACAAAACTGTGGCACTGACTTCTGATGATTTATATGCACTCCTTGAAGAGGATGATTTTAATAAGCCATAGATAAAAGATATAAACTATATGCTGATTTGCTAATTTAAAAAAATGATATTTTGTGATTAATTTTCACATTTTATTCACATTGAAAAAGCTATAAACACATCAGAGATAGTAAGTAATAAATGAAATAAAACAAAGGACAATGTAATATATGAATCTAAAAATATGTAAATTTTTGTAAGTAAAATAGAAAGATCTCTATAACTTTGTTTTATAAATTAATCTGTGATTTGATAAAGGCAGTTGACATATGTACTTTGTCATCTTAGCCATTTTCTTCTATTTGTATTCTTCCTCCTTACCCCCTTCTATTCTTCCTCTTCCTCTTTCTTTTACTATGATTACTGTAATAACTACTATCCATTATTATAATAATGACAGCAATCCTTCAATGATTCACTTAATATTTACTGTAAGCCTGGAACTCTGCTAAGCTAATGACATTAGATAATTTTATTTAATTCTCACAATAAATTTATGAGGTAAGAATTATTATTTTAATTTTCCATTGAAGTATCAGTCTAAAATAATTTAAACAGATTTTCCAAGGTCACATAGCTAAATCATACAGGGTTGGTCTTGATTTCTAATTCTACCTGATTCCAGAGTTCATGATCTTAACTGCTTTACTATTTTGCCTTCATCTGGCAAAATAGTTTAATTAAGGCCAAAACTGAACAAATGAATAGACAGTGAATGCACTCAAGAGTACGACAAGGAAAAAAGAAATAATATTTTAAAAATAACTCATGAGTTTTCTGTAATGTTTGTTCATTTAATTTTTCTTTCATTTGCAGTTTATCACCTCAGAAATGAGGGGAAGTATTGGAACAACAACATCAATAAAAAAAGTTCTTATTTAGGAAAAATATCCCTCTGACAAATCAGAGAGGAATTAGATGTAGAAAGGATATTCATAGCTGTTGTCTGGTGCCTTTTTTTTTTTTTTTTTTTTTTTTTTTAGTAGAGCTGGGGTTTCACCATGTTGACCAGGATGCTCTTGATCTCTTGACCTTGTGATCCACCTGCCTCATCCTCCCAAAACTGATGCCCTTTTAATAAACCCAGCACTTCCTATTTCCTTGCATCACAGCTCAGGTTTTGGAATGAAAGACAGACTCTCTAATAGAAAAGACATAATAATTTGAAGGATTCCAAGAACATCATGGCTAGTGTGCCACTGGTCATCGATTATGGGAGGATGTAATAGTCAATGACCGCACACTTTTCACATGGTGCCATATCCAATATTGCAGACAGACTGCTATAACAGGATAGCCATGACTAGTGGATAACAGGATAGCCATAACTAGTGGAGACCCAGGAAAGAAACTTCCCTATACACTGTAGTATGGTGAGAAGGAAGTGACCAGATTCCCCTAGCCACCTGGAAGTGCTTATTGACAAGTGAGAAGAAGAAGCCTGGATAGAACTCTGGATGTTGCAGTTCAGATGCATTCTACACCTCCAGAGTGTGGCAAATATCAAATTTATAAAATCCAAGGAAACACAGAGAGCCAGTGACACCACAGAACACACCAGCACAGGATGCTCAAGAGCAGACCGGATGAGCCACACATGGCAGACAGCTTAAAGCATGCAGCAAAAGACCAGAACTATAGAGAATCCCAATATAGGCATAAATTACTTTGCTCCTGAAGACAGATAACATCATGGAAAGAGAGAGAGAGAGAGGAGAGAAGGCCATTTGAGAGAGGACAGAGAAAGCTCTGACAGGAAGTAGAAACTTTAAAAATAAATTGGTATTTACCCTAATACCTGAATTAATCCAAAACGGACTCTTTTAAAGAGGAAACAAAGAGTTATCTTTAACTCACTGGTATCCCTCTTCTCTCAGGGGTCCATAGGTAATACACTGCTTCTGTTATTTCATGTATTTTGGGGAGCTGCCTCTTTTGTGTCTTGCCTGACCTAGACCTGAACCTAACTACCGTCCCAGTTGGGGCTGTCTTAAGAGAGTGGCCGTCTTCGTAGGAACAAACTGGATTCAGGTCAGACAAGAGTTACAAGGACATCTGCCAATATAAACAAGTTTCCTGTGAGAGGACAGCTGTCACAGATTAGACATTTAGGCTAAAGAAGTAGCCTGTGAAAGGCTTATTGTAAACATCCAAAACAAAATTCCTTAGATTCTTGGTCATGTCATGGCTACCACTTATGACCACTCTCTGGAGAGAAACCTTGAGACAAAACTAGAAAAAAAGCTGCAGATATTCTAGAAAATTTAAAATTACTTGCAGAAAAAAAAAAAAAAAAGAAAAGCAAGTGTATTTTTGGGTAGTATTGCATTAATCTTGACCAATCTGACAAACAGGAAAACACACTCCCACTAGCTTAATATTCTAAACACTAGAGTAATTCACTTAACTTTAATAAATAGTGGGCCATTATTATTTAAAATAATTATGTGTTCCTCTTTAACAAGAGTAAAACAAAAAGTCAATTCAATACTCAAATTAATCAATAAAATAAAACGTACAGTCATTTTGACTCATCTACATAAATGACTAAGATCATTTTTTATTCCGACTATTTATTTTCAAGTATAATATTCTAAAATGAGCATATGCCTAAAGATATAAATTAAAAATGCCAATCATCCCAGGAATAAGACCCTTACTTTCTCCAAATTTTTTTTCATCTCTTCGCTGCTTATTAAAGCTTTCATCAGAGGAAGAAAAAAAGATTAAACTATTGCAGGTGACATTATAAAATCAATCAAATGAGTGAGTTACTTCCACACTTCCTATTTAAAAAAATTAAAGAAATCAGAGACTTACAGATAATTCATGTGTGGAGCCTTCTCTAATTCACACTTAGGTTTTATCAGTTTATATACAATGGAATCCTGTAGATAATATCTCTTGATTAGTATTCCAAGTCTAATGGTCAAACAGATTTTACATGTAGAAAAGAGATCAAATTAATTGAGATAATACATTGGATAAAATTATACTTGGCATTGAAGGACAGCTCAAATGTGGTATCACAGAAAATAAGAACATTTATACCACCAGAAACACTCATGGAGGTATTGGTACAACGAGTTTGTTAAACACGTGTTAAATATCATCTAAACAAAACTAAGTAAAATAGATTAAGAAAAGATTCTCTAATACATTAAGAATTCATCTTAGCTGATGTATTAGCCCTGCCTACTTTCTTAAAATCTCTCCCTATTGTTATCACAATAAGTTATAAACCTATTATTATAAACCATGGTTAATGATCAATTTTTAAAATAAATGAAAGAAAAACTGAAAGCAAAACAACCACTGAATGTGATTCTCCACTGCTCAGGCACTGCATCTTTCAGGTTCAGCTGTTTTCCATCCTCTCCATTCATCTTTCTGAGGTACTGGGAACTACAACTGAAATAAAGGCAAATAGCAAGAAGTCTTTGGCCTGGTATTATTCCACCTCATGACAACTGGCAGAGGTCTTATAGTTTATACACCATGATTGTGGGAATGCATGTGGGGATGGGATGCAGTGAGGTGCTATAAAAAATGTATCTTCTTATGTAAAAGAGGATTATGGATACTGTTATTTTTTGTCTTGGTGATCAGAGAAATATAGCTTTCTGAATGTACATAGAAATTCCTAATTCTAGTGGCAGCGTGGAACACATGCACTAAAGATCGTTACCTAAATCCTGAAGAAAATTCACTTTGTAATGAATTTTTGGACTTACTCTCTATCATTGTCAATAACAAACCTGATATACAAACTTTGAATGCAAATGTCCCAATTCACACAAAGATCCTGAAATTAATTCTTGAACTAGCAGCAGGTTTGAACAGTTTACTTTTACATTTCATATTGAACCATAAACCTTGAAAGCAAAACTGTCCCGTAGGTGTCTAGTAGCCCCAAGTTTGCGATAATACGTTTATCGCACATCAAATTTCATTCTGGAAAAAAAAAATCCACAATTCTGCTTCTCTGAATTTCTAAGGAGTAAAATTAAAAAAAAAAAACATCATAATCAAGGATAACTAAAACATAAGGAAATGAGCTACTATGAATCAAAGTCAGTATAAGCATCGAATGTATTTGGACTACAAAAGTTTTTATATATTAGAATTATTTGATACATAATATAGAATAACATGTCTGAACTAGACAGCATGGTTAATTTCATAAAAAAGGTATTAATCATGAAATTGTTTTCAAACAGACAATAAAGAATTTTTAACAGGAAAATATATCTTTTATTCTTAAAAATTGAATGATGAACTTTTTTCTCAACAGCTGATTAGAGAATTATGAGAGAATTACTGGACTAAAATTAGATCTGTACGGCTGGCAGCGGTGGCTCCTGCCTGTAATCCCAGCACTTTGGGAGGCCAAGGCAGGTGGATCACGAGGTCAGGAGTTCAAGACCAGCCTGGCCAAGATGCTGAAACCCCGTCTCTACTAAAAATACAAAAAAATTAGCCGAGCGTGGTGACGGGCACCTGTAATCCCAGCTACTCGAGAGGCTGAGACAGAGAATTGCTTGAACCCAGGAGGCAGAAGTTGCAGTGAGCTGAGATCACACCACTGCACTCCAGCCTGGGTGACAGAGTGGGACTCTGTCTCGAAAAATAAAAATAAAAATAAAAAATAAAATTAGATCTGTAGACAATAATCACGTAAAAGAGAGATTCAAAAAGTTAAACATTTGAAAGAAAAAGTACGTAATATGATAGCTAAAATGAAAAGTTCTAACATATGTCTACTTTAAATTCCAAGAAGATGGGTTACAGAATATTTTGGAGAAATAATACATGCAAAAATAATAACTACAAATTTTAGAGTTGATAAAAGAGTGACCCCATAGATACAGCAAGTTCAATATATACTAACCAAGCTAAGTAAAACAAAAATAATTAAATATATGTACATTGGAGTGAAATGCCCCATCACCAGGGATACAGACAAAGTTTTAAAAGCAGATGGCAAGGACAGATAGAAAATTTACAAATCAACGAATGGTTGACAGGATACTTCTCTGAAGCAACAACAAAAATATCTTAAGATGGTTAAAGAAACAGGTGTCAGCTGAGGACTGGGTATACAGCAGATATAACCTTATAAGTATATACTAGTATATACAGCAGATATAAACTTATTAGTATATACTAGTACATACTAATATCTATTTTATATACTAGTATATAAAATATGCCAGTATATTTATTTGCTAGTATATATATTTAGCATATATTTATATACTAGTATGTAATTTCTAATTTATATACTAGTATAAAATAGAAAGCAAATATGAGTAAAAACAAAACAAAAGAAAAACTTTGAAAAAACATATTACTAACATATCTTTGCTAAACCAACTTCTAGCTTCTCAGACAAGATGAGAAATTACCCTAGAAGTAAATCCTAAAATGGAAACAAACAAAACATAAGCAAAAAGATAATGAAACAGTTAACGTGTAGATAAATCTGAACAAACAGCATCTGTATTAAATGTTATGCAGATAATTTCTAAATTAAGGTATTAAATAGAAATTAGCCTTAAAACATTGGAGATTATTAGGTTATTAAAGAGGAACAGAATTATCAGAATTAAGTGTTCTAGTGTCCTTGTATATAACAGGAGAGAGATTTAAATATTGCTTTGCATTTAAAAAGTTAAGTTTGCAATTAAAAAATTTAATAGCAAACATGGAAAGAATAGAAATAATGTTCTAAATAGCAAAGGAGAAAATACTTAGTAAGAAAAAAAACTGACAAATAGAAAAACTCATCAAATAAGCAAATCAGGAAGGAAAAGAAATATTTTAATTGAGACAAATAGGAATTTCAAAGTATAATGGTAAAAATCAGGGCAAATATATCCTAATAAACAGAAATAGACAAAAACAAAGTGAGAGCTTCTAGAACTTCATTTAAAATGATATGTTTTGTCGCATGAAAGGAAAGAAGGTTAGCATTCCCCTTGACAAACCTAGAAGAGGCTCTTGGGCTTATCTTGGGTCTTAAATATTGTGTAGCTTAAGGAAAACCACTTAACCTCTCTGAGCCTCAATTTTTTCACAACTTTAGGTGTTTCTAAGCAGTACTTCAAGTATCAAATAAGGTAATAACTTAAAAATAAAAAATAAAAAGAGCTCTTAAAATATAAAGAATCACTCTTATGATATATTCCCTACAGAAAAAGTATTTTCCTACTATAGAAATGGAAATGCACTAATAGTTTATACATTAAAAACATACATATGAATTAATAGATGTATAAGCAGTACACTGTAACTAACTGCAGTTTGAGGTATTCAATAACATAAAAAAATTGTCTATGGATCTTTAAATAAATAAATTATATTTTTACAAATGCTATTTACATCTAAAATATAAAGATAGGCCAAAGACAGAGGATGGCAAAGTTTTTATGTAAACGGTCTAATAATAAATATTTTTGGCTTTATGGGCCATGTGGTTTCAGCAGCAACTATTCAACTTGGTTGCTGGAGCATGAAAGCAAACGTAGACCATAAACACATGAATGAGATGGCTATGTCTCAATAATATTTCATTTAACAGCACAGGAGATGGGCCAAAGTTGGCCTGTAGGCCATAGTTCACAACCTCTATCCTAAGATATAGAGAGAAATTTTCACAATAATGGAGGGAAAACATATAACAAGTCAATATTGTCCAAAAGAAAGCTCAAGATAGAGACAAAGGGATCAATTCTTACAATAAAATTTTAAAACCACCAGGAATATACATTTATATACTTGAACATATCTAATAGACTAGCCTTAAACAGCATATTTCAATATTTCAATAACTTAAAAGATACATATTAGTACACACTTTAACATCTCTACAATAAGGATGAATTTCAGTATTTATGGCATTTCATAATTACTGGTGACCAGGCAGCAATCATGACAAA
This sequence comes from Homo sapiens, assembly GCF_000001405.40. NCBI lineage: Eukaryota > Metazoa > Chordata > Mammalia > Primates > Hominidae > Homo > Homo sapiens. The sequence goes on from NC_000004.12 coordinate 170,892,462, forward strand.
GATGTCATTGTTAGACTGTGTGTAAACTTAATCCTTGTATTAGTATGTTTTCACACGGCTGATAAAACAAACCTGAGATTGGGCAATTTACACAATAAAGAGGTTTAAGGGACTTACAATTCCATTTGGCTAAGGAGGCCTCACATTTATGGCAGAAAGTGAAAGGCACATCTCACATGGCAGCAGAGAAGAAAAATGAGCTTGTGCAGGGAATCTTTCCTTTTTAAAACCATCAGATTTCATGAGATGTATTCACTATCATGAGAACAGCACAGGAAAGACTCAGCCCCATGACTGAGTTACCTCCCACTGGGTCCCTGCCACAACGCATAGGTATTCAAGATGAGATTTGGGCAGGAACACAACCAAACCACATCATTCTGCCCCTGGCCCTTCCAAATCTCATGTCCTAACATTTCAAAACCAATCATGACTTCACAATAGTCCCCCAAAGTCTTAACCCACTTTAGCATTAACTCAAAAGTCCACAGTCCAAAGTCTCATCTGAGAAAAGGAAGTCTCTTCTGCCTATGAGTTTGTAAAATCAAAAGCAAAGTTAATTACTTTCTAGATACAATGGGGGTACAGGCATTGGGTAAATACAGCCATTCCAAATGGGAGAAATTGGCCAAAACAAAGGGACTACAGATCCCATGCAAGTCTGAAATCCAGCAGGGCAGTCAAATCTTAAAGCTCCACAATGATCTCCTTTGACTCCAAGTCTCACATCCAGGTCATGCTGATGCAAAAGGTGGGTTTGCATGGTCTTGAGCAGCTCTGCTCCTGTGGCTTTGTAGGGTTCAGCCTCCCTCCCAGCTGCTTTCATGGGCTGGTGCTGAGTGTCTGAGGCTTTTCCAGGCACACGGGGCAAGCTGTCAGTGGATCTATGATTCTAGGGTCTGGAGGAGGGTGGCCCTCTTCTCAGAGCTCCACTAGGCAGTGACCCAGTAGGGATTCTGTGTGGGGGCACCAACCCCACATTTCCTTCTGCACTGCCCTAGCGAAGGTTCTCCATGAGGGCCCCACCCTTGCAGCAAACTTCTACCTGGGCATCCAGGAGTTTTCATATATACTCTGAAATCCAGGTGGAGGTTCGCAAACCCTAATTCTGGACTTCTGTGGATTCACAGGTTCAACACCATGTGGAAACAGCCAAGGCTTGGGGCTTACACTCTCTGAAGCCATGGCCTGAGCTCTACATTGGCCCCTTTCAGCCACGGCTGGAGTGGCTGGGATGCAGGGCACCAAGTCCCAGGGCTGCACACAGCACAAAGACGCTGGGCCCGGCCCACAAAACCACTTTCTCCTCCTAGGCCACCGGGCTTGTGATGGAAGGGACTGCTGTGAAGACCTCTGACATGCCCTGGAGACATTTTCCCCATTGTCTTGGCGATTAACATTCCTTCACCTCCTTGTTACTTATGCAAATTTCTACAGCCAGCTTGAATTTCTCCTCAGAAAATTGGATTTTCTTTTCTATCACATTGTCAGGCTGCAAATTTTCCAAACTTTTATGCTTTGCTTCCCTTATAAAACTAAATGCCTTTAACAGCACCCAAGTCACATCTTGAGTGCTTTGCTGCCTAGAAATTTCTTCCACCAGATACTCTAATTCATCTCTCTCCAGTTCAAAGTTCCACGAATCTCTAGGGCAGGGGCAAAATGCCACCAGTGTCTCTGCCAAAACATAACAGGAGTCACCTTTGCTCCAGTTTCCAACAAGTTCCTCATCTCCATCTGAGACGACCTCAGCCTGGATTTCTTTGTCCATATTATTATCAGCATTTTGGTCAAAGCCATTCAACAAGTCTCTAGGGATTTCCAAAGTTTCCCACATTTTTCTGTCTTCTTCTGAGCCCTCCGAACTGTTCTAACCTCTGCCTGTTACCCAGTTACAAAGTTGCTTCCACATTTTCGGGTATCTTTTCCGCAGCACCCCACTCTCCTGGTACCAATTTACGGTATTAATCTGTTTTCACATTGCTGTTAAAGACATACCCAAGACTGGGCAATTTACAAAAGAAAAAGTTTTAATGGACTCACAGTTTCACGTGGCGGGGAGGCCTCACAATCATGGCAGAAGGTGAAAGGCACATCTCACATGGCTACATGGCTACAGACAGGATAAAAGAGCATATGCAGGGGACCTCTCTTTTTAAAACCATCAGATCTCATGAGACTTATTCACTATCATGAGAACAGCACAGGAAAGATGTGTTACAATGATTCGAATACCTCCCACCAGTTCCCTCCTATAAGATGTGAGAATTCAAGAAGAGATTTGGGTGGGGACACAGCCAAAACTCTATCAATCTTTTATCCTTTTGGCATAAATGGGCACCTTGAAACCCCTTAAGGTTCCAGTTCAGAAGCCCTCTAAGAATCATTTGAAGAAGTAACACAAGTCACAATTGTCTGAAAACCTCCAGTTGTCACAGTAAATTGTCATTATCCCAACTGGAAGAATGAGTGCCAGTGGTTTGAAATGTTCCTTCAGATATTAATGTTGTACTATTCTAATAAATACTTCATTACCATATTCCAAAATATTATGCAATACTTCACAGAAGGTGAATATGAAATGGAAAAATCAACATTGATGATGTGAAAAAGTTCAAAGTATTTAACAATTAGTTATGCTTAATTTATTTGGTTTATGTTATCATTTTTATGTATACATAAGTGTGATATATAATTATTAATTGATAGCAATTATCAGTTAATAATTGGTAACTAACATAATAACTAATAGTGTTCACTTACTCAAAATGGTACATAAAATGATCTATATTATAACAGGTGATGTCTAAAACTGGATAAAATGGTGACCTAAAAATTGATAGAACTACAGGGTGAGATTGCCAAATCCACCATCATAGTGCATTTCAAAATGCCTCTTGTATTGATTGATTTGTCATAAGCAGCACAAAAACTTTTAAAGGCAGAAAATATTTGTTCTGCATAATTAACTGGTTTACCTTAATTGACGTATATTAACACTACTAATAAAAATTTTAAAATTGTTTTCAAAGACCATTTACAAATTCAGCCCTAAAATCTCTCAATATATTTTAATATTTGAGCACATTTTAATCAGAAAGTAATTAAATTTAAAAGTTAAATTAATTATAGTTATACATTGAATACTAGTTTAAATATCTCACTTTTAAAAACTATGATATAATTTCAAAATTTTAAGATTTAAAAAGAATGAGAGAACTTTACATCAAATTTGTAGACTGCAGCAAAACGATATTTTCAAAAAATATATGTCTATACATTTTTAAGAACAAAAAGCCAGATAATCGATGTCACATTTCTCTACTCATGAATTAGAAAATGATAAAAAAAAACTCAGAATAAATCCAAATTAGAATAAAATAATAATAAGGATCAGAGTAGAATTATATAAAATAGGAAACAATATAAAGAGAGAAAAAAACTAAATTGAAGAGTTATTAAATTAAAAAAATTCTGGTTAGATTGAAAAATGAAAAAATAAGGAATTTAAAAGGAAGGTATAATATTTAAATTTCTTAAACTATTTTATTAACTGTATAATCACCATAGTTAATAAAATTCATTAAGAATTTAATATAAATGTAAAATTTTACATGAACAGATTCCTAGGAAATACTTAATTTACAAAAATTGACATAAGAAGACATCCTAAAATTGACAAAAATTGACATGAGAAGACATTCTAAAATAACCTATAATAATGAAATATATTGAATCATTTATTATAAGTCATCCTACAAATAAATCAACTCTGATGATTTGATAGGTGAGTTCTTACAAACACTGAAGAATACATCATTCCAGCAGATACAAAATCTTATAAAGGAGAAAGAATTATAATATAAACACCCCCATCTCATTTTTACTCGCCCCAGTTCAGCCTTAACACCAAAACTCTTCTGAAGTGCAAAAAATGGTACATAATATAAAAAATTAACAGTTTTTCATGATATTTTCTGTAACTATATTAAATGATGTTTGTTTATATTTTAAAATATTTTGTGTAATCAAATATTAAAATACAAATAAATTAAGATCAACAGCACTGATAATAAAGCTCTAAAATGTCTAAACTCTATATTGTTCTGTATCTGTCTTAATTAAATTTTCTCATTAGTAGCAGAAAATTTGATACAGTTTTTCAAGCAGATCAATGATTTATAGTTTTGATCAATACATTCAGAAAAATAATATTTGAGAATATAAAAATATTTTCTGCAATTATAAAATGGTAAAAAACATGAACTGAAATTTCTCTGTCGCTTTCATCTGAATGTTGAAACATGATTGATATGGCTTGAAACAGAGATTTACGACACCTGCTATTCCAAAAATCAAAGATTTAGGACTAAGAATCAGCAGAATATCAGTATGAGGAAAGGAAGAAAATATGTAAGATAAAAATATCCTGTATAAATTTCGCTCTCAGTCTGTCATCAGAAATTATTTTGCTTATAGAATAGGAAAGAGAATAAAACTTGTTTATAAAATTTAGTTTAAATTTAATAGGTTTAGATCTTTATGTCACTTTTTAAAATATAATAATAATAATAAAAGATACAAGTGAAACGAAAATCTAGAAGGAAGTCAGATGTCCTGAAAATGACTCACCATTTTAGTAATTTAAATATAGTATTTTAAAATTTATTTTTTACATTTACAGAGAGAATTGTATGTATTTATTATGCACAATATGTTTTGAAGTGTATATATACATTGCATGATGACTAAATCTAGCTAATTAACATAAGCATCAAATCACATAATTATCACATTTTTTGAGAGAACACTCTAATCCGCTCTCGAAGCATTTTCCAATAATATGGTACAGTATTACCTATAGTTACTATGCAGTACAATAGAACTCTTGAATGTACTCCTCTTATTGTTAGACAAAGACAAATTTGGTATCCTTTGAAGAACATCTCCCTGTCAACCACACCACCGCAGCCCCTGGTGACCACCATTCCACTCTTCCACGAGATAACGTCTTTAGATTCCATCTATGAGTGTATTTGTCTTTCACTTAACAGAATGTCCTCCATGTTCATCTATGTTATCATAAATGAGAGCTTAGCCTTATTTAAGTGCCTGAATTATATTCCTTTCTGTATATAAAAATATAAAATTTACCAACAACAAAAAGCCTAGAACCTGATGGCTTCACTGCTTAATTCTATCAATGTTTTCTTATTACTGATTGAGTTTTCTTACTTGTCATTGGTTCATTTAGATTTTCTATATCTTTTTAATTCTGTCTTGGTAGGTTGTATGCATCAGATAATTTATCTATTTCTTCTAACTCATCCAATTTGTTGGCCTATAATTATTTATAATCATCTCTTATGATCTTCTGCATTTTTGTCATATCAGTTGTAATGTTTTCTGTTTTATTTCTGGTTTTATTAATATGGGTGTTCTCTCTTTATAGCTATTCTGTCTAAAATTTGTTATTTTTATTTATCTTTTAAAAATTAACTCAGTTTTATTGATATTTTCTATTGCTTTTCTGTTCTCTATTTCATTTATTTCTGCTCTCATCTTCATTATTTTCTTCCTCTACTAACTTTGAGCATAGTTTGTTCTTGGCTTTCTAGTTCCTTAAGATGAAATGTTATGTTGTTTAATTGAGGTCTTTTTTCTTTGTCAATATTGATGTATGTTGCTGTAGACTTCCCTCTTATAATTGCTTTTTCTATGTTCCATATGTTTCGTCCCTCCCTATTTTTCTTCCTCTCTTTCCTTTTGGAATGTTATCACCCACTAATTATACAGACCCAAATCTATTATTTCATAAGAACTGTGTAAATAAGTTGTTTTCTAATAGCTTCAAATACTTACTCATTCTTCAATTATTAGCATTTTCCAAGTTTTAAAATAATGATTTCTTTTCCTTAACATTACTTAAAAGTAAAAAAAAAAGTGTTATTTTTAAAATTATAAATACATTTTTGTTGGTAGTGATGTTTCCTTTTGTACTCAGACTTCAATAAATTTGATGTGCTGTAATCCATTGAAACCATTATTCTTTTATGTTTGGGCAATGGGAGGTTATTCAAATGAGCTCTAGATTGTTTTTGATATAATCTGAGCACTCTTATATAGGTAGTTTCTTAGCTCTATGGTGGAATAAAAAGTTCCAAATTTACCTCTTATGTTTTCTATCCCAGCCATGGAATCAAGTTTCTCATGTAAATCTTGTTTCTTTTAATGCAAACTGAAATGTATAAACCATGAAAATATTACCCCCATATATACATTATATATATATATAGGTAGGTAGATAGATAGATCATTTTGTTTATGCATATATACCTACTACTTCAAAATAATAATATACATATTGTGGCTTATAATTATTGAGTCCAGTGCAGTTATTTTTATACTTAGGGTATTATTAAGTTGTTTTGTTTTAAACACATGTATAATTATCTTTTCTGCATCATTTTGGAATCAACTCAAATTTTAGTTAGATTCATTTCATGTTGCTTTCTGGGTTCAGGGTTTGCTTTCTTCCATTTTTATCATTTTTTAAATAATTATTTGAAATATTTTTATATTTCTGATGTCAAATTTGCAAAAGGAAATATACTAAGAAATGTCTATTTTCTATACTTTTTTTCCAGTCTTTTCCAATTCTATCTGTAACATTTTACTAATCTGCTTCGTTACATTTTACATGTAATTCAAGCATACATATATATATGTGTGTGTGTATATATATATATGGCATACATATTTGCATGTATACATAAATAGTATATGTATAATTTATAATATATACACACACAGATTTGTTTTTACACCTAGGTCTTTTATCTTAGTAACATATCTTGGAGAACAATTCATATAAGTACACAGAATCAAATTAAGCCTACTCTTATTTCAGGCCAGTTTACTTCAGATTCTATATTATATCTATTATTCGCTGCATTTGACCTTCTGTGCCCTGTGCTATTCTTTCCTGGCTAGGCTTCATACTTATCACTTTCTCTAAAATTATTTTTAATATCTCATCTTTATATTATTTTTAATATTCATCTTTTCCGTTTTTTATTAAATGAAGGTATTAAGTTCATTCATTCATTCATTTTTGGCTTTCTTTTAGTTAGTCTTTATTTCTGAAATGTTGGTTTTGAAATTTTATTTCTAATTCTTTTATGAGTTCTGTCTAGTCTCTTCACAGTTTCCTTTTCCTCAAATATCTCATTTCTGAATTCATCTAAGTTGGATTCTTGCTATTCTTTCATAGCCTCCAGTATTCTCTACTTTTAGTTTTTTATTTCTTTTTCTTTTTGAAATATTAGATAAGAGTTTTTAAACTATGTGTGGATAAGTCTTTCTGGGGTTCCTCCAGAAATAATCTCTGTAGGAATGTTATTACCTTTACTCTACACTTAAGAGGTAGCTTTTTTATGTGATTTAACTGCAATATTTTCTATTGCTTATGTTAAATTGGGATGAATTTTCCCATAATTCTTGGAGAAAAAGATCTGCCAGGTTACTATTCATAGCTCCACCGTTCTGAGCTAATATCTACTATGAGCCACATTATTTTTTTCTAACACGAGTGGCTTTGAGCTTTTTCACATCTTTTGAGTATTCTCTTCTCCAATTTTTGTTGGAAATTCTCCTTTCTTTCCGCCTAGAGTTTCTGTCCTATTACCTGGGATTCCACTAGCCAAAATCTAGCTTTAGCCTAATAAAGATTACAGGTAGTTAATTCCAAGAATTCACAAGGTGTGCAACCCTCCAATACAATAAAACATTATAGAAGTACATTTGCTCTTACTTACAAGTTTATGCCTTAAAAGGCTTCTCTTAATTTCAGCTGTTCATCTCAGATTGTCCTGTTGACCATTCTTGTTAGTAATTTTGGCAGTTTTGGTGTTCTCAGGTTTTCGGGGTTTTTTTCCTTTGTCTTCCTTTGTCTTCCTATTTGTTTTTTTGTTTTGTTTTGTTTTTTACCCTTCCTACACACTTTCTGAGAGCATACAGTGTTGTTGCTATTGGTAGTTTGTCATACTTTAAGTTTCACAGTGACACTTTGTCACTTAGTTTTGTTTCAAATGTTTTTGGTACATTTCTTGATTTAGTTGCTTTGTTAGATTTTGTGGGTGGATTTGGGAATATTGAATAACCACAGTGCTGCTGACATCTTACCTGATATATCTTGAATATACTGATTTAAATAAAGCTTCAATAATTTCCCTCCTTCCAGATTTCACTAATGTGCCAAACACCTTTATTTATTTTCAAGATTCTTATAAGATATATTAGGTATAAAACATATATTAAGAATCTTTTCAATATTCTTTTCAAGATATATTAGGAAGGAATATTAGTGCAATGAACTTGGGGTATGATGAGGTGAAGAAAATGATTGCGAGTTTTCTTGCCTGGTAGTTTATACAAGTGTTGGTTATTTCCAGGTAGTACTGGACCATAAAGATGAGTATAAGGGGGGGTAGAATAACAGTCAGCAGTCATTTGGATAACAGTTTTGAATTCCCATGATGGGCAAGACATGTTACAGGCAGACTTATTTCTAGACTAAGTGCAACAAGAAAGAAAGCTTTGAAGAGGATACAAAGCATCATCCTCTACCAGTCTGCTGAAGAAACAAGTTATAGGTAAACAGAACATCTTTTTCAAAGATGTATATATATTTTAAACAGGGTTGATTTTGCAAGTCAAAATGATAGTATCTAAAATGTTGGAATTTCATGAAATCTGAAAATGATAATAATCATCATCACAACTTGATATACACCAGGAATTGTGCTATATGTTCTTTTGTACTTTATGTTGTTGAAACTTTGAAATGATCTCATAAGTAAGTATTATCATCCCAATTTTGTGGGTGATAAAGGTTAAATGACGCACCCCAGGTCTCATAGTTTGAAAGTGGTAGAGTACTTTTTATTATTATTTTTATTATTATTATTTTATTTGAGAGGGAGTCTTGCTCTGTTGCCCAGGCTGGAGTGCAGTGGCACAATTTCGGCTCACTGCAACCTCCACCTCCTAGGTTCAAGCAATTCTCCAGCCTCAGCCTCCCAAATAGCTGGGACTACAGGTACCTGCCACCATGTCCGGCTAATTTTTATATTTTTAGTAGAGAGGGGGTTTCAGCATCTTGGCCAGGCTGGTCTTGAACTCCTGAAATTGTGATCCACCTGCCTCAGCCTCCCAAAGTGCTGGGATTACAGGTGTGAGCCACCATGCCCGGCCTAGAGTACTTTTTGAATACCAACCTCTTAACTGGACATAACACTGTATATTTAACCATAGGAAACCATTATGACAAAAAGGTAAATAAATAAACTTGTAACTCAGAAGACAAAACTGTTTAACAAGTCAAATAAAGCATAAACTATAAATAACAGTAAGCAAAGCTTTAAAATTTTGATTTAAAACCACAAGGTTGTGTCAATAATCCTAGGTCGTGGCTTAAAAAAGGTTATGATACAATTGAGAAAATGGGTTTCTGTTATGGAAAAGCATGTCAGGTGATTCTGGAGGAGGCACTGAGATAAGGTAACTTAAAAAATAGTATACAATTAATTTTGCTGTGATCCAGCTTTATCGTCTGAATATATGATTTTTAATAATAATTTTCAATAATTATTTGATTATACAAAATCTACTCTATAACTCTTCATTTATCTTTCTTGGCCTATAAACTTCGTCTTTTAAAAAAAATTCTACAAGGTTTGTCTGCTCCTAAATTCATTTCTTTACATGTAAGTATTCTAGGCTAGCTCCACTTAATGGCCTATTAGCATAAAATTTCACTTCTTGTACTTAATTTAAGAGATATACTATCTGCTCTTGTCTAAATCTTTATAAATACTAGCTAAAATAATTAGTTTTCTGTTAAAAATGATTTTGTAACATTCCATGAAGTCTTATCTATTGTCTTGCTCTCAGTGCTTACCTCTAATACCTGATAGCTTATTGTAAAATCATTCACTTGGTCCCCATTTTGAAAAAAAGAATGAGGAATTCAAGTTCTAATTATAACTGTACAAATGGAAACTTGATGTGAGATAAACGAATTATCTCAAAGCCTGAGACTCTTTCTTGACAATCACAAGAGTGAATTATTTGACCTACAAATACTCCTTTTCTGCTGTCTAACCTTATTGGCATCTTTGGCAGGGGTTTGTTCTATTTTCTTTGTGCTTTCTTTACCATTAAAAAATAGGCAGTATTTACTTTACTTTTATCTCTAAAAGTTTATTTGATCATGGGCTATTTTTAACTCAACTCAGTCAATATCCATTTTGAAAGAGTGATGCGGCCAGGCACGGTGGCTCATGCCTTTAATCCCAGCACTTTGGGAGGTCGAGGCAGGTGGATCACCTGAGGGCAGGAGTTTGAGACCAGCCTGGCCAACATGGAGAAACCTCCGTCTCTACTAAAAATGCAAAAGTTAACCAGGCATGGTGGTACGTGCCTGTAGTCCCAGCTACTCGGGAGGCTGAGGCAGGAGAATGGCTTGAACCTGGGAGTCAGAGGTTGCAGTGAGCAGAGATCGCACCATGGCACTCCAGCCTGGGCAACGAGAGCGAAACTCCAACTCAACAACAACAACAAAAAAAAAAAAAAAAAAGAGAGAGAGAGAGAGAGCAATGCAATAAATGGTAGAGGCTACCAAAACTTATGAATTAAAAGGAGAAGTGGAAAGAGAAAATGGTTGTTAAGAGCATAATATATACATGGCATTGTGTGAGGTACTCAGAGATTTCTAGATTTCTATACTCAGAAAAACCCTGCAAGTGGCAATAATTATTATTTATCACTTGTATATGTGTGCACATGTGTGTGTAGGTGGTTGCGTGGGTGGGTGTGACACTTTAAGAAGTAATCTCTTTTCAAGTTTTTCTGACTAAAAAATCTATGATTTTGCTTCTATCTATATTGTATAGTGTTGTTTGAATGCACAATCTGGAAGATTAAAAACCTATTTCTGATGCCTCCATGTGGCTGTTTCTTCAAGACAGAGTCCCAAATTGATATATCCATGAAAGAGGCAGGAGAAGGATTTGAGGATCTCGTGGTTCTCATGATCTTTGTAGTTACAGATCCTGCTCTTTACAGGTGAGATAATTGTCGAAAGAGGAAGGGATACACACAGCTGTCTTTGCTGTTGAGTGGAGCTAGCACACTTTTCAATTTGCATATTTTCAAACTCACACAAACTCTAGGAGATATTTTTTCTTCCATTTTAGAAAAGATATAACAGCAGATCAGGGAATTTAAGTAACTTGCTGTGGTAGTTTTGTACTGTTTGAACCTTGCCAGGTGAAACTACATTTTCCAGTATTCCTTCCTTGTGTAGTTCTAGTTCAGGCTTGGCTACCAGAAGAGATGAATTTCAGATTTAGAAGATGGGACTGAAGCAGCAGCCCCCACTCTCTGAAATTCAGCATAGGGTTCAGGTGCTGCCACAGCTGAAAACACGTTTTCCCTGCTCTGCTGGCTCACTTTGTAAGCATAGGGCAAGCTCACGGCAACTCCAGCTCTGCATTCAAGTGTCTTTCTTCATGCTAAGTCCTAGGACAGGCATTTGTGCAGGTTCAGGATGAAGGTCAACAGTTTATTCTGTAGGTCACAGAGGTTAGAGACAGTGAAAGATAGAGGCAGGGTTCACTTTGTCTTTGTGAGTCTTGGTTTCTCCCCATGAGTGCCGGTTGTCTTTGCTCTTCCCACTTCAAATTCAGTTTTTCTAATTGCTAGCACTGCTGACCTACACTGACTGCAGAACTGCTAAAGACACAGAGGTAACAACTTTTCATAGACATCGGCATTGGCACTCATAATTATGTAGGATCAAATCTCACTAATAAATTTCTAATTCCACATCACTCATAGTAGTTCTACTTCTTGATAGATCCTAAATTATGTACTTGCTAGTTTCCATACAGCTGACACATGGGTAAGATTAAAACTTTAATCTGGTTGTATAATACATGCACTTTCCCCTTCACCAGAGTGAATTTTAAGAGAGGGAAAAGAAAGTGCAGGAGACTCTAATTCCCCTGACCATTAATAATAATGTGGCTCGAGAGCTTTCTCCAGATTGAATCCTTCCTTTTACTCTTTTATGTGCAGACGCATCAAAGGGAATGTATTATTACTGCTGAAATCTGTGCTGAACCGCCAAATATTCAACACTCTAAACCCCTCTCTATTGGATACTACTCATTAACAAAGTAAAAAACAATTATCCTGGGCATGACAGCTCTTTATTATTTTTCATGCATCACAGTAAGCCTTTTTCATATAAAATTATATAGTCACTGAAAATATTCATCTTTCCTAAATGTACTTTTTGCAGCTGTAATCGATCTGCATCTAGATGATTTTGGTCTTTCAAATGGTTGAGAAACTTCTTTACTGGGCAGTTAATCCCATTTATGTTCTGAGTGACCAATTTGTGCGTTATATTACCTGCCATAATATCTCCATTGTACATAATATATATTTGATTTAACAGCTGTAATCTTACCAAACTGCTGTTTTTCAGTCAATTGTCTTCATGGACTCAGATTTTCAGAGGAAATCTTCCTGGAACAACAGCCAATAATTATCTAAGGGTACTACATCTACTATAGATGTCAGCTCATCAATACCATTTTCATATTATCAATATTTTTGTATCTTACATAAAATCTTTGCTTTATTCATGTGGAATGTTAACAAGGACTAGTTCCCCAGCTCCAATATTTAACCCCAAACATTGTTCTTTTAATGATTTAATGATTAACAATTTATTTTAGAAATTGTTTCATGGGTATTATTATTTTTAGAAAGACAAAATTTTTGCCATAAAGACATTATTTCCCTTCAGTACTGAAAGGTTATTAAGTTGAAGTGTCCTTCTTGCATGCAATAATTAACAAAGTGATTTGGTTCAAAGATTCTACATGTGCACTAAAATACATTTTGATGGTTAATATTGAGTGTCGACTTGATTGGATTGAAAGATGCAAAGTATTGATACTGGGTGTGCCTGTGAGGGTGTTGCCAAAGGAGATTAACATTTGAGTCAGTGGGCTGTGCCCACCCTTAATCTGTGGGCACAATCTAATCAGCTGCCAGCGAATATAAAAGCAGGCAGAAAAATGTGAAAAGGCGAGACTGGCCCAGCCTCCCAACCTACATCTTTCTCCCGTGCTGGATGCTGGATGCTTCCTGCCCTCAAACATCGGAGTCGAAATTCTCCAGTTTTGAAACCTGAACTGGCTCTCCTTGCTCCTCAAGCTTGAGGACAGACTATTATGGGATCTTGTGATCATATAAGTTAATAGTTAATAAACTCATATATATATATAATATAATATATATATATATCTCCTATCGGTTCTGTCCCTGTAGGGAACCCTGACTAATACGTACATTTCTAGTATTAAAGATCTTCAGTCCATGATTTTATTAAGAGCAGACATTGACTAATTCCCATGTGTTAATTAAAAGCAATTTAATTTACTTTATTTCATAACTTTATTCAAATCAGATCACATGTATAAAGTTCTCACTTTTTGTTGAATGAAATTATATGTAAGGATTGACTTTTGTAGCTAATATATAAAATTACTCCAATGAAGCCCAATTTGCACTTTATCTACCTACCATAATTGTTGAGAGATAAAGTCACCAGAAAAAGGTAATTAAAGGACAGTTCGAATCTTGAACTTATTTTGAAATGTCTTCTGAGTACCAAGGTCCCTTGACCAAAATTAAAAATCAAATGCAAAAATCTGGGAAATATACACTTTATTTATTTATTGAGACGAAGTCTGGCTCTGTCTCCCAGGATGGAGGACAGTGGCATGATCTTGGCTTACTGCAAATTCTGCCTCCTGGGTTCAAGCAATTCTCCTGCCTAAGCCTTCCGAGTAGTTGTGACTACAGGCGTATGCCACCAGGCTCAACTAATTTTTGTATTTTTAGTAGAGATGGAGTTTCACCATGTTGGTAAGGCTGATCTTGAACTCCTGACCTGAAGTGATCTGCTGCCTCAGAAATATGCACTTTACATACAACTTTGGGAGTAATATTTTAAGTTTATGCTTTACAATTTTGAAATGCATAACGTGTAGTAAGTTAAAGGTTTACTCTTCACATTTTGCTTTTGTTTCAGTGAAAACTATGATATATGTTGCAGAAATTTCTTATTGTCTTTTGATGTCTTTTTAAAATTTTTTACTATAGGAGTAATATCTTTAGCTTGACACATGCCCACACAGCATAAAAACTACACTTTAAAGCCTCTGTCTCAGATTACTATGTCCATGTGACTACATCTTGGTCAATAGAGTCTTCTGTGACATCTTTTTTGAACCTTTCCTAAGATTCATTTGGCCAGTTCCTTGTCCCTCTTCTATTTCATTGTTCTGTTGTCTGGAATATGGATGCTGCCACATATGAGGATGATAATTTATCTAATAGATAGATTATGTGACTATAGCCATTAATTAACTATAAGACCAAGTCTCTAGGATATTAACTGAAATGGAGGCAAATATCTAGCTTGATAGCTATATATAAGCAGTGAATTATTTATATAGTTGAAAGGAAGGGGATGTTCCCTCCTTAAAGTAGCTTAAACCAAAGTCAGCATATATTTAATATTCTAAAAAAGGTTTTTAGTTTGATACATACAAAAATGTAAGACACAAAGTAGATATTCAATCGTAATAATAGTATGTATTATATACACTATAAGGCACAGTTTTCAAGATGTTTAGTTATTCATACATTTAATCCTTATAAAATAGTTTGGATTTGAAAGTAACTTTCCTCCTCTGATAAGCTCCTAAGTCAGAAAATAAATTAAGTTTTTAAATCTCTCCTCTTGGTCGTGATGGAATTTTTAGGCCCCTTCCTGCAGGAAGGCAACTTGGGAGAATAAAATAGCAGATAATTGTCCTGACTCCCACTATTACTTTCATAAAACATGTGGACTTAACAGAAGCCTATGTAAGAAGTTTCCGCTCAGAATTTAAAACTGAAAGGCATACAAAGCCTCTTTCTCACCAAATTCCTTTTAAACAATCTCTAGGACTTGAATTTGAGGTAGAAGGTATGAAACACTTACGAGTCATTACCGATTTTCTAAATTATTTCTGGTCATCTCTTCCATTTCCTGAGCCCTCAATGATGGCCTCATAATTATTCTCGTTATTATTTTTTCATTCTTTCTGCTGTGTAGGGATTTCCCTAAACTTCTACTCTTTCTGATTCCAGGCCTATGACTTATCCTAAATCACCATTCTCAATCAGAGCAGTATCATCTCTCTAGGGGGCATTCGATAATGTGAGAAGGCTTTTGAGTTGTCATAGAAACTGGTACAAAATACTGGTATCTTTATGCAGTGTCCAAGAATATAATTCATTGTTTAGTAATAAGATTGTTCCCACCCAAAAAGACTGCCTTTCCCAAAATGCTAGCAGTGCACATATTAAAATACTCAGGTCAAAATGATGAAGAGGGTGTAGGGATGGAAACCAGCTTAATATGACTGAATATGCATTCATCATTATAAAGTGCTCAACAACATTATACTACTAATGAATCAATGCTACTTTCCTGTTTAAAATATCCCACGGGCTCTTCATAACCCAGGCTCTAACATCTGCTCACCCTCAATTAGCAGAGTGTCTCACTTGCTTTTTATACTTGGCATCCTAAGCTCACAATACCTCAAATATGTCAAGCTCTTCCAAGGACTGACCTATTTGGGCACTATTTTTTTTTCTCAACTTAGACTATTTATTCACTTTAACATTATATTAAACTTGTAAGGGCTTACATAGGTCTAAGTATCAAATCATCTGTGAAAAATACTTTGGCCTGGTCAGGGTGACTTTGCGATTTCTTCCTCTGAATACGAGAGGATTGACTATATTATCACTGGGTCTCTTTACATTGATTATAAGTATTGGTTTACATTAGAAATTCTTCCTTTAGAGATTTGTGAATTCTTTAAAGACAGTTGGTTTAATCTATGTATCCTTAATGTTTAACAAATAATATAACCTGTAATAGATTTTTCAAGAAATACTTGTCCCAAAAGTAAATTTAAAAATAATGAGAACTTTTTGTGTAGATAATATGGTTCTTGCTCTTACTCTTCATGTTAAGTACAACGATAAGTCCTGGAAACAGTGCAAGAGGCAGCCAAATAAGAACTTGAGAAGGTAGAAAGAGGGAGATTAACTGGCTTGAAACCCCAGGACCAGAAGACCATCACGGCAGCTGGGTGTCTTACATTCTGCCACTCAACAGAACAAAGTTATCCATACCTTGCATTTGCCAATTTCCAACCAAACAATGGAACACAGCCCACAGAAGCTGATTCCTGCTTCAGACTAGCAGAAATTCTTCTAACAATACAAAGCGGTTTGGCATCAATGTCAAGAAGGATAAACAGATAGTTCCACAAACAAAGACAAACAAATAGAAAACAAATAATACAGTGTTAGACTTAAGTACTATAATATCAATAATTACCTTTAATGTAAATACATCAATCAACGACAGTCTGACAGATTTAGTAAAAAAAAAAAAAACATGTGACCCAGCTATATGCTATTTGCAACAAACTCACTTTGTACTCAATAACATAAAGATGTTAAGTAAAAGTATGAAAAATATATACCATGAAAAGATTAACCAATAAATAGAAGAATTAGTTATATTTATGTCTGGAGAAGTAGACATTAGAGTCAAGAAAATTACTATTAACAGAGAAATTCATAATGAAGAAAGGATCAATCCATCAGAAAGACATAACAATCTTAAGTGTGGATTCATTAAACAACACGGTCTGAAAATACATGAAGCAAAACTTTACAGTGCTGAAAGGAGAAATAGAAAAACCCACAATTATAATTGAGGGCTTTAATACCCCTCTCTCGGCAACTGATAGATGCACTAAATGGAAAAAATGGCAAAGAGACAGAAGATCAGAGCAACACAATCAATCAACAGGGTCTAATTGGCACATGTAGAGCACTTCACCCCAAAAAGCAACAGATAAGTTTTTTCAAGTTCCTGCAGAACATTCACGAAGAGACTATATTCTGGGTTATAATACAAATCTCAACAAATCTGTTTTAATTGAAATCATTCAGAGTTTGTCCTCCAGGCCCAGTGACATCAACCAAAAATTCATTAAATAAATATAAATAGTGATATCTTTAAACATGTGTAAAGTAAATATTACACTTTTTTTTTTTTTTTTTTTTTTTGGAGTCGGGAGTTTTGCTCTTGATGCCCAGGCTGGAGTGCAGTGGCACGATCTTGGCTCACTGCAATCTCCACCTCCCGGGTTCAAGCGATTCTCCTGCCTCAGCCTCTTGAGTAGCTGGGATTATAGGCATGCACCACATCACCACGCCCAGCTAATTTTGTGTATTTTTAGTGAAGACAGGGTTTCATCATGTTGGCCCGGCTGGTCTTGAACTCCTGATCTCAGGTGATCCATCCGCCTCAGCCTCCCAAAGTGCAGGGATTAAGGGCATGAGCCACCGTGCCTGGCTGTAAATATTATACTTCTAAATAAGCTATGAATCCAAGAGAAAGTCTCAAGAAAAACCCCTAGAACTAAAGAAAAATAAAAATATACTGTATCAATATATACAATATGGGTAAAGTAGGGCTGAGAGGAAAATGGTGGCACTACATGAATACAGTACAACCAGGAAAGGTCTTAAATCTAAGTTTCTATCTCAAGGACCTAGAAAAGGAAGAACAAATAAAACTCAAAGAAGGTAGAAAGATCAGGGTAGGAAAAAATAAAATTGTGAATATAAAAATAGAGAAAATCAATGAAATAAAAAGCTGGCCTTCAGAAAAATTAGTCACCTATATAGTGTACATCGTAACTATTAAGTAATTTCTCATTTCTTACTCCCCTTTTACCCTTCCACCCTTATGAGTCTCTAGTGTCTATTATTCTTCACTCTATATCCATATGTACATGTAATTTAGCTCCCACTTATAAGTCTGAACATGCAATATTTGACTTTCTGCTTCTGAGTTATTTTACTTAAGGTATGGTCTCCAGTTCAATTCATGTTGCTGTAAAACACATGAATTCATTCTTTTTTGGGTAAATAGTATTCCATTTCATAAAGAAAGTGTGGTATATACACTTATCTTTTGGTATATATCACATTTATCTTTTCATTTTTTTTACTTTTTTAAAATTATACTTTAAGTTCTGGGTTACATGTGCAGAATGTGAAGTTTTGTTCCATAGGTATACATGTGCGCTGGTGGTTTGCTGTACCCATTAAACCGTCACCTACGTTAGGTATTTCTCCTAATGTTATCCCTCCCTTAGCCCCCCCATCCCCTGACAGGGCCCAGCATGTGATGTTCCCCTCCCTTTGTCCATGTGTTCTCATTGTTCAACTCCCGCTTATGAGTGAGAACGTGATATGCCACATTTATATATGTGTATATGTATATATATGTGTATATGTATATATCTCATTTGTGTATATATGCACACATTCCATTTCATATAGACCCATACATTCCATTGATGAATACTTAAGTTAATTTCATGTCTTTGCTATTGTGAATCATGCTGTGATAAACATATGAGTGTAGGCATCTTTTTGAGTTTTAATGTAATCATTTATTTTCCTTTGAGTAAATACCAACTGGTAGAATTGCTAGATTGAATGGTAGTTTTATTTTTAGTTCTTTGAGAAACCTCCGTACTGTTTTCAATAAGGGTTGTACTAATTTACATTCCCATCAACAGTATGTAAACATTCACTTTTTAATAATAGCCATTCTAACTGAAGTAAGATGGTATCTCATTGTGGTATTAATTTGCATTTCTCTGATGATATTGAGCGTTTTTTCATATGCTTGTTGTCCAGAAATGGACTCACAAAAGTATGCCTAAATTATTTTTGGCAAAAGTATAAAAGACATCAATAGAGGAAGTAATAGGCTTCTAAACAAATAGTGCTGAAACAATTAAACATCTATGGGCAATAAATAAATAAATAACATTGGCCTAAACCTCATACATTATACAAACACTAACTCAAAATGGAGTGCATACTTAAATGTAAAACTGTAATATGTTTAAAAAACTTTAGGAGAAAATCTTTCAGTTCTATGTCTGTATAAAGAATTCTTAGATTTAATAGTAGAATAGTGACCCATAGTAGAAAATTTTGATAAATCAAACATTACCAAAACAGGTAATATTTTCTGTGCACAAAAAAAAAAAACAAAACCTCAAAAACAAATAAAAAACTGTTAGCTGAATAAAAAGACAAGCTACAGACCTGGAGAAAAGCATTTGAAAATCATAATGAAGGAATGTATACAAAGAACCTCCAAATCTGAGTATTAATAAAACAATCACTTAAAAATGAGCAAAAAACCACTAACATATATTTCACTGATGAGAATATATCAATTATATGTGTGTGAAAAGATGTTCAACATAATTAATCATAAGGAAAATTCAAATTAAGACCATAATGTGTGTATGTGTGCGCATGTGGACCAAGTTTGGCACCATTTTATTACCTGTGTAGGTTTATGTATCCACCGCTGCAGTCCTGATGAATGACTTTCAAAGCCACGAGGATACTTTGTTTTGTTTCTTATAATCACAACTGCCTACTTCATGCTCTACCCACTACTCTCACCCCCTTAATTACTTAAATCACTAATTTGTCCTCCATTTCTAAAATTTTTCATTTCATAAATGCTTAATCCATGGAACCATCTAATGTAAGATCTTAATGTCATGTAAGACCACAATGATACGTCAATACACACCTATATGAATGAATAAAGTAAAAAATTGTGACAATACCAAATGCTAGTGATTATGTGGAGAAACTGAATTATTCCTGGCAGGGATTTAAAATGGCACTGCTACTCTGGAAAAAGTTTTGGTAGCTTCTTATAAAACTATACATGTAATTGTTATAAACCTCAACGTTTGAACTCAGGTGTTTAAGAGAAAGAAAGATGTATTCTCACACAGAAACCTGTATGTGAGTGTGTACAGCAGCTTAATTCATAATTTTCATTGGAAATAGCTCAATTGTCTTAACAAGTGAATGGTTTCACAAACGAAAGCATATACATCTGGCAGAACACCAATCAGCAGTGGAAAGGATTATCCTTTGATATACACAATGTGGATGTATCTTCTGTGAATTGTGCTGAATGACAAAAATCAAATCTAAAAGGACTTACATTACAAGATTATTCCATTGATAAAGCTTTTATGAAACGACAAATTTTAGAAATGGATGACAGTTTAGCACTTTAAATAATTAAGGCTGTGAGAGTAGTGAGGAGAGCTTGAAGAAGGTAGGTGTGGTTATAACAAGAAACACAAGTGATCCTTGTGGCTTTGAAACTCTTCCATCTTGACTGCAGTGGTGGATACATTAACCTACACAGGTAGTAAAATGATGTCATAATTAGTGTACATGCATGCATATATATACATATATACATATATACACATATATACATATATACACATATATACATATATACATATATACATATACCTATATACGTATATACATATATACATATACCTATATACGTATATACATATATACATACATATACATGTACATATACACATACATATACATGTACATATACACATATATACATGTACATATACACATATATACATGTATATATACACACACATATATACATATATGCGTGCATGTGCGTAGGCAAGCAGAAATCTGGAAAGGACCGCACAGGACCAGTAGATTCTATTCATGTCAATATCTATATTTGGGTTGTCATATTACATCATAGTTTTTCAAAATATTGCTATTGGGGAAGCCAAGACAAAGTATACACAGAACATCTCTGTATTCTTTCTTACAACTTTATATGAATCTATAATTACCGCAATTATTTTAATTAAAGAGTAAAGAAGATTTGTTGATTGTTGATTATATTAGCCTCACCTCCCTCTTTGTTTCTCCTGTTCATCTTATATCTGCTTATCAGTGTCTACAAAGGTTTCACTGCAGCAGCAGCAGCAGCAGCAGCAGCGGATTTTTTTAAAAATAGCAAAAATCATAATAATATTTTAAGATACTGGATATAAAAGTGAACTTTGTGTTAGATAATAACAACAGCTTAAGAAAAGGCTCAGTTTCAGGAGAAAAATATGCCAAGGAGAAATGGATAAAATTGAGATTAGAATTAAACATGACAAGGTGGAACCACAGACAACAAAAACAAAGGGAAAGCAAGATATATATATATACACACAAACTTATACATGTACTACTATATATATATAATATACACATGAAATGAATATAATCACATATTTAAATATCATTGTGTATAGTTTCCAAAATAAACAATTTATTTATTTTTGAAAGTACATGTATGTATGTTTCATTATCAAAGAAAATAAATGATAAATGTAGCAGGATTTCACTGTATAGTTTTCCATTACTTTAGAAATTATACAGTGTAAAAATCAACTAATCATCAGAGTATGAGGTCAAACAGTCATAGAGATTATGTGAGAGGAATCTGGAGACACTTCTCAAAGATTTGGAAATAAGTTAAATAAGATTTATCTTATTAGAGGCAAATTACAATCACTGAATGTAGAGGCAGAAAAAATATTAAAAACTTCAGTGCTTCGCAAACTGTTTCATCAAAGCAACCTCAGTTCAAGAGAAGGATTGGTCCTCAAGATCTGGACAAAAAGAGTTTGATGCATGTAACATATTTTTGGAGTCTCAGGTTTTAGAAATGTGTTTGAAATTTGCATTTTATCCTATGATGTATTTATGTAAACATAGTAATGTTATATATCCTTCTGCTCCATCATGTAAAATTTTTGACTCAGGGACACAAATAGTTTATTATAAGGCTTCTACCCCAGTTTGGGAAGCAGGGCTTTGCGAAGGCAAATGGCTCTTACTTCAGAGGAGGTTTGATCTAATATTTTAACATTCAAGAAACAGTATAGATAAATTGTAGCAGTGAGTCCTTCCAAGCATGTCCAGAGCAGTCAGTAGCTTGAGTCATGATTTAAAATATTATCATCCTGTTGGCCAGACCATCCTAGTACGGAAAATAATGAATTAGATAGATTTCTTCAACCAAATTATTTAACTTATTCTCCTTATTATGACTCACTGCCAGCCAAGCAAGTGTCAAATTTTAATTTTTTTCCACAAACACATAACTACAAAAGTGAAAGAGCTAGCTAAAGTAACGCATATAAATGCATATACGCATATAAAGTTATGTATATAAAATAAGAAAAATAGCGTTCTGTGCATATCTCTCTGTATGTTTTGCTTATAGTGCTTAACTCATGAGAATTTGATTCATTCTCTAGAAACAAACAAAAAAAATCCGCCTTTTCTTTTCACAAATCTGTCAATTCTAGACCATTAATCCCTCTGTCATAGTACTACACAGGGAAGCCTCCTTGGTAGTCAGCTGCACTTGGAAACTCCACAGGCTTTGTTACTCTTCAAATCAAGCTTCTACAAAGCCAGAGGAAGTGTTTCTGGTTTTATAATCTGAATTTTTCAAGCTTTAATTTTATGGTAGATAGGAGAAGAAAACATATTTTGAAGGGAGAGATATGGAAGTTGCCTAAAAGTTTTCATTAGAACAGAATCTGAGAGACAGAGAGAGAGAAGAGAGAGAGAGAGAGAGAGAGAGAGAGAGAGAGAGAGAGAGAGAGAGAGAAATGATGGGTATGTAGGAGAACAAAAAAAACCAACATTAGGTAAAGAAATCTAAGAAGAAAATCAGAAAAACACAAACATTCACCAATTAGAGAGCTAGATGATGATTTGTCAATACAACAAAATACGATTGTAATCTCATCTATAAGTAATTATACATACAGAGACGCAAGATAGTATATGTGTAAACTGTAAGTCAATTTATGGGCTGATCTCATTTCACTTCATAAACATGCACACTTATCTGAGTATATATATTTTAATAACATGCGTTACTTCATTACTTATATCATTATACAAAACAAATACAAAACGGGAGACCTTCTAGATAAATAATTTTTTTTTTTTTTTTTGAGACGGAGTCTCTCTGTCGCCCAGGCTGGAGTGCAGTGGTGCGATCTCGGCTCACCGCAAGCTCCGCCTCCCGGGTTCACGCCATTTTCCTGCCTCAGCCTACCTAATAGTAGCTGCGACTGCAGGCGCCTTCCACCATGCCCGGCTAATCTTTTGTATTTTTTTAAGTAGAGACGGGGTTTCACTGTGTTAGCCAGGATGGTCTCGATCTCCTGACCTCGTGATCCGCCCGCCTCGGACTCCCAGCATGAGAAAATTGTTTTTTTTGTTTGTTTGTTTTTATTTCTTAAACAGTATATCCATAATTGTAAAACTAAACTTATTTAATTTTTTTCAGCATATATTTACTGCTCTTCAAGCCCTGGACTAGGGGCTAGGGAATCGATAGAAAACAGAAATAGATATCATTGCAGCAAGTAGTATATACTGAATGGTTTATTCATGAAGAGTTCTTAAAATGATCTGTGCCTTGAAATGATCACCCCAAATGCAGTATGGAGAAGAGTTTT
Organism: Homo sapiens; assembly: GCF_000001405.40. Classification (NCBI taxonomy): domain Eukaryota; kingdom Metazoa; phylum Chordata; class Mammalia; order Primates; family Hominidae; genus Homo; species Homo sapiens. The sequence goes on from NC_000004.12 coordinate 170,916,110, forward strand.
CAGTGATGCAAGAATGGATGTGGACAGACCATTAGAGAGACCACTGGAATGCTTCATGTGAAAGATAATGGTTACTTGTACAGGGATAGTGGTAGAATCAGGACACAGTCAGGAACTGAGGTAGCATTAATGATATTCGGTGCTGAATTGCTGGTAAGATTAGAAGGGACCCTCTAGCATGACTTTGAGTTTTTTGTTCCTTGAATAATTGTGAAAATATTCACTAACTTGTGAAATACTGAGAGAAAACCCAACTTGAAGAGTAAAAAATATAGTTGTAGACAGCAATACTGATTAGGCAGTATTTTAAGAAATATTATTTGAATATCAAGTAAGCAGATACTTGAATCTAGAGTTTACAGGGGTAAGTAGGTCTGTTATCAACATGTAGATAATCATTAAACTACAAATAAGGATGAAGTTGCCAAAGGGTAGAACATGAACTGAAAATAGAAGATAACAACAGCTGATTATTAGAGACCTCCAGCATTTATTAGCTGAACATTGTAGATAAGCACATAAATGATATTAGTGAAGGAAAGCCAAATATATGATAAAAAGCTACCTAGTTAATGTTTTGCTTTTAACTCTATGGTTAAACTATTTTATATAGATTTTTTTTGTGTGCTGTAGAAACCATCTTGAAAGAATTTAGTGGCCTAAAATTACACTTATTTTTTTAATCATAGTTCTATGAATTGATTGAGGCTAGCTAGGAGGTATTTGCCTGGCACCTCTCATGTGGGTTGAGTCAGATGGCAGCTGGGGCTGAAGACACCCAAGGGCTTGACTGCTCACTAACTTGGCTGACAGTTAAATTTGGCTGTTTTCTCAAAGCTGTTAAATCTTTCAGTCATTATACTACACTTGGAGTGAAGAAAAGAATATCACAAGAGTGAGCATTCTGTGAAAGTGAGCAGAAACTTCTAGTAATCATAATGCCTGGGGATGAAAGAGGCGTAGTGTTAAGCCTGCCATATTCTATTGTTCAAAGATGACACAGGCCAGTCCAGATTCAAGAGGGTAGAAAAAGAAAAATAAACTCTGCTTCTTGGTAGTGTAGTGACAGATTTTGTAGCTGTCTTTAACCAAACACAGATAAAATAAAGAGAGTGTTTCAAAGATGAGGTTATGATGCTCTTAAATTAAAATGAGAAGTCCCAAGTTAAAACAGTAACAAATAATGGCTACTGGATCTTCTTAGGCTCACCTCAGTCTATTTTTCACGTATTTATTTCTTTCGTTGAACCAATTATATACAGCATCTTATCTCATTTAAAACAAAGCAGAAATTAAAAGGAGACAAAGAAAAAAATAGAAGTACTATACTCACTCTCTTTTTATTACATTTTTGACATCATGCAGCTCAGGTCCATCTGGAACCTTTTCCATAATGAACAAGGGGAGCAATAATATCATACCATTCAAATTAAACTTTCTTTCTTTTTTTAATGTAAAGCAAAATAATTTCTATTTGAATATACAATTGCAAAACAAAGTTGAAATTCTGCCAAAAAAGACCTTTAGAAGCACATTCTAATAACTAAATCAGAGAATGATGTAAATGCTTATCTTAAATGTGTTTTCTCAAAATTAGAACGCCAAGAAGCAAAGATATATTTACTGAATGAAATTTCAGATCAGAACGTCACTCCTTAATCAAATATTGTATGCAAATAAAATACAAGATTACTAGAAATACTGCACAGCTTAGTTCATTTTAAATAACTTCTTTTTTAAAGATAAGTGTGTGTTTCTACTCATCCATAAATTGTTTTAATAACTAAAATAAAATTAATTTATATATGAAATAGAGCTAAACCACTAAGGTGTAAGAGCTTCATATAATGCAATCAATCCTGCTTCATAGAGTATAAGAAATACCAATAGATATAGGAGATCGAGACCATCCTGGCTAACACGGTGAAACCCCGTCTCTACTAAAAATACAAAAAAATTAGGCGGGCGTGGTGGTGGGAGCCTGTAGTCCCAGCTACTCAGGAGGCTGAGGCAGGAGAATGGGGTGAACCCGGGAGGCAGAGCTTGCAGTGAGCCGAGATTGCACCACTGCATTCCAGCCTGGGCAACAGAGCAAGACTCCGTCTCAAAAAAAAAAAAAGAAATACCAGTAGATGAAAGGGAGACACAGTCTGGAACACTGTCACAAAAAGTGGCAAAATTCATGAAAACATTTAAAATTGTCAAAAATATATAAGAGGAAAACAAACAGTATTGGACTTTTAAGCCTAGAAACTTGCAGATGAATTTGTAGTTGGGATAAAAGGCAGGCAGTGGTGTGGGAATGATAAAGCACAAGACTGGAACGACAGTATGCACCTATGCTAAGACAAGAACTCTGAAAAATGATAGGTGTGAATTGCTATGCAAGGATTTCAGACCATAATAATAAATAATTCATTTCTGAACTTTTGAAACATGTGGAGGGAAATCAATAAACAAGAATTCCTTGAGATCTGAATGTGGAAAATAAAGCTTTAATTCTATTTGGAATGACTCAATTTTTACGCATAACCTAATGCATTTGTCTTTCTCTTACATATATACATGTATCACACTCATCAAGTGCAGATACCAATGTGAAACACAACAGCCACGTAAACACTAGGCAGTCATTGGATTTAACTTCACATACCCCAAAGCAGTTGATTGACACATTTTTAGGTCTTTGGGTGTTTTTGTCCCTGCCTCTTTTAAAATAATTGCAAATAGGCAGTGCACTGTCATCATATATAGTAATCTAGAAAGTGACAAGTATTCCCAGGTAACAGCTGTCAGACAAGTAAAAAATATGAACAAGTAAAAAAAATGCTTCAATGGCCAGACAAAATTAAAAGGTTTTATTTTAATGTATTTAATCTACACACTAGTAATATAGATAATAAAATAGTATATATGATAATATAAAATATAAAATGCAATTTATGTAAATCTCACAGTGTCTCCTGCCTATTTAAATATATGCCTATATAGTTTGAGATATTTGATATTAGATAAAATATGAAGTTACATTGCTTTAGTTCTAGTGACCCATTAATACATAGCCAAGCAAAATCTTATCTTGCCTTGGTGGATCAGAGGTGAATATTTCCTAAAACAATTTTTTAAATTGAGGCCTATATTTCATACAGCAAAATTCAACAATTTTATGAGTGTAGTTTGATGAATTTCCACATATGCTACTCAAATCATTATATACAGTATTTCAGAAACCCTGGTTCCCTATTTCAAATGTTTCAAATAACCCTGGAGCCATTATTCTGACTTCTGTCACTGTAGTTTATTCTGCCTATTTTTGAACTTCACAAAATGGAATCAACACATATGTTCTTCTTTGCGTTAAGCTTGTTATTGTTAAACAAAATGTCTGTGAGCTATATCATATTGTTATGTGTATCGGTAGTCCATTCTTTATTATTGTGTCACTTTCCATTGAGTTAATGTGTTGCTCATTATTTTTCATTTTCCCACTGATAGATATTTGGGCTGTTGCTAGTTTTTAATGGACAGTTTATGAAAGAAAATATATGGATGACACATAAGCACAAAAAATATGTCAACAACATCATTTATTAGAAAAATGTAATTTAAATAACATAACGATACCACATACATCTGTTAGAATGGCTAAAATGAAATGACTACACCAAATATGAGCAAGGATGTAGAGCAATTGAAACTCAGATGAACTGCTGCTGAAAATGGAAATTGGTAAAATAACTTTGAAAAACATTTTAGAAGATTCTTAAAACTTAAATATACATCTACTATATGATTCAGCCATTCCATTCTTAAGTAGATAAATGAAAGCAGATGTCCATGCAGACTTTTATATGAATGAAAATAACAATTTGTGATAGCCAAAAATTTGAAACAAACTAAATTCCAATCAATAGGTGGTTGGAAAAACAAACTGTTGTGTATGCATACAGTGGCATATTATGCAGCAATGAAAAGTGATGGACTATTAATACACTCACAATATTGATTAATGTCCAAATAATTATGCTGACTGAAAGAAGCTGGAACAAAATTTGTGCATACTGCATAATTCCATTTATATAACATTTAAGGAAATTCAATCTATACATATTGTATCATAAAATAACAGTCATTGGTGTATGAGGAGCAGAGAGGAGAGGAAGAGAGGAAAAAAAGCCTGTGGATATCTTAATTTCCTTGAATTTGTTGATGATTTCACAGGTGTGTGCATTGTCAAAATATATGAAGCCATACACATTTATGTGTGTGTGGTTTATTGTGTTAATTACTTCAAAATACTATTAAAATAAAAAGTTTCATTTACATCAATAATGTGGAAGATTTCCAGTTACTCTACATCCCTTCCAGCATTTGATATTGTTGAGTTTTACATTTTATGTACTCTCATTCAGGCTGTATTTTAATCTCCTTGCAAAACAATGTTATTTAGCATGCATTCCTATGCTATTGTCATATGTTTATTCTTTTTAACTACCCATTTACTATGCCCACCAGCTAAAGATAGCCAGGAGCACATCTGTCATTCATCATACTTGAGTTTTTTACTTGCTGTAGTAAGGGGCCAAACATCATGGGAAATCATGAGGCTTCTCAATAAAAGAGTGTGAGGAGAGTTTCACCACAGGGCTTGGACGAGTTTGTGTTTAAGAAAATAGGGTTTGCCCTGGATTAGGTGTTATCAGAAAGCAAGGCCAACTTAACTGTCTGGTCTGCTGAAAATTTTTATGCAGGACATGAGAACAGTGGAGTGTGGCTAAACCTTTAATTGGTAAAATATCATCAGGCGTTCATAGCAGCTTACGGAGGAGAGTACTTTTTAGTTTTCGTGGTTTGCCTTGCTTTATTGCTTCTCTCTGTGCTTAGATATGATTATGGAGAGGCTTGTTTTTGTTCCACTTCATTGCTGTCATAGAGTGAACTCATGTGATATTATGTTAGGTGCAGTTGTTTATGTTTCACAGGAGAAACTTAGCTAATAGTGCTGAGATCCCCACCAATGGAGAGCTGTCAACTTACCATGGCTGCTTCATTCTTAGTATGTATTTTGCCAATTTTAAATTGGAGTGTTTCTCTTTTAGTTAATGATTTGTAGGCAGTCTTTTTAAATTCCACATATAATAAATTAGTGCTTGATAAACCTATACCTATCTATATCTATCTAATCTATATCCCTCTAATCTATCTGTTTATCTAGAGAGATTTCTCCCTTTTCTCAGCATGTTTTACCTGAGAACAGATATTCTTAATGAAATCTAATGTATTAATTATTTATTTTTTAGTTATAGTTCTTTTTATATCCTTTGAGCTTTTGGTTTTTGCCTATTCAAAGGTCACTATGAAAATTTCTATATTTTATTCTATTGTTTTATTTTCTCACTTATAGATATCATCCTCATATAATTCATTTTGCCCGTAAGTGAGATAGGAGTCAAAGATTTTCTTTCGTTTGCTAAAACACTTAATGGGCATCAACCTCATTTGAGGCAATTACATAGATAATGATGAACAAAACATAATTTATACTCAATTTAGATAGACTGTGGTTGTTCCACAGTGCCTATAAGTGAAATGTCTGCATTTGAAACAAGCCCTCTCTGGGTGAAACATCATACAGCACACTATTTATAAAACTAACTTTTATGATGCTCAGTAAATATGGAGTAGGTTTATATGAGAATATCTTATCTCTGCTGCTAGTGTTTTTGAAAATAAGTTAGACTATCACCTTATAGAAAGCTTAGAAAGTAGATTTGTTTTGTTAGACATGTGGCATAATTCTTTACCTTCTCAAAAGTGAGGAAAATTTGAGCTTTTATAGAAGTGTTAAAGTTCAGGAATTTTCTCTCTGTGTTTTGAAACAGAAATTGTGATTGATACACACATATATATATATATATATATATATATATATATATATATATATACACACACACACACACACACAAAGTAATATTCATCCACACAAAGAAAGTCTTGCCATTTGCAACAACAGGGATGATCCTTATGCTTGATGAATTAAGTCAGACAAAGAAGGACAAATGCCATGTGACCTCATTTATGTGTGGCATCTAAAAATGTTGAGCTCAGAAGCAGAGAGTAAAATGGTGGTTATCAGAGGCTGTGAGGTGGGGGAAATGAGGAGATGTTGGTCAAAGGGTAAACACTTTCATTTGTAAGATGAATAAGTTCTGGAAATCTAATATGCAGCATAGTGACTATAATTAATTAAAATGTGTTAAGACTGTGGATCTTAAATGTTCTTAAAATACACACACAAAAGATTACTACGTGAGGTGATGGATAAACCTATTCATCAAAGCCACCTATAAATTAGCTGGTTCATGGTATTCATTTCACAAGGTAGTCATATATATGCCTGTGTGTACATGTATATATAGAAAACTTTGCTTTGCACATGGTACATCTTTAATTGTCAATTCCTAAACAAAACTGGACTAAAAGTCAAGGAACAAATTTTTCCTGCAATGTATCTATGCAAGATGCATTTTTAAAATGGAAAAGATAATAAAATGATTAAAACTCAATTGTTAGACATCTCTCTGAGAAAATGTTAATAATCAATTATGAAAACAGTCTTGCTACAATCAAATATTAGGTGACTTTCAGTCAATTGTATATAAAATGAGTGTGATTGGTTATTATCATTTTGAAATGTTACATTGTGCACATAAAAACTGAATTAATTATTGTTATATTGGAATTACTTTCAATAATTTATATCAGTCCACAGCAGCAAAAATGTCTAGGAATACTAAATTGAGATGGTCGTTTTTAATAGGAATAAAATATTGAGATGGTCAATTGATATGCAAAAGTTTTACTTGCTAATTAAAAAATTAATGTTGCATTTTATAGAAATCTCTGATGTTACCTTGACAACACAGAACATTCTGCATACTGGCAGTGAAATAATAAAGGGAAATCAAAAAACACCTACAAATTGAATGCCTAAAAGTAAAATCAAATAAAATAGTAAGCTTAAGTGTGATTTTCTTACATAGTATAAGGATTTGAAGTTTATTATTTGGCTTTACAGCAGACAGAAATGTTTAAATAACCTATGGCTTTCATTGCAAAGCAGATTTCTCATGTCTCCAAACAAATAATTTAGAAAGAATTTATTATGAATCAATAGAGCAACATTCCCTCTAGTTCATTGCACTTGTTATTACGCTTTCTTTAAAAGTGCCCAAGAAAGAATTTAAATTTATCACTCCTCTTTAAACTTGTAAAAGCCTGTGTTAATTGGATGTCAACCTCTTTTTACTCACATGCTTGCTGACATTAAGGGGCATATGATTTAAAAGCAACCTAAAGAATATGAAGAATATTCACAATATTTACTAGCTTATAGGGAAATAAAATACAGGTCCCATCTCCATTAAACCACAAATACTCAGCATGCAATAAAAGAAGCAATCACTTTTTAAAGGACAGCAAGAAGACATATTCCTTTATTTAATTAAAAGTTATGAGTTTCAACTATCAAGATCTGCAAAAAAATGAATGGGAAGTACTTAGAAATGTAATAGTAAGGAATGCTACATGAAAGCTCATGTCAACTTTTATAGTCTGTTTATGTTAGATTAAGGGAACAGAAATTACAAATCATAACACATATACATACACAACATTTTTAACATGTAAGTAGAAAAAAAGTCTAATTTTTCAATATTTTGAAAATCTATTGTCCTTCATAAGAACTCATTAATGCTTTGTAATTACATACAGAGTTTTAAAGACAAGTACCACATAATTGTTTTAACAACCATGAAAAAAGTGGGTCAGAAACTGACTCCATTCTGGCAACTCCTCCTCATTCAAAAAAAATGAAGAATTCAATTCATTGGGAATTATTTTGGGAGATAGAAGCAGTTGATATACATTCTAGATTCTAGTACAGGCTAAAAATTCTGTAAAATCAGTGGCCTGGCTACTACCATAAACCTGTAAAGCTGAAGAAATTAGACAATACAGAGGAAAAAAAGCAAAGAGCTGCCATTCACGGGGAGTGAATTTTCACTATCAGTCATTAAAATGTACCTTTATTTTAAAGATGTTAGGCTGGGCGCGGCGGCTCACGCCTGTAATCCCAGCACTTTGGGAGGCCGAGGTGGGCAGATCGTGAGGTCAGGAGTTTGAGACAAGCCTGGCTAACACGGTGAAACTCCATCTTTACTAAAAATACAAAAAATTAGCTGGACGTGGTGGTGGGTGCCTGTAGTCCCAGCTACTCAGGAGGCTGAGGCAGGAGAATTGCTTGAACCCAGGAGGCGGAGGTTGCAGTGAGCCGAGATCATGTCACTGCACTTTAGCCTGGGCGACAGAGCGAGACTCTGTCTCAAAAAAAAAAAAAAAATTATTAATGTGTAAGTGTAAGAAGTTAAACAATTCCATAAATTGAATAGTCATGTAACCAGCATCTGGATTAGGAAACAGGATATTACTAAAACCCCAGAGTCCATCTGGCACTTTTTTCCAGTCACTAGTGATCCATACCCAAATGGAATCCCTAGCCTGACTTCCAACACCATATTTTATTATTGAATGTTAATTAAATTTATGTAACATATCTTAGATGTACTGTTGTGTACCTGGCTTCTTTCTATCAGTAGAATGCTTATTAGATTTGTCCATATTAACTCATAGTAGTCTGTTCATTCTCATTTCTATATATTATTCCAGTTTGTGAATATACAATAATTTACTTTTATGTATCTCTGTTTAGTCAAATGACATCTTGGTAATGTTCACTTTGGAGCTATGGAGAATAGTTACCATGGTTAAGAGTTGACTTGTCAATATCTCTTGGTGAAAATGTGTATATATTTCTTTTGAAGATAAACATTGAAATGGGATTCTTAGCATAGGTATGTACACAGTGTAAGTATATACATTCAATGGTTTCCAAGCGGTTACACTAAATTATGACCAAACCAGAAATGAATAAGAGGAATAGTTGTTTCTTATCCTGGCCAACATTTTTCACTTAAAAAAATTCTAATAGTTGCCCAGTGGAATCATTTTACATTTTCATGCAGACTAACAGTAACTTTTCATGTTTTTAATGGCCATTTGGTTATTCTCTTTGAAAAAATACATTTGTCAGTTTTTCTCTTTGCTAGTCTATCATTTTCTTATTGATTTTGAGGGATGCTGTATATATTCCAGATACAAATATTTTTATATGTAAGGACTGATAATATTTTATCCGACTTTGAATCTTGATTTTTTGTTCTTTTAGTGTAATCTTCTGATTATACTTTTTTTGTTTATAGAGTTTAATTTAACTATTTTTTTTTTTTGAGACAGAGTCTTGCTCTGTCACCCAGGCTGGAGTGCAATGGTGCAATCTCAGCTCAGTGCAACCTCTGCCTCTCAGGTTCAAGCGATTCTCCTGCTTTAGCCTCCTGAGTTGCTGGGAGCACAGGCGTGTGCCACTATGCCCAGCTAATTTTTTGTATTTTCAGTAGAGACGGGGTTCACTGTGTTATCCAGGCTGGTCTCAAACTCCTGACCTCATGATCCGCCCTGCTCAGCCTCCCAAAGTGCTGGGATTACAGGCGTGAGCCATCACTCCCGGCCTAAAATTTTTAAAATAAAGGTACATTTTAATGATTGATAGTGAAAATTCACCACGCCCAGCTATTTTTTTGTATTTTTAGTAGAGATGGAGTTTCACCATGTTGGTCTGGCTGGTTTCAAACTCCTGACTTCATGATCTGCCCGCCTTGGCCTCCCAAAGTGCAGGGATTACAGTTGTGAGCCACCGCACCTGGCCTAATTTAACTAATTTATATTTAGTAACTTCAGTGGCCTTTTAATAAATTATTGCTTTTCAAAAATAAAGATATTCGATTTTCTTTTAAAGATATTTTTGTCTCAATCTTTACTTTTATGTAATATTTTTAATCCATTTGATATTTATTTTATAAGGTGTGACATAGAATTAAATATTTATTTTTACCGTATATCCAATAGATACAATTACCCTTTATTACAGTGATGCCTTTGTCATAAATCCAGTGCCCATATATATGTAGGACTGTTTCTGGATTCTATTTGTCTGTCCTTGTGCCTACATTACACTATCTAACCCACTCTGGGATTATTCTTATAAAAACTGTTCCTTTTGTTGGCAGTCACTTCCATAAATTTATATACATATAGAACAAGGAAATAAATCTTCATAGAATATTATGGATGAAAGTTAGCGGCATTCATATAGTTGTATTCATTATAATAATCATGCTCAGATTCATGCACATCAAAATGTCATAGTGTATGAAATACAAAGTGACTACCATATCTATAACCCACTAGCAGAATGCTGAAAATAGCAGAAAATTAATGGCTAATTCACAATAGCATATTAAATAATACTATGTTCATGTACAATGTAAATAAAACTAATAGGAGAAAAAGGGATATATACAGGGTAAGTATGTTTAAAATGAGTGGAATAATCAAAGCACAATTCAACTTACAACACTTCAGGAGGAAAATGGAATGTTGTAGCTGCAGAGGTTTATGGCATGAATTCTCATATGATTATTCTAAATTAATACATGAATGGTCAATTTTACTAAAATAGTTTGCTATTCAATAATAACAAAAGAAAAATAATGTACTATTTACACAACTAATTTTGTTAATTCATATTCCAGTGAGTTGAGATACAGACAACATTAGCAGGGTTAAGTGTAAGTATAATCAGTGGTTCAGTTCTTAAAATAAAACCAGCTATGAAAAGAAAAAAGAACAAGAAAAAGATATGTAATATATGTCCTCAGAGGGTCAAATTAAGGCAGTTAATATTTTTGAAAGAATCCATTTAGAAAATAATCAGATGAACTTAATCACCTCAAGATAATGTAAGAAGGATTAGAGGAAAAAATGAGAAGTTAAATGGATGGATTATTTCTCTTTCTCCCTCACTACTGTCTCTTGTCTTTCCTTTCCTTTTTTTTTTTTTTTTTTTTTTTTGAGACGGAGTCTCACTCTGTCTCCCAGGCTGAAGTGCAATGGCGCAATCTTGGCTCACTGCAACCCCTGCCTCCCGGGTTCAAGCAATTCTCCTGTCTCAGCCTCCCGTGTAGCTGGCATTACAGGCGCACACCACTACGCCCGGCTAATTTTCTGTATTTTTAGTAGAGACGGGGTTTCACCGTGTTCCCCAGGCTAGTCTCGAACTCCTGAGCTCAGGCAATACCCCCGCCTCGGCCTCCCAAAGTGCTAGGATTACAGGCGTGAGCTGCCGCGCCCCGGCCTCTCTTCTTCCTTTTAACCAGACTATTGAAATAATCTAGAGAAAATGCTTCACTCAAAATATTATTTCCACTTGGGTGTTTTATATAAATGTATACACTGCTACACAGAACGCTTCACCAAGGTGTAATACAGTGACAACAAGACCAAAAGTAGAGCATACCCCATCTGAGAAAACAAAATCTGACCATATGTCGTGGTCTAGCTCCTTTCCCACGCAATTTAATAAGAGAATACCGTGATTTCACCTCACCACTAACTTTCTCAATCCCGTCTCTTTCTGTAGTCGGCCATTGCTTTCACATACATCTAAATCCCATTTAGGTCTAAGTCATTCCACAGCCTTCTTATTTCATGCCACCTTAAAGGCACAAAGACAAATAGCAAGAGACCTGCAATTTACTACATAACAATTGTCCTTTCTTTCATTATGTGTTCCCACCTGTTTTCTTTCATTATGTGTTCCCACCTGTTTTCTTTCACTCAACTCTATTAGGTGAATGCCACGCCTCAAAACCATGCCCCTCCTATAAAACCACTACTGTTTTTTGCAGATACTTAAACATCTTTTTCTCAGAGGAATGATTTTGTAATCCTTTTGAGAGGGGTGTGTGTGTATATGTGTGTATATGTGTGTGTGTAGTGTGTGTGAATTTCATGTGTGTGCATGTGTAGTATATTTATTTTATGCCACATACAAAACACATAAATAGATACATAAATGCTACGAAGTGTTTTGATGATATTTAATTGATAATATTTAGTGCATACATAAATAAAGCAAAAGAATTCTAGTCTAACCTAGATGTTTGGTTTACAATAAAGAATCTATTAAGACTGTTTGCATTGGAAGTTAGAACCAATGTAATTCACTAAATACACTGAACTTAAATAATGTTTATTAAGGTTGCATTCCAGAAAGATAGTATCTTACTGAGTTTATGATAGTCTTATGAAAGTTGCAATGGGCTTTAATTTTCATCCTATGTGAGCTTCGGCAAATCTTAAAACTTCTCTGAGTCTTACATAAAATGAAGCCAGTAATTGCTATTTAACTGCTTCACAAGGACTTGTGATTGTCAGATTAGAAAGTTTATCTCAAAATGATTAGCAGAATTTTATTTTTATAAAATATGAGTTATATTTGTCTAAATTAATAACACACTTGACTTTGCAATAAGATTTAAAAAATAAAAAAACTTTTCAAGCAGTTCAGATACAGTGAAATTATAGGTTAATGTGCTACCATCATTTGGTTTAAAACCTCAAAAACCATGTTTTGTCTTTTTTAGCTGTATCATAAAAATATATGTACAATATTAAATATTTCTCACATCCTTTATATTATACTGTATCAGTCATATTTACATTAGTGAATCCGACTGAGTAAATCTTTTCTTTAACACACTATTTTTTTAAGCTTAGTGCTTCTAACAATTATGAAACAACAGCATAAAAATAAAATTCAAACAATTCAGCCTGGTTGATGAAAAGAGTGGCATAATGTTCCTTTTTCCTTCATCTCATGTTCTTTGGTTGTTTATTAATTCCTTTCAGTTTGAAAATATATTTTGAACCTTGAGTTACAATTCAAACAAAATTCTCACTACCCCAATTCTGATAACTTTATACAATTAATAACTTCATTTAAGAAAACTCCTGTAACTCCGTAAGTATTCTCCTGCTTGAATAGTTTAATATATTTCTCTCAACTTAGCTGAAAGACATAAATATTTGACATTAATAGAAATATCCCATGTATGTTAGATATGTTGATTTATATTTTACATCAATTTCTGTCTTCTCTGTCCTCTCCCATAAAACTACGAATAGAAAATTCAACTTTATATTTTCTAGGTTACTTTACAGCTAGGGCTCTAGAATGCAATGCAAATTCGTTTCAATGAATGAAGTCTTAAATAATGTTCATTAAGGATACATTGCAGAAAGACAGTATCTTAGTGTACTTTTCCAGATTTGGAACCAGATTTTTCCTGCTGCACTTTTGGCTAGCAAGTGATTTCAACAAGCAGGGTTTAGAAGCAGTTGCAGCTTCTAGATTTAATATTTCTGGCCAAGTGGAGTGGGTCACGCCTGTAACCCCAACACTTTGAGAGGCCGAGGCAGGCAGAGTGTTTGAGCTCAGAAATTCAAGATCAGCCTGGGCAACATACTGAGACCCCTGTCTGCAGAAAAAATACAAAAATTAGCTGGATTTGGTAGAGTGCACCTGTGGTTTCAGCTACTCCAGAGGCTGAGGTGGGAGGATCACCTGAACCTAAGAGGTTGAGGATGAAATGAGCTGCAATTGTGCCACTGCACTCCAGCCGGGGTAACAGAGTGAGACCCCGTCTCAAAAATAAAAGAATATTTCTATGCTTTTCATTCTTCTTTGCATGCCCATAGGAACAGTGGCAGCAGAGGCAGTGGCGGCAGCAACAGCTTCCTACCTCTAGACTTTTCTGTGTCCTTTATATCAGCCATACTGGCAGCTCTCCCTTGACTTTCACTCCTTTAGTGTTCCCAGAAATTTCTTAGGCATTTAATACCCTACATTAAATACCTTGATATCGAACATGCCTACAATGTTTTGTCTTTCTTGTCTTGAAACTTTGACCGATAGTCTGAGGAAAATCATCATAAAAAGATTTACAAGTTGCACAGCCCCAGAAACATCTGGAGGAGTGTGAATGTTACAGAGGTTACCTTTTGAATAAAAAGAGCTAACAATGGAAGAGTAGGCTGACCAAGTTTTGATTCCACAGAACACCCATCTGAATTTTTAAGTACTTTTCTAAAAGAAATCATGAGCAATAATTAATTTACAAGATATGTGATGTATGATAATATTGATAAGGCTGGAAAGAATCTGACATCTTATAAGGTTGAACATTTTTGCAGAAGGATTAGAATTGTATTATCTTGTGTGAAGTTCATTATGGTCTCCTGGGCAGAAATAAAAGGGATTAAAGTTCTTTTATTTTTTTCTGTTATCTTTTTATAGTAGATTTATTAAGCTTATTTTAATAATTTATAAAAGGAATGAGAAAGGAAAGGTGACTTTTTCATTATTTATGATATTTATAGACATCTGTTTAAAAAGACACCCAATTCCACTAATTTTGAAAATCTAAGTGCTGCTTCTGCTTTAGTATATATACTGATTATTCTCATCATTATCTGTTTGATTCATCTCTAATTTGTGGTAGTAATATGTTTCAAAATATAATGTAAATGAAGCATATTAAAAATGATTCACCATTAAAATTTATAAAAGGGTATTTTATCATTTAATTATAATAGAATATGATTTATTTAGGAAAAGAGATCTAAATGATAATCTTCATCTTCCATATAAATAGTGAGTAACTAGTGATAGTTTGACAGAAATAAATGACCAAAATCTGACAGATTGCATACGTTACTGTCAGCCATTAAATTATATAGATTCATTCTTCAAAAAATTAAAGATAGATATTTGTTTGGTTACATCTGAAACCATATCAAAATAGCAGTAACTGTCAGTATGTTTGCAATTCCTTTTACAATTAAAAAATGGAAAACATTTTCAAAATATTTTTTCTGTTTTCCCAATGCACGTATAAATAATTATATAGAGAATTGCTAATGCTTGTAATTTAAAGAAACATGTTTATTTTTATTATTTTACTTGTTTCTTATGATGGTAAAAGTCACATTCGACAATGCAGCATGTTAAATGTAGCAGATTTTCATTTGTCCCCATAAAAGGGTTTGCATTTGTGTATGTGTGTGTATGTGTGCGTACATGCATATGTATATAAAGAGAGATACATATATGTATATATATGCACATATACATAATTTTACATATATGAACATCCAAAACACTTTTCAACATTAACACTTTATTTTAATACCACTATTAACTTGAAGAGGAATTTTGACACTCATTGACAAAATATCATATTACTGTCTGACAGGCTATGGTCTGAACATATTCGTTTTGTTAATAGCTATGTATCTTAATCATGTAATAAAAATAGTTTTAGTTGTGTGTGAGATTTAGTACTCACATTCCTTTCTGTCTACCAAACTCAATTATAAAATCTAGACAGAATGCATGAAGCAGCTATTTGAGGAATCTCAGAAGTAAACAAACAGAAGCAGATGAATTGGAGAAGACTCAAATGCAAAGTACCCATAAATTCACACTGAGTTTACCATTTGTTTCCCTTCTGCTATCCTCAGCCTGAATGCAGTGGACCCAAGAACATGGAAGGTGGCGTTGAGCACACATAGAAGGAATTCTGGGAACAGCCCTCTATTTCTGATTGAGGAGAAAGAATTAAATTCTTAATGCCCAGAGAGCGTGCATAAATGTTCCATTTTCTTCCTAATTTTAAAATTTATTATTATTATTATTGATTGTATCCTAGACCCTACGCAATCCTATGGCCCATAGGAGCTAAATTCTGAGGATAAGGAATCTTTCTCACTGATCTATGAAATGTTGTTGCTCTTTTGTTTTTCTTTTTTTTTTTTGTCCTCCTGCTACTTGCCCACAAAAGAGGGCACGATCACAGAAATGCACAATAAAATAAGGTAAATAAACTCCAACTTTTTGGCTGGAAAAATAATATGGGGAGCCCTTGAGTAACAAGAGCCACAGAGGACAGAAAGGGAGGAGCTTAGGCAAAAGACCCTAGGAAGAATTTATGGACATTCAAGGGCTAGCCTCAAAGCATGTATCTAATTGATAATAAGATATCAAAGACATGGAGAATGGAACTAACAGGCAGACCACAGCACAGTTCCCAGACTGGCCACTGGCTGATGGACATGCAGGCAGATTCAAATACCACTGCAAAGGCTTTCAGGCTTCCAAGTCAGTTAACTTGATTATAAATCAGTAAAAATTATTCAGTCTGAACCAAAAAGAAAAAAAGTAAATAAATTCAAAAAGGATCAGAAATTCAGGGGTGTGCGGGACAATAGCCAAAGGTATAACAATTGTATAATTAACTGCAGGACAAAAAAAATAAGGTGTGGAAAAATATTTGAAAAACTAACAGCTGAGACTTCCCAAGTTTGGTGAAAAATATAAATTTAGAGATTAAAGAAGCTCAGTGACCCTCACACAAAATAAACCCATAGAAATCTACACCAAGACATATCATAATTGAATAGATGTGGCAAAATCAAACTACTCAAAAAGTAAGACAAAACATCCTTCTGTTATATGTGAGTGTTTATTGTGGCTTTATTCATAATTGTTAGAAACTAGAAACAACCCAAGTGCACTTCAATCAGTTAATGGGAAAACAAAGTATTCTATATCAAAATGGAGTACTATTCAGCAGTACAAAAGAATGGATTATTAATGACTGCAACAACTTAGTTGCGTTTTAAAGACATTATGTGGAGTAAAAGAAGCCAGTCTCAAAGGTTATAATGCGTTTGATTCCATTTATATGACATTATCAAAAAGAAAAAAATCAATAGGGATGGAAAACAGGTGAATAGTTGTTGGGTTTAGGTTTAGGAATAGGATATGACTATAAAAAATAGCACCTAGGAGTTAGAAGAAAACTCATAATTTTGGTGATTGTTACACATTTCTATTCAAAATCTTTATACCAAAAAAATCAACTTTACTGTATTATAATTTTAAAAATAATACAATATCCTTAAGGACCACAAACCAATTAAATGCCAGAAGGTAAAAAAATATTAAATAGAAATCTTAATATACAACTTTTAATTTTTAAAAATTTTAATTCTGTAACATTCTGTAACTAATTCTGTAACATTTCACAAGCATGTATTACTATATTTCATATGATTAAGAATATTCTAGAATGTCATCATGTTTCAGAAAAGCAAAGAACTCAAATTACTTAATGTGAGGAATATTTTAATTTTCTTTAAAAATCAAGGAGAAGCATTAAATTAGTTAATTCATAATAGCTATAGTGATTGTGATCATGTTATGCAGGATGTTGCCTAGTGTTCTGTATGAAAGTTAGACACTCTGAATATAAAAGCTTAGTTAATTATTAAACTGATAATAAAATAGCTATAGCATTATTTATTAAATAAACCCCCACTGTCTTGATCCAAGGTTGCATTAATGCACTGAGTAGGCAAAAGCTTCTCATTGATCCATGTGCAGTTGCAAATAAAAATAACATTCTGGAAGATTTGTGCTTCAAATTCTGATATGTTAATATAGTGGGTTTAAATTTTTGATGGCCTTTTCTCCTGCATACATGAATACACATCCACATGCACGCTCAAAGACAGTCAAGGAAAACAACACAAGGAAGAAATGGACATACTTCTCTACATCCAGTTATTGTTAAAGATACCTTTGCCCTTAATCTGGAATGTTTACTTTGAAACATAAACTATATCAAAACTGAAGAGATTTATTTTTATAACAAACATTATAGTGATGAGTTTTATCAATGACAATATGTAAATGTAAGCAGATTCAAAGAAGTAGGAATTCAATATTTTTATTAGTGAAAATTATTCTGTTTAGTACACATAAATATAGATATTTTAAAACATTCACAAGTTTTCAGTAATCAAAATTATACCCTAGTTGGATTTTGAAAACATTCTAAATCAACTCAATTATTAGCTGTTAGTGAGAGAAAGTCTATAGTTCTCTTCTAGTAGCATGGCCAAAAAACATAGCCAAGCACATATAAATGTGACTGTGAATTCCTCACTTATATTTTACTAATCTCCAATCAGCTATGTTTTTTGAATCACTCCCTAATGTTTCCCTAATTTAGCTTTCTGAATCAGAAATTCACTACTAGAGAATTTCTACATCTAGCATTCTTTGTGATAAGCATTACATTTGTTTAACTGGTATGCACATAAAGTAATTTGTTTCTTAATGTTAGTCTTTAAATTATAACTAGACTCATTCAATTTTTTCCAGGTTAAGCTTCTACAGTCTTTGTTGATCTGTTAATAACAGATCAATAACAGTTGTGCCCAGAGAGCAAATGTATTACATTATTATATTAACTTTTGGTGGAAATTCAGAGAGAAGCAGCAGTAGTAATGGCACACAAAAGATAGCATAAAGGAAAGGGAAAAAATCCTGTCCCTTAAGTCTGAGTCTAATACAGAAGACTAAATATAAATATATACAGCTAAATATAACAGTTAAAAGAAACAAACAAACAAAAAAAACACCCCCAAACTCAATGAAATGTATGAAGTCTATACTAATAATACCTGCCTTTGATAGAGAAATAGCAAGGTGGAGAAAGAGAAAGAGACAATGAATACAGGGATGTGATAATTGCTATAAAGATACAGGCAATTGCAAAGGAAGCAAATAGAAGAAACAAGTTGTGAAGCCACCACGCATTCTGCTGGAGGAGATGGCATTTAAGCATTGTGGGTCCCAGGTAGTCAGCTTGGTCCTCTGTCTGGAGGAAGAGCAGTTAAAGCAGGTATCCTAAGATACAGAGAGATCTTTGCTTTATCTCTTATCATCTAAGATATTTATTTGTGTATTTGTATACTATACATATATGTACTTTTTTATTTATGGACAGTTATTTCATTGGAAGAAGAAATATGGCTGCATTTTCCCACATTTCAGGAAGCTCCTGACACAGATAGCTTTAGCAGCTTTTGAATAAAGTGTCCCAATTTGAATATTCTGTGCTGCAGACACCCCAAATTGCTTGTACTATCACTTACTTATATGCGTGGGTATGTTAAGCGGGTCCTTGAGAAAATACAAAGGCATAGGAGCCTTTGCTTTTAAAGAAGATACATATATGTATAAGTCACATTGTATTATTTTCCTTTTATACTCCCATCTTCTCATGAGTGTATAGTGGAGTTTTTCAGAAACGACACTATGAGTGATAGCACAACAAACTGAATGCAGAATCAGGCATGAGAATCTAGCTGGCTTCTATTAAGTCACATATTATAAAAATTTCAAGTTTTATAAAACATATTAAATATGTTACATAATTGGCTTATTCTTATTTTTAATGACTTAAAAATAAATATAGCAAATAATTGTTGCAACTTCTAATGTGGTAAATATAGCTAGATATACCCACATTAAAATTTCTTTGACATTTTCAATAATTTTAAAGATTATAACAAATTTCTGAGTACAAAAAGTTTAATAATTACTGGTCTAGGGCAAGTAACATCACTGTAGCGATTATTATCATTTTGAAAGTAAAGATTCTATTATATATTAAAAAATAAACAACTTTCATATAATGAAGTTTTTTTTTCCTTTTTTTAAGTCAAATAGGTTAAATTATTCCTGTTCCAAAGAAGGGATTTTATTTTTATTTCCTGGCAAAAATAAAAATGACAATCTGTCAACAATATTCCCTTAGCACTTAATTTGAAGAAGTTCATAAATTAATATTTTTCCCATAGTAGGAATAACTAATTCACTACTTTTTCAAAGCAAGTGATAAAGATATCTGTATCCCTATTGGTGTATCTCCCAAAGGCTAAGATAATGTGAAGTTTAAATAATAAAGTTCAAGTAACAAACGTGTTTTTATGCTTTTAGGATTCAAATGCTTTTACAAATTTCTTTTAGGCTGGAATCAGCTTTATAATATTTGTTTGTTAATGGCTGGTAAACAACAACTAAAAGCACTAGGAAAGTCTTGGAGTTGTTGTTTTGTTTTACTTGATGCTGTTGCTTTAAATGAAGACCTTAAACAATTCAGATGTCACTGAAGATAATTTGCAGGAGTTGTTGGAATCAAAGTATTCTAAATCTTCTCAGTAGAAGACATATTGTTTAAGACTGAGGGTGGAGCTATGATTGAGGGAACATTTGTGCATGCATGGCAAAGTTTGAGGGACCACAAAGTGTGCAAGAAGATACCTTCACCTTATGAAGAGCCTTTTCTCCTCTTTCTATTTTTAGTACACAAATAGCCTCTTGCTTGCTTTCAATGTCTGAATGTTACTTAGAATTACCTCTGCTCTCCTAGCACATATTTAAGCAAATTAAATATTTGTAAAGTTTATAAGTTTAGGATTGGAAAAAGAGGAGGATGCTGTTAGTAGACACAATCTAACTGTACAATGAAAGCTACAATGTGTGGTCAAAGAAAGTTCATTTGTCACAGCTGAAGAGAAATGCAGGAGATGGAATAGCAGTACACAGCAGGTTGTATTTTTCAGGGTTGTAACAAACACAGCTATCTGGAACAGTTTAGTTGAAATGTCTAGCCAGAAAGCAAAGTTACAATTACTTTTGTGGTTTAAGGATAATTTTATTTCATCAAAAGTAAAAACAAATATCTTTATTTGGTCTGGGAGCAATTATTTAAGGGGAGAAAATGTGCTTTTAGAATGTATGGACAAAATTTTAATAGAAACTTGATAAGTTTTAATGAATAGCAAATGTATCATATTTTAATATGTTGATAAGTTTCTATATGTATTTGGATTATATAAAATTTCTGATCTAGTTTCCTGGTCTGGCTGTTCTTTCTGCCAACAAAAGTGATGATCAGTCATGCCTAAGGAGGTCAGCTAGGTCCAGCCAGGTCTAACCAGGGACAGATAAGATAGACCATAATGTTGGCTTTTAATTTTAGGAAAATCATTCTGAAATCAAGGTTTTTATTTTCAAGAATGTGACTTTCTTAAATGGACAGTAATTTTGTGAATTTTTAAATACTCAACATTGGAAGCCTAGAGCACTGAGAGTATCAAAATATACTATAGCATGTGGCAAGGAATAATGTGGTAACTAATGTATGTCAGGTTCCCATGAAAAAAAAACAAAATAAAAAACAGGTGAAATATATTCTGGGGTCAGACAGAGGATACCCAGCTATGGTTAGGTAGGTCCCGAGTGCTTCAGAACCTGTGTGGTGCCTCAGGGATGGGAATATTGCAATAGAAACTCAGACACTTTGTAAAAAAAATCTGAAAATAGGTGTTTTTCCCAATTCTTCTTTGGGCCTCCAGCGGGAGGCTTCCAGGTAGGGTTACCCATATGAATGATGTCCAGCAGTGACAGAGAAGACTCAGTGGCATGGTGTCTTCAAGTTGTGAGAGGCAATGTGGGCCCCATCTCCACTGATGCTAACTGGGCCAGACCAAGGTTTTCCCATATGTGCCTTCGAGTTCAAGAAATTGCTTATAGACTCCATGAACTTGAAGAGATCTGGGATGCAAAATGACAGAACTTTGTAACAAGAGGCAATGGCGGGAGTCAGACAGAAGTAGTAGATGTCAACACACATCAAAAAGCTCCATTCAGTCAATTCCATTCCTGGTGAATGGCCAGGAGAATTGAGGGGAAAACACAGATTGAAGACTCCTTGTAGCTGCCATGGTATGACAATACTTTCCTCTTTGCTCGTATCCAGATACCACCCAGAAGAAAGAAAATAATTTAGAAGAGGAATAAAGGAAGCCTGAAGTAATCTTATAAAGTTTTAAACTTAAAAATTTGCAGTTATTTTACAGTGGCTTTTTTTCCTTTGTTTTGGTTGAATGGGAGCCAGAGAAAGTTAACAATTTTGTTACAAGAAGAAAAAAAAGCAAGCAAACAAGTAAGAAAGAAAGAAGGGGGAGGAAAGGAGAAGGAGAGAAAATGTCTGCACAACTGAATCTAGAGGTTTAAATATTTAATCTTTTCAAATTAATTAGTTTTAAAAATTATTTTCCTATAGATGTATATCCAAAATTTTCACAAAACAAATTGTCATTAAGTTATATAGTAAATGTAATTCTCTCATGAAAAATACAAGAAAACATACATAAATATCTATACTATATATAGCAATGGCTCTCATTCTGGAGGAAAAAAATATACAATCATTGTGTTGGTCTACTAAGAATTCTGTAAATTTTCATATATTATAATTATCTTAGGTTTTGGTGAATTTTTCATTTATTAAATGAAATTCAAACCATTTAAAAGCTTCATTTAATATGACTTGCTGTGGTATTAGTTATAAATGTCAAAATATAAGTATTTTATTGACTGACAAAACAAACATATCAAAAAGTAATTGATGCAATAATGTTATTATAAAATATTTTATAATATTAGCTTTATTAAAGACACTTATGAAAAGTTTTCTGGGACTCATATTCATCACAACAATTTTAATTAGGAAAGTTAAAGATTATATCTAAATATATAAAACCTTGCTTTGCAAATTAAATGAGGTTGACATATTATGTATGCTTTTCTTGTTCATTGCTTACCTAGGCTCCTTGAAAAGTGCATGAGATTATGTGAGATTAAGTCTATAATAGGAATTCATAAATTATGGAACATTTAAAACTCAAAACTATTATTATTATAGATTTAATTTCCTTACATCTTGGTGATTGTTGAGTATCATAGTGTTGTGTCAGCATTTTATGGACTTTTTCCTCCCTTTCTAATGAGGTACATGCCAATTTTTATGCTCTAAGAATAACTAAATAATGAAAATATATAACAACAGAGTCTCTACTAAGCTGAATAATAATATATTATAGCTGCAAGCTTCCCTTAGAATGAAAGGACAATTGAGAAGACCCAGAGAACGCATCATGTAGTCAAA
This sequence comes from Homo sapiens, assembly GCF_000001405.40. NCBI lineage: Eukaryota > Metazoa > Chordata > Mammalia > Primates > Hominidae > Homo > Homo sapiens. The sequence continues at coordinate 170,938,996 of NC_000004.12, forward strand.
ATCTTCAACATCCAAAGAGGAGTAAGAAACTAAGTGAACAAACCCTTGCAGTTAGAACCTGAGTGTCTTATTCAAATATTATTGTAGTTGATGGGCAGTGTTCATGACAGAGTTACTGTGAATGAGTAGAGAGAGAGGATTTATGAGTCTATAAGTGAAAGTGAAAAGGGCAAAGTTAACTTGAGAGGGGGAGAGAAAGAGAGAAAGAAAGAGAAATGCACCCCTTAGTATATATCCTCAATATAACAGTTTATAGGTGACTACATTGCACATGTAATGAGGTAGCTTTAGAAAGTTAATTCATACAAGGAAAAACCAATGGTCAGTAGTCAAGTACCTTGTTTAACTGTCAACTTCCCCACTAGGGCCCTGCTGACAGCCATTGGCTCCCAACTCCTGTTTCAATTAAAAATAAAATCTTGGGTAGAGAAAATACTTTAATTTCTAATTGAAGTTAAAATAGTTATTGAGCAAAATTTTTTGTACATAATGCTGTTGAAAAACTTCACATGATAATAATATTTGTATTTTATGGTCTCTTACTGAAAATTTCAGCTTCCAAAGTGAGATGTTCATCTATTTAATTTTCTTAAGAGCTTTGAATTGCCTGTTCAGTCAAAACAGAGGTTTTAAGTGATGGACTTTTTTGTCAGGCTTTTTATTTAATTTCTAGTAATGGATGTAGAGACATTGAATGAAAATTCCCAGTTTGAAATAGTTTTATGGAAAAGAAATCCATATCACTTATAAATCACAGTGTTCATTCTCATTTTATGGTGATTGTACATGACTGTCCCTGTCATTACTGCCAGCTAGTATTTTTTTACGTCTGTTACAAGAAATTATTATTTCTGCTATATCATTAGAGTTTGAACACTAAGAAAACCTCCAGAACTTTGCTAGGGGGAAAATACACAGCGCTTTCTCGGATTATTAAATTTGAAAGTAAAATGGGGGACGGGGCCAAGATAACTGGAAAACAGCAGAGTTCCTAAGCTGCCATCAAAACAAACAAACAAACAAACAAAAACATAATAAGCATGTGAATCCTTCACCGGCAATGAAAGTGTCCAGGTTCTCTCGTCAGAAGTGACTAGGAGGCTGACATGACCTATGGAGAGAGGGAAGAACAGTGTGGTGTGGCGGCCCACCTGAGAGTCACACAGGGCAGGGGAGCCCCCTCCCCCAAGCCAAGGGAGGTGGTGAGTGACCGTGCTACCCAGACAGGGAAACAGTGCTTTTTCCACAGAACTGTGCAACCCACGGTTCAGAAGATCCCACTCACAAACCCATGCTACTGGGGCCTGGGGTCCCAACCCCTGGAGCATGCAGACTCTTAACAGCCTCTCAGATGGAATCTGCTTAAACCTATGAAACTCCCATGGGGGACAGGGGGTGGGGGCAAGCAGCACTACTGTCGCTGCCTGCTGTCTAAGCCATTTGAGCTGCTTGAGGGAGGAGCAACAGTCAGCACTGGGTCTCAAAACTTCCTAACGTGCTAAGCTCCCTGGGCAGGGGGAGGGCAACACCCATCTCTATAGCTCCAGGCTGTGCTTTTCCCCTGCTGGAGCCAGGGAGACTAGACAGCTTGGTCCCAAGACTTGCCCCTACAGCCCAACACACTGACTGTGGCAGTTTGTAGCCAGAGGACCTCTTCAGGCCTGACCCTGATCCATCCTTCCTCATTGGGCAGGGATTCCCTGCAGGAATTCCAATAACTCCAGCCAGAGGCTCAGGGACAGAACCTGGATCTCCCTGGGCCTGAACCCCTAGGGAGAGGGGTGGCCACAGTCTCTGTGGCCCAGCAGATTTAGCCTTTCCTCCTGGTAGTTTTGAGGAATCCAGTCAGCCCAGATGAGTGGGTTTCCCCCCAGAAAGGCACACCTCCTCTACTAAGGAACAAAGTGCTTCATTAAATAGGTCCTGTTCCCCATTGCCACCCAACTGAGTGAGACCCTCCAACAGGGGTTGTCGGACACTCTATACAGGAGCAATTCTACTGCCATCAGCTTGGTGTCCCTCAAGATCAGAGATCCCAGAAGAAGAAGCAGGCTTCCATCTGTGCTGTTCTCCAGTGTGCTTGAGTGACCTCTCCAGCCATGGGAGTGACAGATGAATAAGGACTGAAGTTAACCCCAAGCACACTGCAGCAGCTCTGCAGAAGAGGAACTTGACCATGGAAAGAAAAACAAACAAGCAGAAAGCAACAACAACAGCATCAACAACAAAAAAGCCCCCACAAAAACTCCATCCAAGTGTCGGCAGCCTCAAAGACCAAAACTAGACAAACTCACAAAAAAAGAACCAACAACAACAACAACAAAAAAGGGGAAAACCCAAAAGACCAGAGTGCCTTTACTCCTCCAAATGATTGCAACATCTCCCCATCAACGGCACAGAACTGGACAGAAGATCAGATGGACAAATTGACAGAAGTAGGATTCAGATGATAGGTAATAAAAAAACTACACTGAGCTAAAGAAGCACGTTCTAACCCAAGGCAAAGAAGCTAAGAACCTTGATAAAAGGTTAGAGGAATTGCTAACTAGACTAACCAGTTTAGAATGGAACATAAATGACCTGATGGAGCTGAAAAACACAGCACAAGAACTTTGTGAAGCATACACAAGTACCAATAGCCGAATCGATCAAGGGGAAGAAAGGATATCAGAGTTTGAAGACCACCTTGCTGAAATAAGGCCTGCAGACAAGACTGGAAAAATAAGAATGAAAAAGAATGAACAAAGCCTACAAGAAATATGAGACTTCATAAAAGACCGAAATCTATGAATGACCGGAGTACCACAAGGAGCCAGGGAGGATGGAAACAAGCTGGAAAACACACTTCAGGATATCATCCAGGAGAACTTCCCCAACCTAGAAAGACAGGCCAACATGCAAATTCAGGAAATACAGAGAACACGATTAGGATACTCCATGAGAAATCAATATCAAGACACGTAGTCATCAGATTCTCCAAGGTTGAAATGAAGGAAAAGCTGTTAAGGGCAGCCAGAGAGAAAGGCCAGTTCACCTACAAAGGGAAGCTCATCAGACTAACAGCGGAACTCTCAGCGGAAACTCTACAAGCCAGAAGAGATTGGGGGTCAATATTCAACATTCATTAAAAAAAAGAATTTCCAACCCAGAATTTCATATCCAGCCAAACTAAGTTTCATAAGCGAAGGCGAAATAAAATCTTTTCCAGACAAGCAAATCCTGAGAGATTTTGTTACCACCAGGCCTGCCCTTCAAGAGCTCCTGAAAGAAGCATTAAATATGGAAAGAAAGAAATGGTATTCAAATAGAAAGAAAGGAAGTCAAATGTCTCTGTTTGCAGATGACATGATTTTGTATCTAGAACACCCCATCATCTCAGCCCAAAACCTACTTAAACTGATAAGCAACTTCAGCAAATTCTCAGGATACAAAATCAATGTGCAAAGCTCACAAGCATTTCTTTATACCAACAAGATACAAGCAGAGAGCCAAATCATGAATGAACTCCCATTCAGAATTGCTACAAAGAGATTAAAATACCTAGGAATACAACTAACAATGGATATGAAGGACCGCTGCTCAAGGAAATAAGAGAGGACACAAACAAATGGAAAAATATTCCATGCTTATGGATAGAAAGAATAAATATCGTGAATATGGCCATAGTGCTGAAAGCAATTTATAGATTCAATGCTCTTCTCATCAAACCACCATTGACATTCTTCACAGAATTAGAAAAATCCATTTTAAATTTCATACGGTATAAAAAAGACCCCATATAGCCAAGACAATCCTAAGTAAAAAGAACAAAGCTGGAGGCATCACTCTACCCGACTTCAAACTATACTACAAGGCTACAGTAACCAAAACAGCATGGTACTGGTACCAATATAGACATATAGACCAATGGAGCAGAACAGAGACCTCAGAAATAACAGCACAAATCTACAGCCATCTGATCTTTGCCAAACCTGGCAAAAACAAGCAATGGAAAAAGGATCTCCTATTCAGTAGATGGTGCTGGGAAAACTGGCTAGCCATATGCGGAAAACTGAAATTAGACCCCTTCCTTACACGTTATACAAAAATAACTCAGGATGGATTAAAGACTTAAATGTAAAACCCAAAACCATAAAAACCTTAGAAGAAAAACTAGGCAATACCATTTAGGAAATAGGGATGGGCAAAGACTTCATGACAAAATACCAAAAACAATTGCAACAAGAGCCAAAATTGATAAATGGGATCAATTAACTAAACGGCTTCTGCTCAGCAAAAGAAACTATCATCAGAGTGAACAGGCAACCTACAGAATGGGAGAAAATTTTTGAAATCTACCAATCTGACAACGGTTTTATATCCACACTTCACAAAGAACTTAAATTTACAAGAAAAAAACAAACATCCCTATCAAAAAGTGTGCAAAGGATATGAACAGACACTTCTCAAAAGAAGACATTTATGCAGCCAACGAACATATTAAAAAAAAGCTCAACATCACTGATCATCAGATAAATGAAAATCAAAACCATGCCAGTCAGAATGGCGATTATTAAAAAGTCAGGAAACAATAGATGCTGGTGAGGCTGTGGAGAAATAGGAATGCTTTTACATTGTTGGTGGGAATGTAAGTTAGTTCAACCATTGTGGAAAAAAGTATGTTTGATTCCTCAAGGATCTAGAATCAGAAATACCATTTGACCCAGCAATCCCATAACTGGGTATATACACAAAGGAATATAAATCATTCTACTATAAAGACACTTGCACACTTATGTTTATTGCAGCATTATTTACAATAGCAAAGACATGGAACCGACCCAAATGCCCATCAATGATAGACTGGCTAAAGAAAATGTGGTACATGTATACCATGAATACTACGCAGCTATTAAAACGAATGAGATCATGTTCTTTGCAGGGACATGGATGAAGCTGGAAGCCATCATCTTCAGCAAGCTAACAGAGGAACAAAAAACCAAATACTGCATTTTCTCACTCATAGTTGGAAGTTGAACAGTGAGAACACATGAACAACAAACACCAGGGCCTGTAGCGGGGTGGAGGGTTAGGGAAGGGAACTTAGAGGACGGGTCAATAGGTGCAGGAAACCACCATGGCACCCATATACTTATGTAACAAATCTGCACATTCTGCACATGGATCCCCTTTCTTTTAAAAGAAATTTAAAAAAGAAAGTATAATGGACATATATTAAGAAATATTATTTTATATTCAATTTAAATAAATCCTAGAACTTTCACTTGAACCTGCCATGTTCCACAGAGTTGAAAATAAGAGTTAAATTGATCATGAATTTATACATACTCCAGGAAACACAGCAACAGGATCGCACAATATAACCTAAATGAATATAGTAGTTTTTCTGTGGTGGGATCCAGTGATTCTGACAAAGCAATTGAGTAAATTTCTCTTTCTCTATTATGGAGAGAGAACACATAGAGTGTAACAGAAAATGCCACCAAGCAAGACTTTCAGATATGATATTTTAAAATGATTTAGAAAAACTCTATTATTTGGAATCATTTCTATTTATTTAAAATTTTTAACATAAATATTTTATTCTAAGCAAACCATAAATAGTGCAATTTTAGGAGTCAATGTTCACAAAACAGCAACTCTATCTCTCAGTCTACTCTATACTGCACTGCTGGCATCAGAATGTGGCTAGAAAAAACACTACTTTGCTGCCAATGCTTATTCATTCATGCCTCTTACTCTCAAGTGAAACCTTAATGAGCAGTTATATTATCTCATTTCTGTTCATTCTCTAATAATTCTTTATGATAATTTCACCACCAATAATCATCTTCTAAAATTCCAGTACCCCTTCCTCTCTCCTTTCAATTGATGAACTCACTTCTTATGTTACAAAGAACATTTAAAGAATTAGAGGAGATCATTTGCAAGTATCTACCAGCACATCTAACTCTCTGCCTACACTCATATATTTTTACATTTTCTTGGAGTTTTTTACAGGAGGAACTGCCTGTGCTCCCAATAAATGCAGACACTATCACTCCTGGGTCAGCTTCATGCCTGTACTTGTTCAAGGAACTGTCTCCTGCATTTCCCCTTTATCCCTCCTGCAGCTTCAGTTTTTCTAATTCTGGAAGAAAAAAAAAAGATTTTTTTCCTTAAAACAAACAAAGAAGCAATGACAACAAAAACGTTTTCTTGACCTTACTTTCCCCTCTAGTTTTCTTTTACAGCAAAACTTCTTGAGAGAGTTGTGTATACTTGCTGTCTCCAATTTCCCTCCTACCAATCCTCAAATCCACTTGCCTCTGACATTTTCCCTATCATTCCATAAAAACTGCTTGCCAAGGCCAACACTCAGATTTATTTACTAAATCCAATCTTGAGTTACCAGTCTCCACTTTTCTTCATGAACCAGCAACATTTGGCACAGCTTATCATTAAGTCCTCACTGAAACATTTTTTTTTGTATTGGTTTTCAGCACTCCATACTTTCCTTCATTTCATCCTACCTAGTAGCTATTCCTTCTGAGTCTCCTTTGATAATTTATTTTTATCTACACAAGTGACCACCTTATTTAAGAACAACCCATGACCTTCTCTGCTGATGCTCAGTCTAGGGGGAGATCTCACCCAATCTCAGGACTTTACATGCCATTCACAAACTATTGCCCCTGAAGCTGTATGTCTGGCCCAGAAATCTCCCCTCAGCTCCAGATTTTATATTCAATTTTCTATTTAATACTTCTACCTGTATTTTAGTCAGTACTTTAACCTTAGAATGTACAAAATTAAGTTTTGGGTATTAATTCCTCTGTGTCTGTTTTTTCAGGGTTCTCTAAAGGGAGAGAACTAATAGGATAGATGTATATATGAAGGGGAGTTTATTAGGAGAATTGCCTCACACAATCACAAGGTGATGTCCCACAATAGGCCGTCTGCAAGCCGAGGAGCAAGGAAGCCAGTTCCAGTCCCAAAATCTCAAAAGTAGGGAAGCCGACAGTGCAGCCTTTGGTCTGTTGCCAAAGGCCTGAGAGCTCCTGGCAAATCACTGGTGTAAGTACAAGAGTCCAATAGCTGAAAAACTTGGAGTCCAATGTTTGAGGGCAGGAAGCATCTACCACGGGAGAAAGATGACCAGAAGACTCAGCCAGAATGCTCTTTTCAACTTCTGCCTGCTTTATTCAAGTCACCCTGGCAGCTGATTAGATGGTGCCCACTCAGATTGAGGGTAGGTCTGCCTCTCCCAATCCACTGACCCAAATATTAATCTCCTTTGGCAACACCTTCACAGACACACCCAGGAATAATACTTTGCATCCTTCAATCCAACCAAGTTGACAGAGTATTAACCCTCACAGCATCCAAAGAGATCTCTCTGCCTTTCCCCTTGCCCCTCAACTGAGTAACCAGATCACCATCCTTCAAAAATTTGAATCAGACCATGTCACACTTCTGGTCAATATCTTCCAGGGCTTTTCATCTCATTCAAAGTAAAGCTGCAATTCAAAGCCTGATGCCCCTGATATCCTTTCCACCTAACTCCATCTTCCAGCGTTTTTTGTTCTGTTTTCTCTGCTCTAGCCCCACTGGCCACCTGGCTGTTCATTGACTGCTTCACATACATTTCAACCTCAGCGCCTTTATACTTGTAGACCCTTTGTCTGAAATGCTCTTTCCATTGATATCCACCTGACTCCCTATGTTATAACACTTGTGTCTTTGCTTATTTCCTTTGTGAGGATTTCTCTAAGGCCTCTATTGAAAATTGCAATTCTAATATAGCCTGCCGCACTTTTTATAATTAAACATTACTTTTCTCCATGACATCTTACACCATTTAAATGATATATTTATTTAATTTATTGCCTATCTCTGTCCTCCATAGTGGTATTTCCACTAGGGCATGGATTGTTGTTTATTTGTTTTTCCCACTGTATCAAATATACCTAAAAACAGAACTTGGAGTATAGTTGGAGCTTAATACAATTTTATTAATTGATTTACAAGCAAATGCATGTGTGAATGAAAACATTCCCAAAGATTGATGCCAAATACTAGGGTTTCAACTTTTACAAAGAGACAGAAAAACTGAATTTTGAGTTTTGCAAAGTAAACTTCATTACAGTGTCTGAATATTCTATGGATATGTTTCAGGTTCAATGTTAATCAAATGTAAGTAGAATACAAGCAGTAGAAATATTTACAGTAAAAAGTTAAAAACATCAGCTTTGAAATTAGGGAAAAATGGACTCAGAACCAGTCATTAAATAGTCTTGTTTTTGTTTTCTGGGAGGGAAACAGTTTAGTCTGTCTAAGCCTTTATTTCATTTTCTCAGAATTGAAGATTAAAATATAAATTCTCTTTGAAATGAGGATTAGTTGGGACGATGTACATAAAACCTTTAATATACAGTAAGCTCTCAATAAGAATACCACATTGAAAAGGAAAAAAAAATCTGAATTTAGGTTTACTGTTAAATATGTCATTATTGTATCATTTTTGGTGTGTATGGATTTCTCTGTTAAAAACTTTTAGGTAAATACTGGTTATGAGATTCTGGGGGGTTAGAATAGCATTCTTTGGATTTTATGATGTGGACATTACTTTTCTACGACATTTTATAGTTTTGTATATAATTTTATATACTAGAATCTTTAGACCCATATTAGCTATTTTTTACATCTTTATTCCTTTTCATTGCCTAATATACATAGACTATTAACGTACTTGTTCAGACATAAATATAAAGAATTTCTGACACTTTTAGCAATTACACTTTATAAACTGGTGATAAAAACCATGCACATTTATGATAATATACAAGGGAAATTCAGATTTCTCCAACCTCTGAAATAATGTTCTTTAAACCACAACTATAATATGGCCCATGGTAAAATTAAATTCATATTTTGTTACATTCATACATTTATGGGGTCTGTAACTCTTTTTTTTCATTTTTTAAAATGCCTTAAGCCAGTGAGAATAAGTGAATAGCTTCTTGTGAAAAAATTTATTTTAATTTAAAAACTTATTTTTAGGTAGAAATCTTTTACATTTTAAATTAATAAACTTACATTACAGAATAATCTTTCAGGTTTAAATAAAAATGTCCAACACTAGTAACTTGCAAAATTAAATTAGTTTCTGCAAGTCATTTTTCTTACTATGCATCTTATTAATATGGAAAATTGCCTCTTTTCATTATAAAAATTTCTGTGTGGGACTATATCCCAGCTCCTACAAAGTTGTATTAGCATATGTGAATACAATGAAATAAGTTAATGCAGTTCTTCACCATGGAAAGCAAGTCTGCAGAAAAATATCATGGGAGATGACAGCTGAGCTTAACCTATCCCATAGGCTTTTGTCACTGTTCATCCTTGAAGGTCTTTTCAAAATTGTGTGCCATGTAATGTGTCATTATTAAAGGTGAACTGACTTTTACAGCCTTTTTCTGAAAGGTCATTCCAGGGTAGGCACAAGATCTTGGCTTCCACTTTGCATGAGTTTTTCACATAATGTTGCTGCATATTCTCTTTAGTGCTTTCTTACCGCACCTCCCCACCACTGGCTTCTCCTCTTTAACATTTTCACATTTCTGTCATTGGCAAAGTAAGATGATGGGAACAGCACTCACCTGGGACACTTCACAACTCTGTTCTAGAAGTAGACAGAAGTGGAAAGAAATAATAAAATCATACTCCTGTTGGGCACATCAAAAGAGGTAATATTTAAGTGCTCATGCCAGGTAGGACCATGTTTTCAAAGGTCCATTTACTACGAAGTCAGGTTCTTATTGATCATTACAGTCAATGGTAAGTTGACTATCATGACATTCATTCAATTTTCAAGATTTCTATTGAGATTTATCATGATAATGGGGAAGAAATGTGATTGTGAGAAAAGGATAAAAGAAGAGCATAAAACAGAAAAATATGAAATATTGGAACACAGGCATTAATGTGATTTTATGTCTACTGGTAGAGGATCCTCTTAAAATTACCCAGTCATTTTAAATAAGTTCAATCACTCATAAAGCCATTTCTAAATGTAGAAACTGTAATTGTGCCTTAGGATAATTCTCAATGCAAATACTGTAATTAGTAGTTATTGTGTACAATATGTATACATTTCTTTTTCTGATTAGTCAGATAAAATCCTCCCTCCTTTATGAGAATCGAATTCTTTCTCATTCCAACCATGTGATCCTGTTGAGGCTTATCAGTTACTCCCTGGCTTAGGAAATGGGCAGCTGGCCACATTTAAAACAATTGTAATACTCCACTCACATGTAGCAATTGATCTAGAGATAATGAGCTGGGACATTAGAATTGTTTCTAGATGTTACTCTAGTTAGATTTATAGACAACTGCCAACTCTCATTTAGAAGTTGTAAGGAGGTAAGCCAGGAGTAACTAGTTTCTTTCGGACAGCCAGTTTTCGTGAATGAAGGTGATATTCAGAAAGAGCATAGATAAAAAAAAAAGGAGACAATGATTTTTACCAGTGTCTGGGCACATGGGTTTTAACCATCCCTAAGGATAAATCTATCCATGGTTTCGCATACATAATATATTCAGGTGAGCGAATGGGTTAGTGTTACGTTTGTTGTTTTTAATGTAATATTATATGTAGTTTGGATCTTGTTTTGATAAACCAAAAAATTCCTAACACAAAGTTGTTATTATCCTCTTTTTTCTAGGTATAGCAATTTCAATACAAAAAGAGCATATAAATTGATAATGTATAATTTTAGGTCAGCTTATCTCTATGGGACACAATATATTCACATGAAAAGAAAAGTTTCAATCTGGTGAATGTCTCTAAAGAACACCGTATCAAATGAATTAATTTGCATAAAATAACCATTTTTAAATTTAAATGAAAGTTCTAATACATCTCAATTCAACTTTACAACAGAAAAATGAGTGTTGTGGTAATTTGATTTGAAAAAGCAAATTATCAAATCAAAATACAGGCTTTCTGGTTCTCTGAAGTTTTTAATTATTTTACAGAAACCATAACAAAATACCTCTAAGCGTAATACAAAGAAGAACAAAATTCATGTTAATATATAACTGAATATAACTTAATTTGTAAAAGCAAATAAAAGTCTAATTATTTTCCAGTTTTCCTGGAAATGACATTTTGTCACTTTGTAAAATACGTTTTGTATTTTACCAAAGTAATTATTTATACAGCACTTCACTGAAAAATAAATTCTAGCTGTCATTAACCTGTCTTAAGGCTCAAAAACAACTTCATTTTGTGTTAGTAGTAATTGATAGCTTACTTGAGCATATATTAATAGTTCACTTTATTAGATAGTTGGTAAAATATCTAGGGATGTCAATAACATGACATGGCACAGAATTCTATTTCCAGAAAAAGAAATTCTTCAAAATAAAGGCAAAATATTTAGACTACCCCTCTTGCCCACATAAGTAAATGGAAAACAGATAATTTGTTTGCAGAAACCTTGTGTTAATGTCAGTGCTGAAGGATTGAAGAGCATGCCTCTGAAAAGAATGATCTTATGTAGATGCACTGAAAGGTTGTAAGAAAGTCATAGCAGTGTACAGATATGTTCATGAATATTCACAGAGCCAATGTGGAAAAAAAATTATCCATTAACCATATAATGGATAAAAAATATCTTACATGTTTATACAACAAAATACTATACAGTAGTAAAAATGTACAAACTTAACACTGTGCGACCAGCTTGGTGAATCTCACTGACATAATGCTGAATAAAGAAGCCAACTGCACTAAAAATGCACAGTGTTCAATTTTATTCACATAACTATGTAACTTATTTCACTTCTAAAATTCCTTGAGTTTGAATATAAAGAAACTGAAAACATTTCGATTACCTGTAGAAATGTTAGATTGCTAGAAACTGGGAGGAAGCGGGGGAGAGAACTATGTGGTACTGGGAATATTTTATTTCTTGACTGTTGGTTACACAGCTATGCTGTTTGTTATAATCCATGAATTGCTTATGGTTTGTATACATTTTCATGCAGAATATTCTTTAGTAATTTCTTTTCTTTTAGAATCTCCATTTTCTGTAGATTGAATAATTTGTAACAGACCAATGCTGCAGATGAGACAACTAGACATCAGATGGATGTGGAAGCCACAGAAAAGAAAGAGAAGAACTTTCTTCTAGAACTAAGCTCTCTGGAACAACTACCTCCCCAACACCCACCACCAAGAGTTTGCCTGTTTGAGCCGTATGCTATGGACAGCTTTGGGTAAGGGTTGATGGTAAAGGAAAGAGACACAGCAGAGCTTTTACCTGTCATGTAGGTGTAAATTTAAAAAAAAAAAACTGGAAACTCGAGAGTCTTTAATACACAGTCAGTTTCCTCTGACTTTTTACAGACATCTGAGAAGGGGGTTGTCTGTGGTAATGGACTTTGGCTATCAATGGGAAATGAGTTTGCTGTTACACAAAGAAAGGTAGTATCTGGAGACTCCTGGAGTACATCCCTAGACTGTTGTTTTCAGAGGTAAATAAAATTTAACTACATAACATTTTGGACTGTGTAATGCCTCTTGAATCTTATGAGTTACCACAGGAGGGAAGGTCTTCAGATGAAACAGGAAGCTATTCTAATAATGGGCAACATTGAATTGGAAATCATGCATTCTGAATGAAAAAAGAACATGACTTTAGTCTGGACCTGAATCTGGATTCCAAACATATCTATTACGTGGATAATTAACTCGCACTTAAACTTTTGTTTAAGTATCTGCTCCCGAAATGTAGTAATAGTCTTCATATTCTCTCTTTTACTCCCCATCTCCTCTCTACTACTTTAATAAAATAAAATAAAATCTTTTTCGTAGGTAACAAAAGGCAAGTGGAGCTACTGAAGCAAAGCTCATCAGGTAGAGATGATTGAGGTCTCTAAGACCAAACAGCCAACATTAAAATGACATATTTTAAAATGTCCAATGAGTATACAAAAGTTGCACATGGTTTTGTGCTGAAAGCAACAAATACTGAAGTAGGAAAAGGAGTACTAGAAAATGTTTCATGAATACCAGCTTCTAATGATTCTGGACTCTCTGCTTGTACAAAGTTCTCAGATTCAGTGATGAGTGTATACTCATGATGAATCCCATTCACTTGAATGGTTTTATCTCTTTTGCAACAAATTCTTCCTAATAAAAATATTCACAACTTCTGTAAGAATTTATCTCTGATTTGAAATGCTGATATTTATTTTTATCTTCTTGAATTTAAATTGGTCTCATTTTTTAAAGTAACTACATTAAGCATTTTTTTTTTCTGGGATCTACAGTTTTTCCCATATAAAATTTTAGATCAAGGTTTTTGTAAGAGTAATTGCTATTTCACATTTTTATTCAAAAATTATATAAAATATCCTACATTTCCATTTGGGGAAAAATGTGGAAAAGAGCTATCATATTGTTAGTCCCCCAATGTATTTTATCCTTTTGAAAAATTTAACAAGATACATACCACTGAAAATTATATGCCTTCTTGAATCAATTAATATAGCAGATATCATGTACTCCTTTTAATAATATTTGTTCATAATCTTAGAAATAAATGTATGACTCAAGGTGCCCACGTAGATCAAAATCTATCATTTACTCGGCCCATACTTCCCTTTTATTTGTCTCTTCTTACCTTTTAAAATAAACTTTTTTTTACTTTAAAGCAGTTTCAAATTGACAAAGTAATTTGGAGAGCAATAGAGAGAGTTCTCATGTTCTCTATACTCAGTTGCCCCCATTATTAACATATTTACATGAGACATTTAGTAAAATCAATATTAATATTGTTACCACATCAACAAATATAGACATATTATAATTAACTAAAGTTCATAGTTTATTCAGACTTTCTTAGTTTTTACTTACTATCCTTTTTATGTTCCAGGGTCCCCTTCAAGATATGACATTATATTTAGTCCTCATGTCTCTTTTGTCTCCTCTTGACTATGGCAGTTTCCTTTATTACCCTTGTGTTTGATGGCCTTGATAATTTTGAGTGGTATAGGCATTTTGTTGAATTCCCTTCAAGTGGGATTTGTATGATGTTTTTCTGATTATTTTACAGTAATTATGTTTCCTTGGGAAGACCACAGAGGTAAAGTGCCTTACACATCATATCAAGAGTACATACCATCACCATCACTTACTATTATGATATTAACCTTGATCATTTGGCTGAGGTTGGTTAGTCAACTTTATCCAATGAAAAATTATTCTTTTTCACCCCCACCCTTTTCATAATTTAGCCTTTGGAAGAAAATTACTATGTTTAGTCAATACTTAAGAGGGTGGAGTTGGTAAATCTACAACTTCTTGAGTGTGGAGTACCTATATAAATTAGTTGGACTTCTTTATGGAAAATTTGTCTCTTCTAAAATTTTTTCTCATTTATTTATTTATTAAGTCATTTATTTATGTATCAGTATGTACTCATGGATATTTTATACATTACAGTGTAATCTAATACTATGTTACTTATAATGTTGCTGAAATTTTTCAAGCTTTGAACATTAAACAAGCTCTTAGTTGGCTCCTGTGTCTCTGACATACCCCATCATTTTTTATTTTTTTCTCTCTTCTTTCTTTTTCTTTCTTCTTTCTTTCTTTTTCTTTTTCTTTCTCTCTCTCTCCTTCCTTCCTTTTCTTTCCTTTCTTTTCCTTCTTTCCTTCCTTCCTTTCCCTTCCCTTACCCTCCCTCCCTCCCTTCCTTCAATCCATCCATCTTTTTCTCTTTCTTTCTCTCTTTCTCTCTCTCTCTCTTTCTCTCTTTCTCATTAAAAGATACTTTAGACCGGTCACGGTGGCTCACGCCTGTAATCCCAGCACTTTGGAAGGCCGAGGCAGGCAGATCACAAGGTCAGGACATCAAGACCATCCTGTGAATGGTGAAACCCCATCTCTACTAAAAATGCAAAAAAATAGCTGGGTGTGGTGGCAGGCGCCTGTAGTCCCAACTACTCAGGAGGCTGAGGCGGGAGAATGGAGTGAACCTGGGGGGTGGAGCTTGCATCAGCCTGGGCGACAGAGCGAGACTCCGTCTAAAAAAAAAAAAGATACTTCAGCCTCAGCCTCAGCCTCAGCCTCAGCCTCATCTTGTAAATTTTCTGCCTAGTCCGAGGCAGAAAATACATTTCTCCAAAAAGCCCTATTTTCTTTTATTGGATAATGGTATTAGACACCAAGAGCTGGGTGTTTCAGTATGCTCGTTGTCACTAGGATGTCATTGCTTGTAGGCCTTCTCAGCTAAGAGAAAGAAAATATATGTGTATATACTAACTCATGTATATACAGATATCTATAATTATATTTATATGTGACCATTTAAACCATATTAAGTTAAATATATGTGTTCATACTGATGTCTCCAACTCTAATCCATTACTGCATGACGCTTTCCAGCCTCCTCCTCTTGCTTATCTGTAACCTCCCATTACCGACAGTGAGAAATCTGGCTTTCACCACCCACCATATATTTACTACACTGTTTAATTCCAGGTTATGGTATCACAATTGTTAACCCATATCTTGTGAGAAATAACTTTGTTAACTAGACTACATTGCTCGTGTACATTTTATTTTACCTTTAGTCTTAGAGATTCCACTCTTTTCCAACATTACTTAGAATATGAACCTTTCACTCGTGCCTTCATTAAAGTTGTTTCATGCATTTATAATATATTTAGATTCTTTTGTCATAATCTGTATTCTCAACTGTTATTCCCTGACCTTGTACATGATTTTTTAATTGCATAAGTTAAGGCTCACTCTTTCTGCTGTAACGTTCCATAGGCTTTGACAAATGTATAATTTTGTTTATCCACCATTATAGTACCAGTCAGAATAGCTTCACCACCATAACAATTCTATGCACTTTACATATTCAGACATTGCCTCCTTTTTCTAAACTCTAGAAAATTTCTTATCTTTTTTCAAATATCGTTTTTATAGTTTTGTCTTTTCCAAAATATTCTACAATTGAAATCTTGTAGTATATAGCCTTTTAAGGTTGCCTTCTTTTGTTTCGAATATGTACTTAAGTTTGATTCATGTCCCTTTGTGGTGGCTTAATTGTGCATATATTTTTTCTATAAGTAATATTTCATTGGATGGATAAGCCATAGTTTAATTTGTTGAAGGACATCTACATTACTTTAGTTTGGGGTGATTCTGAATGAAGCTGCTGTAAACACTCGCATGCATGTTCCTGTGTGAATGTAAGTTTTCTAATCAGTTGGGTAAATCACAAGGAGCACGAGTATTAAATTGTGTGAAATTACTGTGTTTTAAATTTGTAAGAAAATGCCTGTTTTTCAAAATGGCTTATACCATTTTGAATTCCACAGCAATAAAGAGGAATTCTTTCTCACCTTTTATAATTTCTATTCTCTCACGAATGAGCATTAAATTCTTAATAAATATCAAAAGTTTTATAATAGAATAAAAGCACATTATGTGAGAAGCAGTGAAAGTTTGGATTGAAAATTTAATATTTAAATTCAACTTATAGAGCACCTGGAAAAATACTAATATAGAATAACAAATTATTTTACAGAGAACCCTGTGGAATTAGCTTTAAATAAAAGATAAAGCCAGTTCAATATCAGCATATCACCCCTTGGCATAAAATGGATACGGGTAAAATGCTTAAAAATTTATTGCTTTCTAAAGTTTGATAGTCCACCTCATGACTACATTTGCACTTTGAATTTGACAGTAAATATTTTTATATATTAAATAAATTATAGTATATGCTGTTTAAAATTTTATGCATTATAAGTATTCTTGTTACAATTAAAAATAGAGTAACCATTTTACATGCATCCCATTTTTACATAATGCAATTTTTCAGATTTGCACTCTTATGGAGTTTTTTTCTCAAATACAGCTGTTTAAATAAATAATGTACTTTTCCCTTGAATTTGAAATGTTAAGTTCTATCTTGTATAAGGTCTTTTTAAGAATAAAAGTTTAATGAAACAAAATCATAATCAAAATCCCAAGCAAACAAAATCTCTTGAGCTCTACCTTTACAGTATCTGTTAAATTTTCTACTACAACCATCGTAAGAGATCATTTAAAGTTTTTTAAAAAATTATTTATTAAAAACCTATGCCACAAAATTGTAACTGGTTCTACTTTTCCTGAGGTATTTTTTTAAACTTCATAATGACCTAATAATCCTCAAAACACCACTGAGAAGTAACTGAGGTTATGTTATGGTATTCTATAAAATTCACTTTTTTATATCCACAAATGGATTTTTGGTTTTGGCTTTGATCATTCTTTTCTGCTGACTTAGACAGGAGCTATCAGAGGCTTATTCACAGATGGGACCTTTCTGCAATAGTGCTTCAAGAACACAGTGAAAGATGACTCTATTAAAAAATGGTTGTATCCAGAAATTATTGCTCAGGAATAAGGATTAGCCGTACTATTTGAAACAAAAATACAAAATAGTTCCAAATTCATGTATGACGTAAAAAATCATTATGACATTGCTAGCTAATATTTCAAGTCACAAATCAAATACTGTCTTTGGCTTTAACTTTTAGCAAAATGCACAGTGATGATGCATGCCATATGCCTATGTAAAATAAAAACATTAAATCGAACACAATCATACACAACCATGATAATAGGAAATACAGTATGATAACTGAGCTTCTCTTGGATGCTGGCTATCACGGTAATTTACCACTCAAAAGTGATTGCCAACCTGTCTTATGATATCCACGGATCTGTGTTCTGCCGCTGTAGTTTTTGCTTTCCTAGAAAGTCATACAAATGTAATCATTCTCATGTTGCCTTCTGAATTTTGCTTATAAAGTTAGCATAAAGTATTCTACAATGACTCATATTATAAGTGTACCTGGAATTCATGTCTTTGTATTTCTGAATAGTATTCCATCTTTATGAATATGCAACAGTTTTTGTATTCATACACCCTTTGAATTACGTCGGGATTTTCTAGTATTTGGTGAATAGAAATGAAGTCATCATAAAGATTTGCAAAATATTTCATGTGAATATGTTTTATTTTATTTTGTAATATGTAGAAGTGAAATTGCTGGGTCATCAGGTAACTGTATTATTACTTTTATATAAGACTCAGAAATCATTTGCCCAAATGGGTGTACCATTATAAATCCACATTAGTACTGTATTAGCTTTCTGGTTGTTCTTCATCCTCAACAGAACTTGATATTTGTTATTTTCTTTATCCTCCTTTATGATGGTGTGTAATGGCATCTCGTTATGGATTTTATTTTCATTTTCTTAGTTAATGATGTCGAGTTTCTTTTTATGTTCTTCTTTAGTGCGTTGTCAAAAGTTTTTCCATTTTGGGGGGATAGTGTATTAGAATTGAGATTTGAAATTTCTATGTTAATTCTGGATATCAGTTCTTTGTCAGTTATATATTTTGCAAATGTAGCCTGCCGTCTACATATTTCCCCTAATTTTCTTAAGAGTGTATTTTGAAGAACGTAATTCCTTAATGGTAATGAGGTTTTTCTTTTTACAAAATCATACTTTTAGTGTGGAATCTAAGAAATTTCACCCAACAATTAAAGGTCAAAGAGATTTTTATCTGTATTTTTCTATGGAAGTGTTATAGTTTAGGTTTTTACTTTAGGGTTATGATCTATTATGAGTTAGTTTTCTGTATGGTACTAAAGACAGATCATTATTCCTTTTCTGCGTATGAGTGTTGCAGGGAAAAACAGTCTGTGTGCATTCTCTGCCCCCCATTTGGGTGCATAGGAATGGATCTTGAGCCTAGAACCCTGTCTTACCAAGAGATAAGGAGCCCGTAAGACCTGTACTGGGTTTATCACCTTATGAGGGATTATCTTTGCCTATTGCAAGCTCAATGTATCCTCAATGTATCTACGTAAGCATGTGCATGGCATGGCACGTGGCCAACCCCATTGCTCCTTTTGTCCTCCTCTGGAAAGTCACAGGATCAATCTGTGACAGGAAAGGGGTGTGGGTGGCCATTTGGCATACATCTGATGCAAGGATGAGCCCTCCTGGCCATGGGGAAACAATGCACACAGTTGACATTGATCTTGCTCTGTCACTTCTCTATGTAAATAAAGTGTTGTCCATCCAATGCTTGACTGTGCTGTTTCTCTTGGTGGATACCAACATGCAATGGCTAGAAGTGTATGGAGTCCTTCCCTGGGATTGATAACTAGCGCATGGTGTTCTGCAGAACAGATCTCAAATATTTTCAGAACAATTGTACAAGTTAAGAAAAGTTCCTTTCCTTAAGAAGCTGACATCATAGAGGTAGAAGCAGTCAATAAACAATAAACACAATAATTAAGTATATTATACAGTATATAAGAAGATGGTAAGTCCTATAGTCAAAAGAAAAATTAGAATACCATAAGGGATTTCAGATATGAATGCATTAAGTAGAGGGATTTATGAAACATGGGACAGATATCTGACCTTCATGAGAGCTTTGTTGTTACCTTCTGTGTTCTTTCCTGCTATTATAAAATATAAGAACATCTCTATATTACTTCAATGAAATGCCCTGACTTTCTTCAGAAAGGTAAAATAATTATAAATAATAAAATGTAACTAATTATCTCATTATTAATATTGAGTGAGGCCCAAGTAACAATTTTAGTTATGGATCAAACAATGACTCATTGAAAGGCATTTTATACTGGACTAGTTTGGTCTGATACTTACAATTAAAATACCTGAGAAAATATTGAGATTCTTAAATTCTTCAAATATCAGTTTTTTTATTCCAGAATATATTAAAGTTTTTAAAAGTAAAAGAATGACAAAAATGTAGTTGTATATAAATCTTTTTAAAACATAAGAGACTTGAAAGTAATTAAATCCACATGTTAACCATATAATCTATTCTAATGATCTTTAAGGAAACAAGCTATTGAGAGAAATATTCAAATTATGTTTAATATTGAAAGTGAAAAGTTGGCAAATATCTATTTTTACTTATCTAACGTGAATTAATAAGCAAAGATAAAGAGTATTATTTCTGTTTATATACTATATAGGGATAATAACTATTAATTTCTGTAATGTATTTTATGGAAGAAAGTACTTGTTAAACTATCTTTGTAAAATTAAAGGCAATTATGGGAGGGTGAGTTAATATTTCACAATTAAAACACATTGATCTAGTTAATGAAAGAACATTTACTAGCTTCTAATTTTGACAGTAATGTATTTTGATGTTTCTTTGAATCAACAATAATTTTGTTTATAAAATCATGCAAATATTAGACTGAAATGGAATGATAATAAGCAAAGGAGCACCATGCCTCATTGAAAGAATTTTTAATTACAGATCATTTAATCAATTTTCACATCTATTCAGTATCTTTATTTCAATTTTATTGTTTAACAGGTGAAAAAACTTCCTTTGTTTTTCCTGTGAAAACATAATTTTGTGGATATTAAACAGATTATAACTGTAGTATTTATTTAAAGTGTTTTTCTCTAAGAAGGGTTAATAGATTTAATATGCTGAGTGTCCAAATTAGCTAGCCTACATGTACCAATTGAAGCCATGTTTCATATGATAATGCTGAAAATGTATACCCAGGCCATGCAAACCAGGGGTGTCCAATCTTTTGACTTCCCTGGGTCACACTGGAAGAAGAAACATTGTTTTGGGACATGCATAAAATACACTAACACTAATGATAGCTGATGAGCTAAAAATTATTTTTAAATTGCATATCATTTTAAGAAAGTTTGAGAATTTGTGTTGGACTGCATTCAAAGCCATCCTGGGCCACATGTAGCATGTGGGTTGCAGATTGGACAAGCTTGATGTAAATAGTTCAGTTTTCTTAATTTTGTGAGACGTTGTAGGTTGACACTCTTTCTACTTTTTTGAATCAAATAGTTGTTTTTAAAAAAGTTGATATTAACATCCTTATTCTGTGTTAATGAAATATCTACTGCAACACGATTAAAAAATATTCAGGCAAATTATCAGACAGAAATTAGTGTAAAGATGCAAGTAACAATATGAATATAGTGAAATAGTATTAAATAAATCGATGCATTTAAAATATTTATGTAATCAGCCTATAAACTTGAGACTTCTCTTTTCCTAGTGAATTATTTTAATTGTTTCTCGATGTTGTCACTCAAAATAGTGTTTATTTTATGTGCCTTTTACTATAGCTCCCTTAAAAATACTGGTAAAAATAAAAACATAAAAGTATATAATCAGCAGAATTATCAAAATAATTTAACAGCAGCACATCTATTGAGTAAAATACATTCATGAATCAACCTCACTAACATATTTTATCTAGGCTCCCCCTCAGTTTACCTGTATAAATGGTACAGTTAGGATGTATTAAAATTCCATGTTAGTAAAATAAACCTTGAAGCAGTATCTAAGAAAATTTCTGGAGTTGATCAAAGGTGTAGGTGAAGCAGCTCTGACTTGGATTATAAAAGTAGAAAGATCATAGATTCAGACCCATTCTTCAGATGTTAGCCATTGAGAGCATGATTACTCTTAATGATGCTATCTCTTTTAATGCACAGACAACAGTGCAAGAACACAAGGATTACAAAGAATCAAGAAGTCATGACATCTCTAAAAGAAAGTAATAAATCTCCAATAATAGACCTTCAAGAAATGGAGAGCTGTAAAATGATTGACCAAAAATTGAGACAAATTCTCTTTAAGAAAGTAAGTGTTCAGCACTATTCACAATAGCAAAGACATTGAATAAACCTAAATGCCCATCAATGGTAGACTGGATAAAGAAAATGTGGTACATATTACACCATGGAATATTATGCAGCCATAAAAAAGAATGAGATTATGTCCTTTGCAGGAGCATGGATGGAACTAGAGGTCATAATTGTGAGCAAACTAACACATGAAGAGAAAACCAAATATCACATGTTTTTACTTGTAAATAGGAGCTAAATTATGAGAACACATAGACGCAAAGAGGGGAACTACAGACACTGAGGCCCACTGGAGGGTAGAGGGTGGGAGGAGGGAGAGGATCAGGAAAAATAACTAATTGATACTAGGTTAAACCCTGGGTGATGAAATAAACAAACCCCTGTGACACAAGTTTACCTATGTAACTAACAAAACTACACATGTACCCCTAAACTTAAAATTAAAAAAGAAGCTCAGTGAACTACAAGAATATACACATATAAAAATTAAATAAATTTTAAAAATACATAAACTAAATACGTTTGACAAAGAAATAGAAACAATAAAAAATAGAAATTTTAAATATAAAGAAAGTAGTGACTGAACTGAAAAACTTAATAGAAAGCTTCAACAGCAGACTTGATCAGCGGAAGAAAAAATCAGTGAGCTTGAAGACAGTATGTTTGAAATTATCCAGTCAGAGGAGCAAAGAGACAAAGGAGTAAAATAGAATAAAGAAAGCCTATGAGAGTAGCAGGATACCATCAGGAGACCTAACATATTCATAATAAAAGTTCAAGAAGGTGAAATGAAAAAGGTTTAGAAAATATATTTAAAGAAATAATGACAAAAATTCTCAAATCTAAAGAAAGTTGCCAACATCCAGGTACAGAAAGAGCAAGCGTGTCCAATCAAACTCAACCCCAATGAGGAGTTCTCCAATATTCATAATAATTAAACTATAAAAATTCAAAGATAAAGAAAAAATTATGATAGCTGCAAAAGATTAGAAAAGCATTGTGTACAAAGGAGTTTCAGCACAACTACCAGTGGATTTCCTAGCAGAAATCCTGAAGACCAGGAAAGCGTGAGACACTGTATTCCAAGTGGTGAAGATAAAACCAAAACTGCCAACCAAGGATTACCATCAAAGCTGTCTTTCAGAAGTAAAGGAGAAATAAACACTTTTCCAGACAAATAAAAACTAAGGGAGTTCATCATCACTAATCCTGCTTATAGGAATGGCTAAAGGGAGCTCTTTAAGCTGAAAAAAAGAAAGACCTCTAATTAATAACGTAAAACATTTGAAAGTACAACACTCAATGATATAAATAATAAGAGTTGTTCAGAATATTTTGACTGTAATGATGGTTTGTAAAGTAATGTTATTTCTAGTATGAGGGTTAAAATTCAAATCTATTAACATCAACTATAGCTAAAATAAGTTGTCAAGGGATATATATTACAAAATAATGTAAATTTTGACATCAAATACAGGAAATGTTGGGGGAGGAGTAAAAGTGGAGACAAAAGAAAAATGTTAGTGATTATGTGGAGAAAGGACTCTTACATGCCATTGGTAACAATGCAAATTAGCACAACGATTATGCAGTGCTGTATGAGGCTTCCTCAAAAAACTGAAAATACAATTACCATATGATCCAACAGTTCCACTTTTGGATATTTATTCAAAATATTTGAAATCCTTATGAAGAGATGTCTATACTACATGCTCATTGCAGCATTATTTAAAGTAAGTTATAAAACCAATCAAAAAGTGTTCATTAAATGATAAATGGATAAACAATTTGTGGCATATATGTGTGTACACACAGACACGCACACATACACACACACACACACACACACACACACAAAATGGAATACCAAGAATACTATTCAGCCTTAATAAAGAAAATTCTGTCATCCAATAACATGGATGAATATGGAGGACATTGCAGTAACAGTAAATGAATTAAGCCAGGGATAGAAAGACAAATGCCACACAATCTCACTTGTAAGTGGAATCTAAAGCAATTAAACTCATAGAAACAGAGAATAGAATGGTGGTTACCAGAGGCTAGGTAGTGGGGAATATAGGGGGATGTTAGTCAAAGCATACTGGGGAATGAATATTTTTAAAGTATCTATTGCATGGTATAATGAATATAGTTAATAATAGTGTATTATACATTTCAAAATTTCTAAGAGTACATTTTAAATGTTCTCACCACAAAAGAGATAAGTATTTGAGGTGGTGGATACATTAATTCACCTGATTTAATTATTCCACATTGTGCTTATAACATCACTTTGTATCCCATAAGTATATGAACGTATAATTTGTAAATTTACAATAAAATTTAAAAACGAATTTATAATTTAGTGAATATTTTCTTTTTTTTTTTCATTTTACATCACAACTTTGGAGTACACATAGAGTTAAATTAGAAAATTTGCTTTTGAGACAGTCTTTCACTCTGTGGCCCACGCTGGAGTGTGGTGGCACAATCTTAGCTCACTGCAGCCTCTACGTCCTAGGCTCAAGCGATACTCCCACTTCAGCCTCTTGAGTAGCTGAAAGTACAGGCATGTATCACCATACCTGGCTAACAGTTTTGATGTTTAGTAGAGATGAATTCTCACTACGTTGCCCAGGTTGGTCTTGAATTCCTGAGCTCAAGTGATCCTCCCACCTTGGCCTCTCAAAGTGCCTATATTATAGGTGTGAGCCACTGTGCATGGCCTATTTGCAATTTTATTATTTAAGTAGTATGGAACCTGGCATTGGCACACATACAAGGCCTTACAAAGAGGGGCCAACTGACTTGACTAGGAAGTTTCAAAATAGTCTTGCTGGATTCCAGGGAAGAACTCTAAAAAAAATAATTGAGATTATGTGATAATGACAACAGTAACAAAACCAGAATAAATTCATAGACAGTTTTCAAATCAGTGACTCTTCCAAGATTATTTTAATGTTACATCTACAAGTAAACATTGTAAACCATATATTAATGTACATGTTACAGAAAAAATGCAAGAAATTTAACAGTTTTACTTGAGGTATAGATAATAATATAAAAACTGCATCTTGATATTTAATTCAGACCTCAAAAGTACAAATTAGTAAAATTCTTAATATAAAGGTTTATGTTACACATGTAGAATATATTGATACTTTTTAAAAAAGCAGAATGTGGAACTGATGACTTTTTTCAGTTTTACTGAACTTTAATAAAAATTCATATTTAAAATTTGTCTCTAGATTTTTTATTTTAAAAAGTGTTATTTCAGCCAAAACATTCCATAACTGTCTGAAGAATCCCTAAATGCTACAGAACAATTTGGCACTCAAAAAATTAAACTGAAGTAAACAAAGAAGAAAATGATTTATATACCATTTATAAGTTAATTAGACTTTTTATAAATCACAAGACCTGTAATATAAATAGCACTCATAAATCAACAACAAAAACTAAGTAAATTCATTTTTCATTTTGTACCACAGTTTGGAAGTATACATCAAGTTAAATGAGAATATTTGCTGTTGATAAAATATAATGTGCCTATATGTATTTTAAATGTGTTATATTTACACATTCTCCCACCATCTCAATAGTTAGGTTTTATAAGATTCATTTTAGCACATTTGTTATCATACCCAGGGCCATGAATCCCTGAAAAGTTGCAAAGTAACTAGAAGTGGCCCTTGAATGCACTCACATTCAGTTCTCTATATATGGAGGATATTAGTTTTCAGAAATATTGGCTATATAAAAGGAAGAGACATTTAAAAGACATACTGAAGTCACTATAGAATTTTTAAAATATGTATTTTCTTCAATTAACAAATATTGAATGCATAATTAATTGCTACTAAGTTGATTTGCAAAATTTTAAAAGATTTTCTATACTCAAAAGAGCTGAAGACCAATGTTTTACAATTCAAAAAATTCACTAAATATTAGAAACATGTGACATGTGAAAAGTTAAAATAACAACAGTTTCATCTAAGAAAGTTTTGGTACTGACTCTGAATATATTGAATTCTGGCAGACAAAGTGATATGGTTTGGCTGCGTCCCCACCCAAATCTCATCTTGAATTGTAGCTCCCATAATCCTCATGTGTCATGGGAGATACCTGGTACTAGGTAATTGTATCATGA
This sequence comes from Homo sapiens, assembly GCF_000001405.40. Lineage (NCBI taxonomy): Eukaryota > Metazoa > Chordata > Mammalia > Primates > Hominidae > Homo > Homo sapiens. Next base: position 170,964,894 of record NC_000004.12, read on the forward strand.
GGGTAGGTTTTTCTCGTGCTGTTCTCATGATAGTGAGTAAGTCTCAAGAAATTAGATGGTTTCTTCACATGCTCTCTTGCCTGCCACCGTGTAAGACATGCCTTTGCTCCTCCTTCACCTACCACCATGATTGTGAGGTCTCCACAGGCATGTGGAACTGTCAGTCCATTAAACTTTTTATTTATAAATTACCCAGTCTTGGATATTTCTTTATTAGCAGTATGAGAACAGACTAATACAAAAGGAAATTTGGAAAATATTTAAATTACTTCAAGATAAATATGCAAGATCCTATTTTCACTTTAAAAATGAGACCTCTACTTGTTTATTGATTCTGGATGAGAAAATAATTAGTGTGGACAATTTTAATTACCAGAATATTTTCTTCTGTGTTGTGTAATATAGAAATTGTGTAAGGGGAATTTGTTATGATTCCCATATAGTAATCTTCTTACTAAACTGATTATTAATTTGCTAGTTTTTAGTTTCTAATTTTCAATTAATATTGATATATCATATTAACAGAATGAAAGACAAAACCCACAATCACTTCAACAGATGCTAAAAAAGCATTTGCAAAACTTCAATATTCTTTTATGACAAAAACTCTCAAAATATTGAGTATAGAAGAAACATAACTCAATATGATAAAACCTGAGTATAGAAGGAACATACCTCCAGGTAATAAAAACTACATATATAAACCCACAACTAGTATCATATTGAATGGGAGAAAATGGAAAACCTTTTCTCTAATTCACTGTGTTTTTATAAATCATAAATATCCCCTCATTATTGTTACTAAGCATAGATATCACTGTCCTATAAAGTATTGCCTTTTGGTATGCTAAATTGAAGCCTAATGGCATGATAGAGTTTATGCATCTCCTCAAATCCTGAGCTCACTTTTTAGTGGTCATTTACTGGCCTATAGAACTTATTTCATAAACTTATTCTCGCTATACAAATTTCCATAACAAGAAAATGCAACATATACTTTATATATTACATTTTATCCTGCCCAGCAAACACGCAGTTCTTATGTATAAATGTTAGAGTTGAAAGGACTTTCTGTTTGCTTTGTCTTACCTGCTCTTGCCAGAGCTTCAGCCAAGACGGTTTTCAAAAGTACTTGCTTTATTCATTTTTGGGAGGTACAAGAAAGTTTAATGTGTTTGAATTATATTTCCTGGATTAATAAAAGTTTGATTTTTTTCTTTTTATTTTTGTGTGAGTTGGTAAAAAAAAATCTGTTGAAAGTTTGCACAACACTGAGCCATGTAAAAGGTTTTTCTTTTATATGAGTTTACTTCAAGATGGGAAAACCAAAGTTCCAGATTTTCCTGATATTAAGAAAAATGCATAGTAAGGACTGCAGGTGTCAGTGGGCCTTTGCGTTAAAATACTTGCTTCCTCCCAAAGGCTTTGTTAAAATTTCAAATGCCTCAGTAAAAAAGCCTATGTTTGCTTTCTATGAAAATACGTTTAAACATTACATAGGTCTTAATAAGTTAAATGTAATAATAGAGCAAAACCTAAAAATAGGCAGAATGTATTCAGACTGTAGTCAAAGAACAAATTGAAAATACATGACAATGTAAAGAAGCAATATGAAATTTAAGACCTGTAAATTTACACCTTATAATAAAGATGGAAAAAGTAAAAGAGAAGCAGAATTCAATGATATTAGAGGAAGAGCTACTTTGATTAAAATCCATTTGATGCAATCATCTGTAGCTTTACACTGTTTCTCAATTTACTTTAGTCAACGAATTATTTTGATGAGTATGAAACCACATTCCCTCATTTAATCATATTTAACAATTGCAAATAAATAGTATACAGAAAAAATTAAAACTATAAAAGATTGAATATGTTTTTTCAAATTTATTTACCCATGACCTATATCATTTATTTCACATACATGCAAAAGACCATAAATCAAATATAACAAAATAAATGTCAACAGAATGGAAATGAGACAAGTTAAAAGGAATAAGCATTTTAATTTGTTCTTTTTAAAATGTAATTTGTTGTGCATGTATGAACTGTCAAAAGCCTTTGATCTTTTCTATTCGAGTCCTCTAGGATTACGTATATATCTGGACATGACCCACTTGAAAAAACCCATTAGGCAATAGGTCTAAACATAGTGAAGAACCTTCTTAAAGTAACATGTCTACGAATTGGTAGCTGTAGGGTTCACAAGAATTCCTTCCAGCTTTGTGCAGATTTGTAAATCTCAAGTTGTATGCTACAGAGCCTGAAAGGCAATTATCAAAGAAATGAGACTTTACTGAATGAACTTTGGCTTGCCTTCTAAGTGACATTTTATAATTAACAGTTTTTTTTAATAATGCCTACTGTAAGTATTGGTGATATATTGATATTTCCACAGACTCAACAGCCTATCACCCTCTGCTAGGTACAACCTAAATTAATGTAAAATTTCATTTTTCCTTGAAGTGATTACACAATGGTATGTTGGCAAATCCTAAATAATCAGATCTCTAGGGTTTTACTTTTGCTTAAAAGCTCTGTTCTATAGCATTTCCTGATTTTCATGTTGTAAATATTCCCACAAGGGCTGATTTAGAGCTATCAATGTAACATCACTAAATATGCAATGGGAAAGCCAGTGGGAACCAGCTTTACCACACCACTATAACATAAGGTTTATCTTTCATCCTTCTGGTAATTATCATCTTGAAGCAACTTTACTTGTCAGTTATTAATATTTGGTTCTGGGGAAAGGTAAGTAGAGCGTCACACAATAAGAATCATTAATACTAACCCAGAATATCTCATCTCAAAAACTGACGTGCAGGCCGGGCGCGGTGGCTCACGCCTGTAATCCCAGCACTTTGGGAGGCCGAGGCGGGCGGATCACGAGGTCAGGAGATCGAGACCATCCTGGCTAACACGGTGAAAACCCGTCTCTACTAAAAATACAAAAATTAGCCGGGCATGGTGGCGGGCGCCTGTAGTCCCAGCTACACGGGAGGCTGAGGCAGGAGAATGGCGTGAACCCGGGAGGCGGAGCTTACAGTGAGTCGAGATCGCGCCACTGCACTCCAGCCTGGGCGACAGAGCGAAACTCCGTCTCAAAAAAAAAAAAAAAAAAAAAAAAAAAAACTGACGTGCAGAGTATATCTGCAAAATATTTTAATGAGATGATGTGAATATTTCTAATAATTTTATAATTAGAATTGTTTGTTTTTGAAACTAATGCAAATACATAATCCAATGCAGAGTTTAGGGCCAGATATTGTGTATTAAATTATTCCAATAATTTTTTATAAAATATAAGAACAAATTATATTCATCACAACCACAGTCAAATACTATTGGAAATGTGATTTTCCTGAATCTAGTATTCCTGCTTTAAAAATCTCTTTGGTCCAGTGATAATCTCTGTTACGCACTGTAACTAATACTTAAAACATACTTTCACAATGATTTCAAATCCCTAAAATAGAAACAATAGATGTATTTGCCAATAAAGTAAACTGTTTCCAGTTTGTCAATATGATACTAATGTTTCAAATTTTTATATTATTCATACCTTATAAACTAGAGTGGTTTAGAAAAAGAAAGTTTTGGTTCTAGTAGAAAAGCAACAGAAATTATTAAAGTAAGTAATATGAAGACACAATTTTAAGATTCTAGAGAAAAAAATGCAGGAAAAGTATCACCACAAAGCTTTATAAGTAATTCTGTATTTTCATCCATTTTAATTAAATTTATAAATCTCACATTTTCATGTTTCCTAGGTGTCTGAAAATATGCTTACCAAGCCAGAATGTGTATCTAGGTCCTTTACAACTTACCACTACAGCTCTACTAATATAATCAAAACCTTTTAAAGATTGCCTAAATTTCAGTCAAACAAAATTTATTTTTGCAAATGATAACACTAAAGTATATAGAAGTACATGTTAAAATTTATTTAATTAGAATTGAGGACTGTAGCTGGTTTTGTAATTTTGACATGAATAGCATGCAAAGAAAAAATTACTACTAGAAAACTTTTCAATTGATTTTCCTTCTAGACATGCAGTTTTCTTGTACTGTTTTAAAATATATAGACTATGTCCAAAACAAAATTTAAAACTGAGTAAGAATGCTTATGTTATGTGCTTCGTTAGTTGTAGCAATTACTTCAATAATATTTTCTTGAAATAACAATTTACAAAATTATGGGAGTTTTACTAACTTATTGCCTTGAATATCTTAATGTTCCCAAATGTCTACGACCTCACTCCCTTTAATTATGTTTTACACAGACATTCTCTAGCTCATTCTTTCACGCAGATTTTAGGCAACAAGAAGCAAATATGTGAACTTTTTTTTAAAAAATAAGACTTTTGTAATAATTCTATTCAAGACTTTTCAAGAGCTATAAATTGTAAAACCATGGGTCAAACAATCAAATGAAGGCATTTTTGTTCCACAACCTATTTAAATGAAGGCATTTTTGCTCCACAGCCTATTTCCAATTTCAGAGAAAAAAAATAAAAATTCTAAAAATTACCTACTTTTTTCAAAGAAAAAAATGGATGCAACTAAAACTCAATAACCCTATAGGGCACCTGACCACTAATGTGAAGTTTGAATGAACACAAGGTACCGGCTTCCAAAGTAAACCATTTATTGACATGATATTAGGGATAATAAACCCTCATAACACCTGCAGACCAAGACAGCTGCCCATGTCTCCACCAGAACATGATGCATGCACACTTATACACATACACCACACCTGTACACAATACACTTTGCCTCACTCAAATGTAACAATCCCAGAGGAATTCATACCTGACTGAGGCTCAAAAAATTTCTAAATTAGAAAAAAAGAAAATAAAAGAGAGAGGCAGAGAACAGCGTAAGCAAAAATCAGATGAAGAACATATAATAAAAGTAATTAATCAATGAAATCATGACTATTTTAGAAAAAAATGTATTTTATTTTAGTATCAAAGAAAATTGCAGACACTATGACTTCTCCCTTAAGACCAAAAAAAGGAGGGGTACAAAAATGAAATACAATGGTTCAGGGAAGAGATTACAATATAGCAAATAGAGAAAATATGGTTGATTTCATTCAGGAAAGATGAAATAAAAGAAATTGCAGAGAATAAAATTACTTTATAAAAATGGCTAAAATTAGAAGCACAGAAGCTGAGCTTGTGAAAACCTGGGCAACAAAACAAAACAAAATTAGGAAAACAAATTGAATAAGTTGATAAAAGATGATAGATAAGACAGAGAAAAGAAGTTGAATATACGCATATATTGGTGTTCTATTTTAAAAAGAATATTGTATATATTTAAAGTGCACACGATATTTTAATAGACATACACATAGTGAAATGATTCATTACAGTCAAGCAAATTAAGATATCAATCACCTTCCACAGTTACTATGTGTGTGCGTGTGTGTGTGTGCGTGTGATGTATGGTGAGAGCACCCAAAATCTACTCTCTTGGTAAATTTTCAGTATACAATACAGTATTACTAACTATAGCCTGCATGCTCTACATTGGAGCTCCAGACTTCTTCATCTTATATAACTACAAGTTTGTACTTTTTGACCTGTATATCCACATTTTCTCTCCCTCTTCTCCTCTGTAACAATTATTCTATTCTGTTTCTTTGTATTCTACTTTTCTTAGGTTCTACATATAAATGATATCATGCAGTGTTTTTATTTCAGTGTCTACTTTATATCACTTAATGAAACATCCTCCAAATTCATCCATGTTGTTGCAAATGGCTGTTTCTCCCTTTTTTAACGCAGAATAATACTCCATTTGGTGTATGTGCATGTGTGTATGTATATATGTATATGTACACCTATGTGTATATATAGGTATATATGTATAAATATATGCATATAAATATATATTTATGCTAAAATTTATCCACTCAGGGCTGGTGTGGTGGCTCACAACTGTAATCCCAGCACTTTGGGGGGCCCAGGTGGGTGGATCACTTGAGCCCAGGAGTTTAAGACCAGCCTGGGCAACATCATAGGGAGACCCTGTCTTTACAAAAAATACAAAAAAAAAAGAAATACCTGGCTGTAGTGATGCATGCCTATAGTCCCAACTCCTTGGGGGGCTGAGATGGGAGGATAGCTTGAACCCCACAGCGGAGGTGGCTGTGAGCCGGAGATCGGCCACTGCACTCCAGCCTGGGTGACAGAGTGAGAGTGAGACCCTGTCTCAAAAAAAAAATCTATCAGTGGACACAGATTGTTTTCATATTTTGGCTATTATGATAATGCTGCAAAGAGCAGGGGAACACAAATATCTCTATGAGGTGCTAGTTTATTTTATTTTTTTCAGGGGATGGTTGGTCATTTGGCGGCTCAAATTTAATTCTGGAAGGAACCTCTATACTCTTTCCATAATGGCTTTACCAATTTACATTCCCCTCAACGGGGTACAGAGGTTCTCTTTTCTTCACACGTTGGCCAGTTTCTCAAAATGCAGCTCAAAAAGTTGGAATGTTAGATGTGTGTTTCAGGGCCTTCTATCCTTGGGGTGAATCTGAGAGCTGGGGTTTATCTGACATTCATTCTGCACTAAGCCTGGGAGAGAATCTGTGGCAAATCCTTTCACTCTGGTGCAGACTGCACACTCTGAGCCTGGGGAGATGGCCGATGGAAATGCGCTTATTTAGAAACCTTTTCTTTGTTGTCTGCATTCTAGGGAGATTCACGGAGGCAGAGCCCCATCATCAGAATAAGGTGACTTAGGAACTGGCTCTTGGATGGGAACTATTAAAGTTGAGGTGCCTGATGCATGCAAAAACTCTTTTCAAGAAGAATCTGCAATCCTGCTTTCATTCCTGTAGGAAGCTGGTGGGGAGAAAGCACCGAATGTACCCACATACTACCTATTCGGGCTCCTGGAGCTCACTGTATACCTGCCCTATCTGTTCCACTTCCAGATGCAGGCTCATTAGAAGCCCAGCCCTCAGGCAGCAGCTGGGAAAGTATGCTGACAAACCCATTTTAGGGAGAAACTGAGAGCTGGGTATTCTATCCCGTTCTCTCTGCACTGATCCTGGGGTAGAACAGCTGGAGGTGCACATGCACTCACTTAAAACCACCTCTTGTGGGTGATCTTTTCCACTCTCGGAGTTAGGTGATTAAGAGTCATACCCGCGGTGGAGGGGAACTGCAAAACTTGGGATGCTCTATCTATGGTGCAATCCCTTCATTGGTCGGGGAGAAGCTGGGACTTTGAGAATTCCTTCCCATTGTACTGAGCTGTGGTTGGGGTGGGGGTGTTGCCTCACTTTTCAAGCCCTTTTGGCGTGGATAGTTTCTCAGTTGCCCAGTGTGTGGAAGTCTCTCAACTAGATTCCAGCTTTCTCTCCGAGGTATCTGATGTATGTGTAGATGTTTATTTTCTGTGTTTGCCTATTTTTAAAGTCAGATGATTTATTTTATTGTTATTTAGTTATATGACTTTCATATATATATATATATATATATATATATATTTTTTTTTTTTTTTTTTTTTTTTTTTTTTTTTTTTTTTTTTTTTTGAGACGGAGTCTCGTTCTGTCACCCAGGCTGGAGTGCTGTGGCGCGATCTCCACTCACTGCAAGCTCCGCCTCCCAGGTTCACGCCATTCTCCTGCCTCAGCCTCCCGAGTAGCTGGGACTACAGGCGCCCGCCACTGCGCCCGGCTAATTTTTTGTATTTTTAGTAGAGACGGGGTTTCACCGTGGTCTCGATCTCCTGACCTCGTGATCCGCCCGCCTCGGCCTCCCAAAGTGCTGGGATTACAGGCGTGAGCCACCGCGCCCGGCCTCTTATATATTTTTGATATTAACCCCTTATCAAATACATAACTTGCAAATATTTTCTCTAATTTCATAGATTGTCTCTTCACTCTGTTTATTGTTTTGTTGTTGTTTGTTTGTTTTTGCTGTGCAGAAATTTTTTAGTTTGATGTACTACTTGTTTGTCTTTGCTTTTGTTACTTGTAATTTTCAGGTCATATTTTAAAAATAATTGTCAAAACCAGTGTCAAGGAGTTTTTTCCTTATGGTTTTGTTTAGGAATTTTATACTTTCAGGTCTCACATATAAGTTTATTTTTAGTTAATTTTTGTATATGGTGTATGATAAGATTCAGTTTTATTCACTGGAATGTGGATAACCATTATTGCCAACACTATCAATTGACAATACTATACTTTTCCCCATTATGTTCTCTTTATGCCATTGTCAAAGATTAGTCGACTATACACTTATGGGTTTCTCTTTTCTTTATTCTCTTATATTTTTCTATGTGTTTTTTTTAATGCTAGTAGCATACTGTTTTTAGTAGTATAGCTTTGTAATATAGCTTGAAAGCAGGAAATGTGATGTCTGCAGCTGTGATCTTCTTTCTCAAGATTGCTTTAGCTATTTGAAATCTTTTGTAATACTGTATAAATTTTAGGATTGTTTTTCTTTTTCTGTGAAAAATGTCATTGGGATTTTGATAGTGATTGCACTGAACTGTTAGATCATTTTGGGTAGTATGGACATTTAAACAATAGTAATTCTTCCAATCCAAGAGCATAAGACATCTTTCCATTTATTTCTATCTCCTTCAATTTCTTTTATAGATTTTAATGTAAAAATCTTTCTGCTCTTTGGTTAAATTTATTCATAAGTATTTCATTTTTATTTGTGGTAGTTTAAGTAGGATTCTTTTTCTTTTTTAAATTTATTTCAATTGGTTTTGGGGGAACAGGTGGTGTTTGCTTACATGAATATGTTCTTTAGTGGTGATTTCTGAAATTTTGGTGCACCCATCTCCCGAGCAGTGTACACTGTACCCAGTGTATAAACTTTAATCCCTCACCTGCCTCCCACCCTTTCCCTGAGTCCCCAAAGTCCATTGTATTATTCTTATGACATTGCATTCTCATAACTTAACTCTCACTTATGAGTGAGAATATAGGTGTTTGGTTTTCCATTTCTGAGTTAATACACTTAGAATAATGGTCTTCAATTCCATCCAGGTTGCTGCAGATGCCATTATTTTGTTCCTTTTTATGGCTTATCAGTATTCTATGGTATATATATATATATATATATATACATACATACACACACACATTATATATATATTCAGGTAATATACATATTATATATATATATATATCACATTTTCTTTATCCAGTCATTGATTGATGGTTCTATATTTTTTCTACTCATTGATTGATGGTTCTATATTGGGCTGATTATATATTTTTGCAATAGTGAATTGTGCTGCTATAAACATGCATGTGCAAGTATCTTTTTTGTATAATGACTTATTTTCCTCTGGATAGATACTCAGTAGTGGGACTGCTGGATCAAATGGTAGATTTACTTTTAGTACTTTAAGGAATCTCCACACTGTTTTTTATAGTGGTAGTTGTACTAGTTTACATTTCCACCAACAGTGTAAAAGTGTTCCATTTTTACCACTTCAACCAACATCTATTTTTTTTATTTTTTTATTATGACCATTCTTGCAGGAGTGAGATGCTATCACATTGTGATTTCAATTTGCATTTCCCTTATAATTAGTGATGTTAAGCATTTTTTCATATGTTTGTTGGCCATTTGTATATCTTCTTTTGAGAATTGTCTATTCATGTCCTTAGCCCACTTTTTAATGGGATTGTTTGCTTTGTTCTTGCTGATTTGCTTAAGTTCCTTGTAGCTTTTGGATATTAGTCCTTGTTGGATGTATAGATTGTGAAAATTTTCTCCCACTGTGTGGGTTGTCTGTTTACTTTGCTGATTATTTCTTTTGTTGTGCTGAAGGTTTTTAGTTTAATTAAGTCCCATCTATTTATCTTTGTTTTTTGTTGTGTTTGCTTTTGGGATCTTGGTCATGAAGTCTTTGCCTAAGCCAATGTCTAGAAGGGTTTTTCCAATGTTACCTTCTAAAATTTTTATGGTTTCATGTCTTAGATTTAAGTCTTTGATCCACTTTGAGTTGTATGGGGTGAGAGGTGAAGATTGAGTTTCATTCTTCTACATGTGGCTTGCACATTATCCTGGGACAATTTGTTTAACAGAGTGTCCCTTCCCCACTTTATGTTTTTGTTTGCTTTGTGAAAGATCAGTTGACTGTAAGTATTTGGCTTTATTTCTGGGTTCTCTATTCTTTTCCATTGGTCTTTACACCAATTTTTGTGCCAGTACCATGCTGTTCTGCTGACTATGCCCTTATATTATAGTTGGAAGTTGGGTAGTGTGGTGCCTCAAGATTGGTTCTTTTTGCTTAGTCTTGATTTTCTTTTCTTTTCTTTCTTTTTTTTTTTTTTTTTTTGAGATAGAGTCTTGCACTGTCACCTAAGCTGGAGTACAATGGTGCAATCTTGGCTCACTGCAACCTCTGCCTCCCAGGTTCATGTGATTCTCCTGCCTCAGCCTCCTGAGTAGCTGGGGTTACAGGTGCACACCACCACACCTGGCTAATTTTTTGTATTTTTGGTAGAGAAGGGGTTTCACTATGTTGGCCAGACTGGGCTCAAACTCCTGACCTTATGATCAGCCTGCCTCAGGCTCCCAAAGTGCTGGGATTACAGGTGTGAGCCACCAAGCCTATCTTGTTTTAGCCATACAAATAATCATTCAAGGCTACTATGAACATCTTTATACACACAAACTAGAAAACCTGGAGGAGATGGATAAATTCCTTAAAATATACAACACTCATAGATTAAACCAGGAAGAAATAGAAACTCTGAGCAGACCAATAATAAGTAGTGATATCGAAATGGTAATTTAAAAGTTATCAACAGGCCAGGACTGGTGGGCTCGCACCTGTAATCCCTGTACTTTGGGAGGCTGAGGTGGGCAGATCATGAGTTCAGGAGTTCAAGACCAGCCTGACCAATATGGCAAAACCCCATCTCTACTAAAAATAAAAAAATTAGCTGGTCTTGGTGGTATGCACCTGTAGTCCCAGCCTGAGGCTTCCCGCTTAAACCCAGGAAGTGGAGGTTTCAGTGAGCCAAGATCATGCCACTGTACTCCAGCTTGGGTGAGAGTGAGACTCCATGTGGGAAAAAAAAAAAAAAAAAAGTTAATAACAAAAAAAACCTCCAGGACCAAAATGATTCACAGCTGAATTTTACTAGGCTTTCAAATTAGAATTTTTACTTTTTCTATTGACAGTATTGCAAAAGATACAAAAAGAGGGAATCCTCCCTAAATCACTTTATGAAGTGGGTATCACCAAAATACCAAAATCAGGAAAGGACATAACAAAAATATAAAACTGCAGGCCAATATCCCTGACAAACATAGATGCAAAACTCCTCAACAAAATAATAGCTAACTGAATCCAATAGCATATCAAAATGATAATCCACAATGATCGTGGGTTTCACATAAGAGAGGCAGGGTTGGTTTTATATCCACAAGACAATAAATGTGATACACTGCATAAACAGAATTAAAAACAAAAATCACATGGTCATCTTGATAGACTCAGAAAAAGCATTTGACAAAATCCAGCATCCCTTCATGATTAAAACCCTCAGCAAAATCTACATAAAAGGGACATACCTTAAGGTAATAAAAGCCATCTATGACAAACCCACAGATAACATTATACTGAATGGGGAAAAGTTGAAAGCATCCCCCCTGAGAACTGGAACAAGACAAGAATGTCCACTTTCACCACTTCTATTCAACATAGTACTGGAAGTCCTAGCCAGAGAAATCAGACACTAGAAATAAATAAAGGGCATCCTAAGCAGTAAAGAGGAAGTCAAACTGTTGCTGTTTGCTGATGACATGATCATACACCTAGAAAACCCCAAAGTCTCATCCAAAAAGCTCCTAGAACTGGGAAATTAATTCAGCAAAGTTTCTGGATATAAAATTAATGTTACCAAATCAGTAGCCCTGCTATAAACCAACATCTCCATTTATTGGGTAGAATGTTCTGTAAATATCTGTTAAGTCCACTTGTTCTAAGGTATAGTTCAAGTTCATTGTTTCTTTATTGGCTGTCTGTCTTGATGACCTGTCTAGTGCTATCAGTGGAGTATTGAAGCACTCCACTCTTACTGAGTTGCTCTATCTCATTTCTTAGGTCTAGCAGCAATTGTTTTATAAATTTGGGAGCTCCACTGTTAGGTACGTATATATTTAGGGTTGTGATATTTTCCAGTTGGATAGACCTTTTATTATTTATTTATTTATTTGAGACAGAGTCTTACTCTGTCATGCAAGCTGGAGTGCAGTGGCACTATCTCAGCTCACTGCAACCTCCACCTCCCAGGTTTAAGAGATTATCCTGCTTCAGCCTCCCTAGTAGCTGGGAGTACAAGCGCCTGCCACCATGCCCAGCTAATTTTTGTATTTTTAGTAGAGATAAGGTTTCACCATGTTGGCCACGCTGGTCTTGAACTCCTGACCTCAGGTGATCCACCTGCTTCAGTCTCCCAAAGTGCTGGGATTACAGGCATGGCCACCACACCTGGCCTAGACCTTTTATTATTATACAGTGTCCCTCTTTGCCTTTTAAAACTGTTGTTGGTTTAAAGTTTGTTTTGTGTGGTGTAAGAATAGCTAATCCTGCTCAGTTTTGGTGTCCATTTGCCTAGAATATCTTTTTCCACTCTTTTACTGTAAGTTTATGTGGGATTTTATGTGTCAGGTGAGTCTCTTGAAGACAGCAGATACTTGGTTGGTGAATTTTCATCCATTCTGCCATTCTGTATCTTTTAAGTGGAGCATTTCGGTCATTTACATTCAACACTAGTATTGAGATATGAGGTGCTATTCCATTCATCTTGCTATTTGTTGCCTGAATAGCTTGTTGTTTTTTTTTTCTTTCATTGTGTTGTTGTTTTATAGGTCCTGTGAGATTTATGCTTTAAGGAGATTCCATTTTGGTATATTTTGAGGATTTGTTTCAAGATTTAGAGCTCCTTTTAGCCATTCTTGTAATGCTGGCTTGGTAGTGGTGAATTCTCTCAGCATTTGTTTGTCTGAAAAAGACTGTCTTTCCTTCTAACCTTCATATGCAGGTTAGTTTTGCTAGATACACAATTCTTGATTGATAACTGTTTTGTTTAAAGAGGCTAAAGATAGGGCCCCTATCCCTTCTAGCTTGTAGGGTTTCTGCTGAGAAATCTACTGTTAATCTGATAGGTTTTCCTTCATAGGTTACTCGATGCCTCTGCCTCACAGCTCTTAAGATTCTTTCCTTCATCTTGACTTTAGATAACCTGATGACTATGTGCTTAGGTAATGATCTTTTTGTGATGAATTTCCCAGGTGTTCTTTGAGTTTCTTGTATTTGGATGTCTAGATCTGTAGCAAGGCCAGGGAAGTTTTCCTCAAATAATCCCTCAAATATGATTTTCAAACTTTTAAATTTCTTTTCTTCCTCAGGAACACCAATAATTTTTAGGTTTGGTCATTTAACATAATCCCAAATTTCTTGGAGGCTTTGTTCATTTTTCCAAATTTGTTTTTGTCTTTGTGGGTTTGGACTAATTCAAAACCTTGTCTTCAAGCTCTGAAGTTCTTCTACTTGTTCAATTCTATTGCTGAGACTTTCAGTGCATTTTGCAATTCTCTAAGTGTGTTGCGTATTCCCAGACATTGTGATTGTTTTTTATTTATGCTATCAATTTCACTAGAGATTTTCCTATTCATACCTTGTATAATTGTTTTGATTTATTTAAGTTGGACTTCACCTTTCTCTGGTGCCCCCTTGATTGGCTTAATAGTTGACCTTCCAAATTATTTTTCTGGGAATTCAGAGATTTTGTCTTGGTTTGGATCCATTGCTTGTAAGCTAGTGTGATCTTCTAGGGGTGTTTCAGAACCTTGTTTTGTCATATTACCAAACTTGTTTTTCTGGTTCCTTCTCATTTGGTAGACTGTGTCAGAAGGAAGGTCTGGGACTCAAGGACTGCTGTTCAGATTCTTTTGTTACATGGGGTACTCCCTTGATGTGGTGCTCTACCCTTTCTCCTAGGGATAGGGCTTCCTGAGATCTGAACTGCAGTGATTGTTATTTCTCTTCTGGATCTAGCCACCCAGCAGAGCTACTGGGCTCCAGGCTGGTAATGGGTAGTGTCTGCAAAGAGACCTGTGATGTGATCTGTCTTCAGGTCTCTCAGCCATGGATACCAGCAGCTGCTTCTGTGGAGGTAACAGGGGAAGTTAAGCGAACTTTATGACGGTCCTTGGTTGTATTTTTGTTAAGCACACTGGTTTTCTGTTGGTTGGCCTCCAGCCAGGAGGTGGCGCTTTCAAGATTACATCAGCTGCTGTTGTATAGGGAGGATACAAGCTTGCCCTAGGGTAAGGTGGGGCCACAGAGCTTCCAAGGGATTATGCCCTTCATCTTTGGCTACCAGGTTGGGTAGAGAAAGACCATCAGGTGGCCGGGTGCAGTGGCTCATGCCTGTAATCCCAGCACTTTGAGAAGCCAAGGCTGACGGATCACGAGGTCAGGAGATTGAGACCATCCTGGCTAACACAGTGAAACCCCGTCCCTACTAAAAAAATACAGAAAAAAAAATGAGCCAGGCTCGGTGGTGGGCTCCTGTAGTCCCAGCTACTCGGGAGGCTGAGGCAGGAGAATGGCATGAACCCGGGAGGCAGAGCTTGCAGTGAGCCGAGATCGCGCCACTGCACTCCAGCCTGGGCTATGGAGCAAGACTCCGTCTCAAAAAAAAAAAAAAAAAAAAAAAAAAGACCATCAGGTGATGGCAGAGTTAGGCGTGTCTGAGCTCAGATTCTCCTTTGGTGGGGCTTGAGGTGTCTTCTGTAGGGAATGGGGGTGTGGTTTTCATGCCAATGGAGTTATGTTCCTGGGGGTATTGGCTGCCTTTGCTGCATCACACAGGTTGCCAGGGAAGTGGGGGAAAGCGGCCAGTCACAGAACTCTCCCAGCTCCCACGCAGCCCGCGGCCTGAAAGGCTGGTCTCACTCCCACTGAGTGGCTTGCATATGATCTTATATATACTCTCACTCTCACTCCTGGCTTGTATATGATCTTATACAAGTTAGAAAAGCAAGCTGACTCACAGTTTCTTGGCTCTCCCACAGAGCCTGCAGTGGCTATCCACCTCCTTCAAAGGGTCTGTGGATTCTCTTGGCTTTCCTGGTATGTTCCCGCTATAGTTCTTGGAGCAAAAGTTCACATTGTGGGTCTCCAGAGGCTGCTCTGTTTATCCGAATGGGAGCTGAAAGTTAGTGCTGTTTCCTATCTGCTATTTTCCTGGTATTCTTTTTAAATTTCTTTTTTTAGATAGTTTCGTGTTAGTGTATAAGAATGCAACTCATTTTTTGTATGTTGACTTTTATCCTGCAAGTTTATTGAATTAGTTTATTAGTTCTAACAGTTTTTTTGATGAAGTCTTTTGAGGTTTCTATATATAAGATCATGTCATCTGCAAATATCAACAAGTTCATTTTTTTTCTCATTTGGATGCCTTTTTCTTCCCTTTTGCATAATTTCTCTAAAAGGACTTCCAGTACTATGCTGAGTAAGAGTGATGAAGGTGACCACCCTTGTCTTATTTCTGATTTTAAAGAAAAATTTTCAGCTTTTAATTATTGAGTTTATAACACTGACTCCGAACTTAGAAAATTGACATGCATAACTTTTGTTATGTTGAAGTGTTTCTTCTATTCCTAATTTGTTGAGTTTTACTCACAAAAGGATGTTGAATTTTGTCCAAGACTTTTCTGTGTCTATTGGCATGACCTTTTTATACTTCATTCTGTTAATGTGATGTATCTTGTTTATTGATTGAACCATCCTAGCATCCTAAGGATAAATTCCATGCGATCATGGTGTATGATCCTCCTAATGGGCTTTTGAATTTAGTTTCCTAGTATGTTGTTGAGGTTTTGCATGTGTGTTTATTAGGCCTATAATTTTTTTTTCTGTAGTCTCCTTATTTAGCTTTGGTATAACAGTAATTGGCTTTATCAAATAAGTTTAAATTTTTTGGAAGAGTTGGAGAAGAATTGGCTTTAAATGCTTGATAGAATTAATTAGTGAAGCCATCTAGTCCCGAGCTTTTCTTTGCTGGAAAAGTTTTGATTACAGATTTAATATCTTTGTACTTTATTGGCCTGTTCAGACTTTTTATTTTTACATCATTCAATTTTGGAAGATTGTATGTTTATAGGAATTTATCCATTTCTTCTGGGCTATCTAATATGTTGGAGTATAATTGTTCATAATAGTAATATTTTATGATCCTTTGTATTTCTGTAGTATCCGTTTTAATGTGTCCTCAATTATGGTTTTATTGATTTGACTTGTTTCTCATTTTTTCTTGATTAGCATAGCTAAAAATGTGTCAAATTTGTTTTTCTTTTCTCAAAATCAACTCTCAGTTTTGTTTTGTCTTTCCAGTCTCTATTTCATTTATTTCTGATTGAAGTTTTCTTATTTCTTCTTCCTGCTACCTTTGGGCTTACTTTGTTCTTCTTTTTCTAGTTCCCTGAGGTGCAACATTAGGGTTTTTATTTGACTTTTTTTTTTAATGCAGGTTTTATTGCTGCAGTTTTATTGCTTTTGCTGTATCCAATAAGCTTTCACATTTTTTAAAAATTTTCATTTGTTTCAAGATACATTTTTCTTCAGTTTTAATTTCTTCTTTGACCTATTGATTATTCAGGAATATGTTGTTTAATTTGGACATATTTGAAAATCTTCCTCTGTGTATTTATTCCTGATTTCATACCATTGTGGCTGGAAAGGATATGATGATTTTAATGTTCTACAGTCTTTTAAGACTTGGTTTTTGGCCCAGCAGTTATATTGTAGTACTTATATTTTTGTTGTAGAAAAATACTTGTATAAAAATTAGGAATTCCTTCATCTTAAAATTTTTAAGTTAAATTCAAGTTAATTTTTAAAGTTATATTCAAGAGTCATGTTTGGAATAGTATTCACCAGATATTACATTATTATTGAGAGAGGCAATGTTTTCAATCTTTAATATCTAATTTTTTGATTTTACTTTTTATGAATCATTTTTAATAGGAATCATTTTTACTCTTAGAATGAAAAAATAAGTAATGTTTATTCCTTAAAACCATCTAGCTCAGGTGATTTTGCAAATATAAACTACATTTCTTGCTCTCAAGGGTATACAGAGACAGGGTCAAACAATCAAATAATAAAAATTACACAGAAATATATCTTGTTGTTTTTCTTTAGCTACAAAGAAAGTTATTTTTGAAGACTTTTCTTATGGTAAAATAAAGTGTCCATCATATTTACCATCTGAATCATTTTTAAGTGTAAAGTTCAGTGGCATTAAGTAATATTCACATTGTTGCTCACCATCACTATTTTTTATGCCTAGAACTTTTTTATCGTCTTAAACTTAAGCTTTGTCCTCATGAAGCAGTAACTCCTCATTTATTTATTTCCTCCTCTTCGCCCCTTGTAACCTCTGTTCTACTTTCCGTCTCCATAAATTTGACTTTTCTAGGTACCTCATATAAGTGAAATGCGTCTTGCTTATTTCACCTAGTGCACTGTCCACAAGGTTCATTCAAGTTGTAGCATATATCTAAATTTCATTCCTTTATAAGGTTTATTTATATTCAATTGTGTGCATATATCACTTTTGTTTATCTATTGATGCAGATATCTGTTTTGGTCCTTGCTTTCGATTCTTTTATGGTAAACAATCATCCCTCTGTATCTGTGGGCTCTGCAACTGCGTATTCAACCGACTGCAGATCCAAAATGTTTTTTTAAAAATAAAAACAATAAAAATAAACAATACACCAATAAATAATACAAATTTTAAAAAATACAGTATAATGATTTATATAGCATTTACATTGTATTAGGTAAAAGTAATCTAGAGATGACTTAAGGTATACGGGAGGATGTATATAAATTATATGCACATGTTATGCCATTTCACATAAGGGACTTGAGTATCCACAGATGTTGCTATCCTCGGGGGTTCCTGGAACAAATTCTCTGAGGATATTGAGGGACAACTCTATTTTCAGAAGCAGAATTGCTCCATCCATCATATGGTAATATTATTTAATTTTTTAGGAACTGCCATACAGTTTTCCACAGTAGCTGCACCATTTTACATTTCCCACAGCAATGTACAAGGGGTCCAATTTCTTTACATTTTCAACATTTGTTATTTTCAGTTTTTGGTTTTTTTTTTGAATAATAATAGCCATTTTAATGGGTGTGAATTGATAGCTCATCTTACTGTAGTTTTGATTTGCATTTTCTTTTTTTTTTTGAGACGGAGTCTTGCTCTCTCACCCAGGCTGGAGTGAGTGCAGTAGCTCGATCTCAGCTCACTGCAAGCTCTGCCTCCCGGGTTCACGCCATTCTCCTGCCTCAGCCTCCCGAGTAGCTGGGACTACAGGCGCCCGCCACCACGCCTGGCTAATTTTTTGTATTTTTTTTAGTAGAGACGGGGTTTCACCATGTTAGCCAGGATGGTCTTGATCTCCTGACCTCATGATCTGCCCACCTTGGCCTCCCAAAGTGCTGGGATTACAGGCGTGAGCCACCACACCGGGCTTGATTTGCATTTTCTTAATGATTAGTGATGCTATCTTTTCCTGTGCCTATTTGGGCATTTGCATATGTTCTTTGAGGAAACGTGTATTCAAATCCTTTGCACATTTTAAAAATTGGATTGTTGGCCAGGCTTGGTGGCTCATGGTGGTAATACCAGCACTTTGGGAGGCCGAGACAGGCAGATCACGAGGTCAAGAGATCGAGACCATCCTGGCTAACACGGTGAGACCCCATCTCTACTAAAAATACAAAAAATTAGCCTGGCGTGGTGGCAGGGGCCTGTTGTCCCAGCTACTCGGGAGGATGAGGCAGGAGAATGGCCTCAACCTGGGACACAAAGCTTGCGGTGAGCAGAGATCAGGCCACTGCACTCTAGCCTGGGGGACAGAGTGAGACTCCATCTCAAAAAATAAAAAATAAAAATAAATAAAAATTGGATTGTTTTTTCTTGTTGATACTTTTGCTATATTAAAAAAATATTTGTCCAAGAATCCCTTAAAAATCTTAAAATCTAGTTGTATTATTAACTATATGTTAATATCTAAAGCTAAGTAGAGTAAGAAATTTAAAAGTAGAAATTCACAGAATCCTGTAAGCAAAAAATATGTGATAACTTCTATTTTTTTCCTATGAATGAATTTCTTAATTACCCATTTCTTATAAGATTTTGTGGAAATGAGTAGGGGCTAAAATATGAATGATACTCTTACTGGAATCATTTAAAGCAACAAAATATATATAAATCTAGGCATAAATAAAAGTACATTTTATGGCTATCAATAGAAATTCTAACTACCAGTTATATTAGTTCTCAAAGCTCTTAAGTTTTTAAATTTCAAGAGTGTTAATCTCTCTTGAAATTTTTCTGCAATTATGGAATTATTTTTAAGTTATTTATTTTGGATTTATGTGAAATAATTTAACAATAATCTATTCTTCCTGCTTTCAAATAAATTTATATTCTAACACCTAATTTTGTGAGCATATTAGCTATAAATTCACATGTAAAAAATAAGCCATGTCAAACAATGCAATTTTTACTTATATTCATCTTTTTTATGAAGGACTTCAGTAACAAACTTATTTAGTTCCAATGTCAAATAAAAAAAGGAGATTTAGAGATTCTCCATTACTATCCTTGCTCTTCTATACTATTTCTTCCCACCATATATGTAACCACATTTTAAAGTATTCATCTTATCCATCTTGTTTCTTTTTCTTTCAGTGCTGTGTTCCTATGCCTTGCAATTTTTCTCCATATGTTGTTGGTCTTTATATTTTTATTCTGTATTTTTTATATTAAGAACATTAACACTTTTCTACAATATATGTTGCAATTATATCTAGATTGTTTACTTATCTTTTAAAATATTGCTTATAAAGTAATTTTACTATGGTTGGGATTAATGAGAGATGCTTGGATGCCTTTCTAAGGAACCTAGACTCTTTTCTTTTAAATAGAGGAGTAATTTTTTTGTCTACCCTTCAAAAAATTAAACCTGGCAAGTATGTCAAGGATATAATAGACAGTAGAAAGATTAAAGACAGTTCAATAAAACTCAACTGAGAAAGAAATCTGTTGTGAGCCCGTTCATCACTGCCACATTTGAGAGGCAACATATTAAGGGATCTGTTTCAGTTTTGAAGATAGCCACTTTCGCACTGAACAAGCTTATGCTTTGGGGCAAGTTTTTTTTTTCTTTATATTTATCAACACAAGTTATCTCACTGGAGGCACCTGACAAATTACCACGTTCCATGAGGAATTTTTCAAAGTAGATTGCTATCGCACATAATAAGTTTGGAATATAGCTAACAAATTCACTTTTAAAAATGTAATAATACCATGAAAATTTTCAAAGCCACTAAATACATTAAAAATGGTAAAATGAAGGAATGTTTAATAAAATGTTCGCATTGTAATAAAAGTGCTGATTTTTTTTAAAGAAGGAATTTTAAAGTATTGTAGAGGAAGTCTAGAATAATTTTGCCATTCAAAAATGATGACTTTCTTTGGTTGTTGTTTGCCTCCTCCTCTTCCTCCTCCTCCTCCTCCTTCTGACTGAGTCTTGCTCTATTGCCCAGGCTGGAGTGCAGTGGTGCACTCTACTGCTCACTCCAATCTCCGCTCACTGCAACCTCCGCCTCCCGGGTTCGAGCAATTCTCACGCCTCAGCCTCCCGAGTAGCTGGGAATACAGGCATCTGCCACCATGCCCAGCTATTTTTTGTATTTTTAGTAGAGAGTGGGTTTCATTATGTTGGCCAGGCTAGTGGCAAACTCCTGACCTCAAGTGATCCACCCACCTCCCCCTCCAAAAGTGCTGGCATTATAGGGGTGAGCCACGTGCCCGGCCATTTTTTCTTTATGTTTTCTATTCTTTTTACTTGTCATCAAAATTTAAAACTATTTTTTAAGTTTTATTTTAAATACAAGGGGTAAATATGCAGGTTTCTTACATGGAAATATTGCATAATGCTAAGGTTTGGGGTATGAATCCCGTTACCCAGGCAGAGGGCATAGTACCTGATAGGTAATTCTTCAACCTGTGGCCACCTCACTCTCTCCCGCCTCTTGTAGTCTACAGTATCTGTTGTTCATATATATATATGCCCATATTTGCTCAATGTTAGCTGCCACTTATAAATGAAAACGTGGTATTTGAGTTTCTGTTCCTGTGTTAATTTGCTCAATTATGGCCACCAACTGCATCCATGTTGTTGTAAAATACATGATTTCATTCTTTTTACTGATGTGTAGTATTCCATGGTGTATTTGTACCACATTTTCTTTACCCAGTCTACCACAGATGGGCACCTGGGTTGATTCCATGTCTTTGTTATTGTGAATAGTGTAACAATGAACATATAAGTTAATGTGTCTTTTTGGTAGAATGATTTGTTTTCCCTTGGGTATGCATCCACTAATGAGATTGCTGGGTCAAATGGCAACACTATCTTAAATTCTTTGAAAAATCTCCATACTGCTTTCCACGGTGGCTGAACTAATTTACATCCCCACTATGAGCGTATAAGGATTTCCTTTCCTCCACAGCCTCATCAGCATCTGTTGTTTTCTGAGTTTTTAATAATAGCCATTCTAACTGGTGTGAGATGGTATCCTCTTCAAGTTTGGATTTGCATTTCTCTAATGATCAATGATGCTGAGCATTATTTATATGTTTGTTGGCTGCTTGTATGTCTTCTTTTGGAGAGTGTCTGTTCATGTTCTTTGCCCATTCTTTTAAATGAGGTTATTCTTTTTTTTATTGTTGATTTGTTTAAGTTCCCTGTGGATTCTGGATATTGGACCTTTGTCAGATGCACAGTTGGTGAATATTTTCTCCCATTCTGTAGGTTGTCTGTTTACTTTGTTGATGGTTTATTTTGCTGTGTAGAAGCTCTTTTGTTTAATTAGGTCCAATTTGTCTGATTTTGTTTTCATTGTGTTGCTTTTGAGGACATAGGCAAAAATTCTTTGCCAAGGCCAGTGTTGAAAAGAGTATTTCCTAAGTTGTCTTCTAGAATTTTTATAGGTTGAAGTCTTACATTTAAATTGGATCCATTTTGAGTTAGTTTTTGTATATAGTGAAAGATAGGGTTCCAGCTTCAGTCTTCTGAATATGGCTAGCCTGTTATCCCAGAATCATTTATTGAGTAGGTAGTCCGTTTCCATTGCTTGTTTTGGTCAGCCTTGACAAAAATCAGATAGTTGTAGGTGTGTGGCTTTATTTCTGAGTTTTCTAATCTGTATCATTGGTCCATGTCTCTGTTTTTGTACCAGTACCATGTTGTTTGGGTTACTGTAGCTTTATAGTGTAGTTTAAAGTAGGGTAGTGTGATACCTCTGGTTTTGATCATTTTGCTTAGGGTTGCTTTGGCTATTTGGCTATTTTTTTTGTTTCAATTGACTTTGAGAATAGTTTTGCCTAATTCTGTGAAAAATTACATTGGTAGGTTGATAGGAATAGTGTTGAATCTTCAGATTGCTCTGGGCAGTATGGCCATTTTTACAATATTGATTCTTCCACTCCATGAGCATAAAATATTTTTCCATTTATTTGTGTGGTCTCTAATTTCTTTTAGCAGTGTTTTCTAGTTCTTCTTGTACAGATCTTTCACCTCCTTGATTAGCTGTACTCCTAGGTATTTCATTTTCCTTGTGGCTATTGTAAGTGGGATTTTTTCACTCTCCTGAACATTGTTGTTGTAAAGAAATGCTAATGAATTTTGTACGTTGATTTTGTATTTGGAAACTTTACTAAAGTCAGTTATTAGTTCTAGTTCTAGAAGACTTCTGGCAGGGTCTTTAAGATTTTCTAGGTATTGAAACAAATCAGTGAAGAGAGATTAATTTATTCTTTTCCTATTTGGATTTTTTAAAATTTGTTTCTCTTGCCTGATTGCTCTGACTAGGTATTCCAGTACTATTAATAGGAGTGGTGTGAGTGGGCATGCATGTCTTGTTTCAGTTCTCAAAGGGAGTAGTTAGAGCTTTTGCCCATTCCGTAGATGTTGGCTGTGGGTTTGTCATAGATGGTTCTTATTATTTGAGGTATGTTCCTTCAGTGCCTAGTCTGATGAGAGCCTTTATCATGAAGGAAATTTATTTTTATTGAAATCGTTTTCTGCATCTATTGAGATAATCATATGGTTTTTACTTGTAATTCTGTTTATGTGATGTACCACATTTACTGATTTGTCTATGATGAAATAGGCTTGCATACCAGGAATAAAGCCTACTTGATTGTAGCGAATTCACTTTTTGATGTGCTGCTGAACTTGGTTTGCTAATATTTTATTGAAGATTTTCGTGTCTATTGTGTATATATTTATCAAAGATACGGGCCTGAAGTTTTCTTTGTTCATTGTGTCTCTGCCAGATTTTGGTACAGGCTGATGCTGGCTCATAGAATGATTTAGGGAGGAGCCCATCCTCCCCGATATTTTGGAAGAGTTTCAGTAGGATTGGTATCAATTATTTGTATGTCTGGTAGAATTCAGCTGTGAATCCATCTGGTCCAGAGCTCTTGTGGTTGTTAAGATCTTTATTACTGATTCAATTTTAGAACTTAATATTGTTCTAGTCTGGGTTTCATTCTCTTCATGATTCAATCTTGGGAGATTTTGTGCTTTCAGGAATTTCTCTAGACTTTCTAATTTGTATGAATAGAGTCATTCATAGTAGTCTCTGAGGTTCTTTTGTATTTCTATGTGGTTGGTTGTAATACCACCTTTGTCATTTCCTATTGCGTTTATTTGGGTCTTGCCTTTCTTTTTCTTTGTTAATCTAGCTGTGGGGGGGGGGGTCTATAAATTTTATTTAGTCTTTTGAAGAACAAACACTTGCTTTCATTGATCTTCTGTATGAATTTTTACATTTTAATTTTATTCAACCTTTCTCTAATTTTAGTTATTTCTTTTCTTCTGCCAGCTTTGAGGTTGTTTTTTTTTTCTAGTTTCTTTAGGATAGAAACTAGAAAAAAGTTAGAATGTTAATTTGAGGTCTATCTAATTTCTTGGTGAAGGTGTTTATCACTATGAACTTTCCTTTTAATACTGCTTTAGCTGTATCCCAGATATTTTGATAAGTTATGCCCCTATTTTTATTAATTTCAAAGATTTTTTTGATTTCTGCCTTAATTTCAAAGTTTATCCAAGAGTTATTCAGGATAAGTTGTTTAATTTCTATATATCTGTGTAGTTTTAAGATATCTTCTTAATACTGATTTCCATTTTTATTGCACTATGGTCAAACATCTGCTTGGTATTATTTTGATTTTTTTGAATTATTGAAACTTGTTTATGATCTAGCATGTGGTCTTTCTTGGACTATGTTCTATATTTTATTCAGAAGAATGTATATTCTATGGTTATGGGGTGAAATATTTTGTAGATGTCTGTTGGGTCCATTGGTCAAGTGTTGAGTTAAATCCAGAGTTTCTTTGTAAGTTTTCTGCCACAATGATCTGTCTAACGCTGTCAGTGGATTTTTGAAGTTTCCCACCATTTTTGTGTGGTTGTCTGAGTCTTCATGTAGGTCAGGAAGAACTTGTTTTATGAATCTGGGTGCTCCAATGCTGGGTGTGCAGACATTTAGGATAGTTAGTTCTTGTTGGATTATACCCTTTATCATTATGTAATGTCCTTCTTTATGCTTCTTAATTGTAAAAAGTTTAAAGTCTGTTTTATCTAATATAAAACATAGCAATTCCTGCTTTTTAAAATTTTCTGTTTGCAGGGCAGATATTTATTCAACTTTTTATTTTGAGCCTGCGGATGTCATTATGTGTGAGATGGGTCTCTTAAAGACAGTACACTATTGATTCTCATCTTTTTATCCAGATTGCCATTTCATATGTGTTTTAAGTGGGGCGTTTAGCTCATTTACATTAAGGGTTAGTGTTGATATGTGATATTTTTACCTTGTCATCATGCTGTTATATGGTTGTTATGTAGACTTAATTGTGTAGTTGCTTTATAGTGTTTGTGGGATATGTGCTTAAGTGACTATTTGTGGTAGCAAGTGTCATTCTTTTGATTCCAAGTTTAGCACTCCCTTAAGGACCTCTCATAAGTGTGGTCTAGTTGAAATGAATTCCCTTAGCATTTGCTTGTCTGATAAGGATTTTATTTCCCTTCACTTTTGAAGCTTAGTTTAATGAGGTATTAAATTCTTAGTTGGCATGTGTTTTCTTTAAACATACTGAAAATAGGCCCCAATCACTTCTAGCTTGTAAAGTTTCTGCTGAGAGATCTATTGGCAGCCTGATGGGGGTCCCTGTGTATGTGACCTGACCTTTGTCTTTAGGTGACCTTAAGATTTTTTCTTTTGTGTTGAACATGGTCAATCTGACAATTATGTGTCTTGGGGAGGGTCATCTTTTATAGTATATATCCGGGGTTCTCTATATTTGTTGAATTTGCAATCTACCTCTCTAGTGAGATTAGGGAAAATTTCATCAACTATAAACTCAGATATATTTTCCAAGTTGCTTATTCTCTCTCCTTTTCTCTCAGGGATGCACACGAGTCATAGATTTGGCCTCTTTAAATAATGACATGTTTCTTGGAGGTTTTGTTCATTTTATAAAATTCTTTTTCTTTATTTTTGTCTGAGTTAATTTGAAGAACCAGTTTTGAGCTCTGAAATTATTTCTTCAGCTTGATGCATTCTGCTCTTAATACTTCTGTTTGCATTATGAAATTCTTGTATTGAATTTTCAACTCAAGAAATTCAGTTTAGGCCTTTCTTAAAATTACTATTTTGTCTTTCAGCTCTTGAATCATTTTACTGGATTGCTCGGCTTCCTAGGATTTGGTTTCCACTTCCTCCCAAATCTTGATGAGCTTCCTTGCTATCCAGATTCTGAATTCCATATCTGTCATTTCCGCCATTTCAGATTGGTTAAGAACCATTGCTGAAGTCCTACTAAGCTTGTTTGGATGTAAGGGGACATTCTGGCTTTTTGAATTGCCAGAATTCTTACACCGATTATTTCTCATTTGGGAGGGTTGGTGTTGCTTTAACTGTAGGTAAATTGAGTATAGTCAGTTTATTTTACTTCTGAAAGTTTTTATAATGCTCTGTACAGGGTCTTTGTTGTTGAATTCTTGCCCTCGGCTTCCCAAGAGAGAGAAGCAGCTGCTTTTTGCTGTTGTAGTTTGGACTGTGATCCAGTAGATAGCGCTTGTGAGCAATGAGTAGTAGATAGGCTCTTACTCTGTTGCACGAGCCTTTTGTGCATCTTCTGGTTTGCAGCTGTGCTCTGTATTGTGAGCAGGAGAGATGTGACTTTCTCACCGGCTACACTCCTGGGTCACTTCCGATCACTGGCACTGTGTCTGACTTTTTGTTGTTGTTGTTGTTGTTGTTAGGCGTTTCAGAGTGGGGGCTCCCTTAGGTAGAGGTTTTTCAGGGAGACAGGTCACACTCTTACTAGACCAGCCCTGTGGAGGGAGGCACAACCAGGTCCCACAACAGCCTGCAACCTGTGGAACTCACCTCTCTTAGTTTTATGGGGGTGTGGCCTCCTTCCTCCCTCAAGTGCTGGGCAGCGATCCCAACTTAGTATTCCTGAATCACGAGCCAGAGCTCTTAGGCACCAGGACCTGCTCTCAGCTCCCTGCTCCAGATACTTAGGGTTGAGTTCTGGATGTGCTGGAGGATCTGAAAGGCTCCTGGTCTGCTAGGTTGCACTCAGATGGAGCAAAGCATCAGTACCGGGTAGTGGGGGCTGCATTGTGTACATGTTCTTGCAGAGTGGCCAAGCAGGAGCCTGGGAGAGGCTGGCAGGTAAGTAGGCCTATAGGACAGATGTACCCCAACCCTGCAGGGAAGCCAGCCCTGTTTCTTCCAGTTCATCTATTAGCTGGTGCCAAAGTCGCTCAGAGGAAGATGGGGAGCCCTGGGGGATGGCACTTATGGCTGGGTTCCATAGAAGCTGTCCTATGCACAAAGATCACTCCATACCTGCTGAAGCCTTATCTCCACCTAATCTCTGGAACCAGGATACCAGAGGTCTATGGAGAGAGTGGGCAGTCCCCCAGTTCCTTCACTCACCCCTTCTCCAGGACCCATTCAGGGCCAGTAGCCAGCCCTTCCATTTGGGTACCCGACAGGGGTTCCCAGCTTCCTTCCTCTTCAGGCTTGGTGTGTGCATCCTTTTTCCATCCACATTCAGCATTTTCTCTCTGAAAATGTGTTAAAATTATGTTGGTTTAGTCAAAATTCCGGTCCCTCTCCGTGGGAGTGGCACTTCCTGGTTGCATCTAGTCATCCATCTTTCAGAAAACCCTCTTTCATTACTTTTATTTTTTTCTTTTATTTTCTTTCTCCTTTTCTCTCTTCTTTCTTTCTCTTTCCCTTATCTATCATCTATCTTTCTCTCTTTCTCTCTCTTTCTTCCTCCTTCCTTCCTTTCTTCCTCCTACCCTTTATTTTAGTTCCGTGAAACCTCACTCTTCCTTTATTTTTTTTTTTAGGATTTTGAGTCATAGAAAAGTTTTTCAGTCTTCTGTTCTACAGAGGAATTCACCAAAGTTTCCTTTTGATATTATATGGAGTCATTTTATTTTATTATATCAGATACATCTGAATTTTATACTTGGAAGATGTTTGGTGTAATCGAGTTGCCACTGAGTGGCTGTTTGTTTATTATAATGTCTTGGACCTTCATCAAACTCTTTGATCCATACAACTTAATAATTTTGGAATTTCGTAGAAACAGCTGCTTTAAAATATTTTGTGAAAAGAAGTACATGTTGCCACTGTGACTTTCCTAATCATGGGCCTATTGTGCAGTACTGGGGTTGCTGACGATAGAGGGTGACTTACCATCACTGGATAACTGTCTCCTCTGTAATGAATGATCTCAGGTGGAAATTGACGTAAGGTACAACATCTGAGCACTTTGAGCCAAAATACCTCTTCCGTCAAACTGCTTGTCTCGAATCTTTTAATCTATACCAGTGACCAATCAATCATTTACTATTTACCACTGACCAAGAGTCTATATCTTTATTTCAGACCATCCCTCTATATACAATGTAAATGCCGAAGTGCACTACTTATAAATCTGTGTACAGGAAGGATTTGTTCCTTCATTATTTTTCTTTACAGTCACCCCTAAGTGCCACTTAATGCAGCTCCAGTATTTTTTGGTCCCATTAACACATTAAGCTGAACCACCTGCGAACCTGGTCCCAGTTTTCTTTCTCTTTCTTCAACTCATCATAAAGAAAGTTTATGAAGCTATTAGATGCTAAATTTAGAGAGGAGTCAGTGTTAAAGTGAGAAGTGGCATAGGATTCTAGCCACCTATTTGCATAAATTAATTCTGTCCTCTGGACTTACTTGGTGTGATCCCAAAATGTTATTTTCATAGTGTGATAGATTGATGCTGTACCTGTCTCACCTTGTGATATGGTGTATCTGAGAGATCTGAGCTTATGAGAACAGGTGCAGTCACCTAACCTTGTGGTTTATGCTACAAAGAAGAGCCTTGTTCCAAAGCACTGGGGGTATGTATTGTGAATTGCATAAATGGGCTTGCCCTTTACACAGAGCTGTTATGCATCTCAAGACAAGTTCATTACATATGATACATCCACTCCCTGAAATAACACTGTTTGCAACAAAGCTTTTCACCTTCTTGGTAAGAAACATATTTAAAGAAGTATGCTTCTAGATAGACTAGAGAAGTTTTCCTGAATTATCCTATCCAGAATGTTTTCCAGATATTTTAATTTTTCTTCTTTTTCTCCCTCAGGAATGCCTGTTACTATGCATCTAACAAAGGACTAAAATCCAGAATCTACAAGGAACTAAACTCAACAAGAAAAAATAATCTCATTAACAAGTGGGGAAAAGATAGGAACAGACATTTCTCAAAAGAAGATATACAAGAGGACAAGAAACATAAAATAAAATGCTCAATATCACTAACCGTCAGTGAAATGCAAGTTAAAACCACAATGAGATGCCACATCACACCGGTCGGAATGGCCATTATTAAAAAGTCAAAAAACCACAGATGTCGACAAAGATGCAGAGAAAAGGGAGCACTTATACACCGTTGGTGCGAATATGAATTAGTACAACCTCTATGGACAACAGTATAGAGATTTCTCAAAGAAGTAAAAATAGAACCACCATTAGGCCCAGCAATCCCACTACTGGGTATCTACCCAAAGAAAGAGAAATTGTTATATATATATATCTGCACTCATATGTTTATCACTGCACTAGTCGCAGTAACAAAGTCATGGAATGAACCTAAGTTTCCATCAAAAGATGATTGGATAAAGAAAATGTGGAATACCATGAAATACTACACATCCGTAGAAAAAAAATTATGTCTTCTGCAGCAACATGGATGTAACTGGAGGTCAAAATACTCAGAAACACAACATCAAATACCACATGTTCTCACTTATAAATGGGAGACATGTACAAACAGAGAAAAATAGTCAAGGCTGGGGACTTTAAAAGAGGGGCTTGGGAGGGACTTGAGAGTTGAAAAATTACCTACTGGATACAATGTTCATTATTCAGGTAATAGGAACATTAGAAGCCCAAATCTCAGCTTTCCACAATATATCCATGTGACAAATCTGCATATATACCCACTGAATCTATAAAAATAAAATGAATAAATTTTAAAAAGCATGTTTCAACACTTCATAGAAACTCTACAGTTTGGTTATTAACATAGAATCTTCTAGGTCTCATGGTCAAGTAGCAACAGAGCTAAATCTATTCCTAAGAGTTCTTTTTCTATGAACCTCAAAACTGACAGCCTTAAGAATTATCTAACTAATAGGCTAAAACAATATTCTTAAACATGATATATTCTTCCTCCAAAATCCAAGAAGTTCCACACAAGACTGTGCCTTTTTGTTGGAGGTAGTAGGTACAAAGAAAAATAACTTGACCTTGAGTTTAGAGTACATATTCTGATGTGGACTAGATCATTAAATCACTAAAGTAATAACCAATATGGCAGTGTAATTATGATTATAGGTTTTATCTCTGACTCTTGGCAGCCATGTTTGCTAGGAAATTATTTGCCATGGTCTGCTCACCAAATCCAATTTACACAATATTATTACAATAGAGGGCCACAATGATGCTCTGTTGAATGCCAAGATGAAAACGGTATCTTCTTCTAGAGAGGATGGAGGTAGTCTACCCCTGTGATACGATAGTGAGTGTTGTCTATATTTTCCTAGGTGAATTTGAACTACTACATTTACACTCTTTGTGCGATTAAAAAGGACGTATCTTCCAGATCAATAAAAGCTTACCAAAAGTTACAGTAGGTATTGATCTCTTCTGGTAATGATATTACATCCAGCACAGAGCTGCAATTGAGTTTTCACATGCTTAATTATGCCGTAGTTCTCTGTCGTCTGCCATGATCCATCTGTTTCCTTTTTAAGAACTATGTAAGTGAATTAAATTGAGAATACAATAAGGTGAAATATCACTGAATCATTTGTGTATTTGAGGCAGCATTAACCTCTGCTGTTTCACCCAGAGTATCATTTGGCTTCTGATTTACTATTTTTTTCCAGGAGAAAGATGTGTAGAGTTTTAGGGCTTATCAGTTACCCTAATTTTTTCATTAGGGAACTCACTTCAAAGATTAGAGAACAAATGTGAGGTTGTTCCAGCTGCAAGTTATATTTATCTAAATTATGTACTTTGGTGGTGGGGAAAAGAAATGAGGTGGTTCTACAGCTTTTT
Organism: Homo sapiens; assembly: GCF_000001405.40. Taxonomy (NCBI): domain Eukaryota; kingdom Metazoa; phylum Chordata; class Mammalia; order Primates; family Hominidae; genus Homo; species Homo sapiens. The sequence goes on from NC_000004.12 coordinate 170,995,716, forward strand.
TAGATCCATCACTGTGAGAAGAACTTGGGCTAAAATTTTATCATGCCACCATTTACCCTCAGTCCTACAGTTAAGTTATGATGGCATTTTGGTTTCCCTAGAATTAATGGAGGCTCAGGTCCTGTATCTAATAACCTCAAAAAGATCTGATATCCCTCTTTCTAATAAACAGTCACACAGAACAATGGCTATAGAGATACTGGTGAAAGATGGAAAGATCAGCTTTTGTATATAATTGCAGTGGTGTTCAAGGTTCCTTCCATAGAGGAACTAACTTATAATAGTATTTGGGCATGAGTACTCTGGATATTGAAAAACAAATTATAGTTTTCCATTATGTTGGCTGATACTAGCTTTCTGCTCACCAGATATTTATTTTTTTGTTATAGCCTCACTGTCATTCTATCATTCTTATCTATTAGCCATCATTACAGATTCCTGTGGGTCACAATCCCCTGGTAGACATTTAGTGGCCCACTGTGATAATTAATTTTATCTACCTTATTCTGGACGGTTAGGTACTATCGGCTAATCTCTCTAATTTAATCACAATGTGATGATTAATTTTATGCATCAACTTCGCTAGGCCACAGTACCTTGATATCTCGTCAAATGTTATTCAAGAAGTTTCCATGAGGTATTTTTTTATATAAGATTAACATTTAAATTAGTAGATTTTGAGTGCAGCAGAATACTTTCCATAATATGAGTAGGCCTCACCCAATTAGTTTAAGGCCTTAATGGAAAAGAATAAATAAATAGACTCACCTCCTCTGAAGAAAAGGCAGTTCTGCCAAAAAACCTCCCTGGATCTCCAGACTGCTAGACCCCCTGAAGATTTTAGATTCGCAAGTCTCCACTATCAGGGCCAATTCCTTCAAATAGATCTGTCTTTCTGTCTATGTCTTCCTCTTTCTCTCTTTCTCTCTCCATACGTATTTATATATTATTTGTTCTATTTCTGTGGAGAACCGTCACCAATAAAACACTCTTGTTTACAAGAATGGACTCAATTATATGAAAGTATCTCCTACCTTCAACCATAGTCTACAGCTGCAGCTGCCACTGACTATGGAATGATACACATGCAAAATATTTGTGCTTTGGTGAAGGGCATGCTTTATGGACTCTCTGGAAGAACATTAACATAGGGTGAGTTCTCTATTCTCACATGGTAAAATTTATTTTAACATGCTCCAGCCTTTAAGCTTACTGACATCTTCCTATATATTTTGACAACACATTTCTAGCATTTCCAACTCATTTTCTATAGGCCATTGTCATGTCTGAATTTTAAGAAATGGTCCCTGAAGGGATTTATTATCAACTATAGGTATCATTTTTATTATATTAAAAACAAAATTATGAGAAAGTGTCCCTTTGTCCATAAACATATCCTCCAGGGCTTTATTCTGTCTCTGGTCAACACCTCTCACTTCTTTTCAACACCCTCAATATCTACTCTCATCATGTTCCCTCAATTCCTGCTGGTATGTAGTATTGAAGTCCTGCAACTATTTTAGTAAACAAGCTAATGCATCCTATAGCTGGGATTACTTTTCTCTACTCAAACTGTGCAAAAACCAGACAGCCAATGGCTTATATGCCATGGAGAGGTATGATAGATCTTGAAAAGAATACACATGATCTTGGGAGTCATCTGACTTAGGTATGGCCTTAAGTGTTCTTCAATGAATGGCAAGGACCTTTTCCTTTGGTAAAGTGTTTCCTTCTTCTTCCTGTCTCCAGGATTCTGGGATATCTTAGGGTGTAAAAGTGCCAAGTGCATATACACAGATGTTCTTGTCCACATCTCTAGCTCCCACTCCTTCCTTTTCTTTTCCTGTCTATAGCTTAGAAGACCTGCCAGACTTTGTTTTAAGAACATGTCAGCCTCTTTTTCCATCAATGCTCTTATGATTAAATCCTGGGCCTTATCGCCAATATGATTTTCTGTCCAGCTTCAGAAGATGAGATTCTCTGCCAAGGAGGTCTTCTGGTTTCCACCCATGAGCTGAGAGCTGGCACACCTGAGCTCTGTAGTACTTCCCAGATGATTAAAAGCCAACTCTACAATCACTACAATTACTATTTTACCATATATTTAAAGTGCTAAAGTTAATGCATAAACAGTCTTCCATTTTCACCAGTATCTCACTTTAATCTATTATAGATGAGAGTCTTACGAATTGTTATTCAACAGCATGCCAGGAGTAGCACAAGGTCTTTTACCATAAGCAAAATGGTTTTTATTGTCATCTGGCAAGTAAGTAGTCTGATACTGGGCTTGCACTATGATTTTTTTAAGAGCTACTTGTGCTATCTACAGATTTATTTGGGTTTACTCTAGAAGTATGAGATCATGAGACAAGGACTTGAGTGCAAATAAGTTATTTTGAATGTGATCTCAGGTAGTACATGTGAAAAAGTGAGAAGAGTGACACAGAGAAGGCCAGAAACCACCCCCTGCTCAACACACAATGTAGTGCTGGTTATTATGGAGGAAACTGGCAACCGATCCTGTGTGAAATCATACACCTCAAAATCTTGTTATTTGAGCATTGAGACATTTTCCTGCTATTATCCCCATTGTTATGGATGGAATTTTGTCCTTCCAAAAAGTTGTTGAAGCTCTAGCCTCCAGCAACTGCTAATGTGACCTTATTTAGAAATAGGCTCTTTGCAGATGACCAAATTAAGATGAAGGCATCAGAGTAGGCTCCAATCCAATTTGACTGTGTCTCTTGGAAGTTGAAACATAGGAACAGATACACAGAGAAGGAGAATATCATGTGAAGAGCACCCAGTTTGTGGTACTTTGTTGTAGCAGCCTAAGAAACTTATGCCACCATTGAATAAGCGTTGACCACAAGAAATTTAATGCTCACATTTTCCTAGTTGTATCTGCTTGAAGCTGAGAGAAAACGTTTCCTTAGTGTCAGCCAGAGATCACCTCAAACGGAGAAGAGAAATGCTGTGATTGAAGTGATAGGTACCACGTGTGCTGCAAAAAGCCTGCTGTAGCTCCTGGTGATCTAAATTGAAGGATGAGACTTGGGAGAGCTCACCAACAGTATCAGTGACAACACTGCACACATTCTTATGTATTCTCACTTGAAACTATCGTTTGTTTTTATTTTTTGGTTTTTTTTTTTTGTGCTCCTGAGCACCTTGAAAGTAAGATTCTCCTATCAAAATCATAAAATCATAGTGATAAGATTTTGTTAAGTACCTATTGATGAACCTAAATCCTCAGGATTAGCAGTAGGACTCAGGAACTCTTAAAGATCAAGCATAGAATGCAAAATCTAAGAAAAAATTGTACATGGGCAGAATTTATGAATGACCTCCAATGACCTTTATCTTTGTATAACCCCTTCCACTTTGAGTATGAGAAAACCCATAGATATCTTCAGACTTCATTCCTATGACTATGTTATGTTATATAACACAATTGATCTTAAGATTGGGACACTACCTTGGTGGGCCTAATTCAGTCACCTGAGTTCTTTAAAAACAGAACACTTACTCCAGGTAGTGGCAGAGGAGGAAGACAGAGAAGAAAGCAGGAGAGAAAGTCAGATGAATTTGAAGCATTAGGGGAGGTTAATGTGCCACTGTTTCTTTGAAGGTGGAAGGACCATATGAGAAGAAATGCAGGCAAACTTCAGGGGTCAAGAGAGATGCCCAGCTGACAACCACCAAGAAACAGGGACCTCATTCTTGCAGTCTCAAGGCACAGAACATGGTATCAAAGCTGAATTAGGTTGGAAGTGGATTCTTTTCTAGAACATGTAGATAAGACCCCAGCCGTGCTATCACCTTGATTTTGGCCTTGTGAGACCCTAAGTAGGAATAAGCTGAGACTTGCCAGAATTCTGAAGTGGAGAACTGTGAGCCAATTTGTGTTTCTTTAAGCGTCTATGTTTCTGGTAATTTGACAACACAGAAATTGAAACTTAATACAAATAGTAAAGTGTGTAGTACATTTTTATGCTTTTAAAATATAATGGTGAGGGATGTATATGAACTATTTTAGTTAATGCACATATCTTGAACAACACTGATTTTACCCAGTGTTAAGTTCATAGTGCTAATTAGCAAAGCCTCTACTGTTGATACTAAAACAAGAACAACAATTATAAATAAGTAATTTAATAGTTTCTAGTGGTCTCATTGGAGAGGAATCTCATAAATTAAAAAAAAATAGCAGAATCCCATTCGTCTTGCGGTGTGGGTGGGTGGTAGAGAAAGTTGGAGGTGTGTTAAATTCTCTTAAATGGGTAAAGATGACAGTGAGTGTGGTAGTTCTGTTCTGTTCACCAAATGTTTCCACTTTTATTCTATATCATGGCAACAATGCACTTTCTAGGCTTCATGTGGTTGAATGGAACCTTGTGACTTGGTTTGTCCAATGAACTTGAAGTAGAAATTACATTTTTCACTTCCAGGCTAGACAATTGTAAATGCAATATCCTTCCTTGCTCTCTTTTTTCCTCACCCGGTAATATTTGAAATATTCACTCAGGTTCTTCTCCCTGGAAACCTAAGTAACTACAATAATAAGCACGGTTGTAGGTGATAATACATTTTACAAGGAAGAAATAGATGCTTGTAAATTTAAACTATGAAGATTTGAGAATTACCTGCTACCGCAAAATTAAGTAGACTATTCTGAATGATGTAGAATGTACACACAAGTGAAGATTTAGAGGGAACTAGCAAAGATTATGCTTCATGAATCCAGGTCTGGGACATCATTTCTATCTCAGAAGAGTATGGGACAGTTGTGTTCAGAAATGCAGGCAAAGTTGAAGGCCATGAGAGAGTTTAGCCCCAACAGTGTGAAAGCATAGGGAAATGCCTACTGCTCTGGGACCAAAATGGGCCTTAGCATAAATACTCTCTTCAGGGAATGCTATAGCAGAGTAAAAGCAGCAAAAGCGAGAGTGGCTTAAAGACCAAGGAAAGGGGCATACTACTTTTAGATTGTTAAGAATTAATCCTGGCCAGACATGGTGGCTCACGCCTGTAATCCCAGCACATTGGGAAGCCGAGGTGGGTGGATCACGAGGTCAGGAGTTCAAGACCAGCCTGGCCAACATGGTGAAACCCCATCTCTACTAAAACATACAAAAAAAATTGGCTGGGTATGGTGATGCGTGCCTGTAATCCCAGCTACTCGGAAGGCTGAGGCAAGAGAATTGCTTGAACTGGGACCCGGGAGGTGGAGGTTGCAGTGAGCCAAGATTGCACCACTGCACTACAGCCTGGACTACAGAGCAAGACACCATCTCAAAATAAAAAAAAAAGAATTAATCTTGGCCGGGCGCAGTGGCTCATACCTGTAATACCAGCACTTTGGGAGGCTGAGGCGGGTGGATTACTTGAGGTCAGGAGTTTGAGACCAGCCTGGCCAACATGGTGAAACTCCATCTCTACTGAAAATACAAAAATTAGCTGGGCATGGTGGCTCTCGCCTGTAATCCCAGCTACTCAGGAGGCTGAGGCAGGAGGATAGCTTGAACCCGGAAGGCGGAGGTTGCACTGAGCAGAGATCATGCCACTGCACTACAGCCTGGGTGGCAGAGTGAGACTCCATCTCAAAAACAAAACAAAACAAAAGAATTAATCCAATGTCTTTGAAATCGTATATTTGTTTATACTTAATTTAGGCCCAACCTTTAAATTTAATGGTGATTCTTTGTTTAAACTCAGATTTAGACACCACAAAATTATTTGAGTCAAGATTAATTTATTACATTGTATGCATCACTTAAAAATACTATAAAGATGTTTTAAATTAAACAAATGAAGATATTGAACATGTTTTGAGCGTGTTTTTTCTTTCTTTTTATTGCTAAACATCTCTCATTACAGACCTTTCTTGGCATTTATTTCTTGACTGTAGACTTCATTCCTTTACTGAAGAATTATAATTTATGTCACACATATAAACTCTACCTCTAAAACTTTTATTGTAAGCAAAGCTACTGATAAATTATAGAGATTCATGGGAACACGAAAAGTCTATGTAATTTCTATTCCTAAAGATTGTGCTAACATAAATGAAAACAAAGGATTATTTAAAATTCATGTTTCAATTAAAAATGAAAATAAAATTAATTGTTTTACTACTATATTTTATAAACTTACTTTGATTTGCTGCTTCAGAAATATTTCAGTGAAATATGTTGTTTTTTTCTTTCAAAGTATTGTTTCCCCTTTACATATATCTAACAATGAGGTTATTTTTAAACTCAAAAGACATACAATCCCCTGACAGAATACTAGATTTAGAGAACAGTGATAGTGTATCAATCCATGTGTTTGAAATAAACTCCATATAAGCAGTAAAAATGGTCTGCATGAAATTGCTAATGAAATCTACAATTCTAAATATATGCTTTTGTCCTTAACTTTCAATGATTTAGTAAGCTATTTATGAAATAAAATTGTTACATGAATTGTTTAGTTTCCTAGAATGAATTATATCAGGATGACAACTAAATTTATGTCCTTTTATTTGATATACTATCATTTTATTTATATTGGAAAGATATAGATAAAATACTGTGTGAAAGAGTTTAATGATTCTGAAAATTTCCCATCTTCTACTCATCAGCTTTTCAATATTCTTTTTCCCCTTGTAAGTTTTCTGACTATCAGTTTTCTATCATAAGTAAATGAATAACAATTTTATAAATCATCAAGGTCATTTTAGCTGATGAAGCAAAAATAGATCACTTGCATTGCTACTTTAAAGTCAAGTGTTTCATTGAGATAAAATACGAATCATTTCCCATTTTATAGTCTATCTTGTGTTAAATATTTGAAATATATTTGAAGAGTATATTTGATAGACATAAGAAAGTTGTTCATTATGTTATAAATTTTTAAAACATATCTTGTGCTAAATTTTTGAAATATATTTGAAAAATATAATTTTATAAACATCAGGAAATCATTAATTATATCAACAAGTGTTAAAAATATAAGGAAGCAATATAATAACTTCAGGTTGGTATCCGACCTTTTCAAGGGTACTGCATGATTTGATTCAATATACTTACAGTCCAACTTTTACGGAGAAAAATATTACAATTATTTGCACATGAAGGCGATCCAATGATTATGCTATTTCTAGGTTACCTAAGGCAAATAGGTGCCATTTGGGGACCATGAAGGAAGTTGTATCTTAATCAGTGTTAGCAACACCTTAGAGTGCATAGGAATTACTTAGTTAAAATTGTGGAATCCTGACCAAACCTATAGTAATTCTGATTTGGTAGACCTGAGCTATAGTCATGAAAGTTCTGATAAATATATCATATGTGATTTTGATGGTAAAATCCCATAAATCCAGTTTCAAAAAGCTCTTTTATAATGGAATTTTAGCCAAAGTCACCTAATGCTGTTATGTTTTCACAGTGTGGTACACCCATGAGACCGTGCTACCAAGTTGGAAAGATTTTCTTTTTGTATATTTTTTTCTTAATAAAATTATATTTATTTTAAATTCAAAGGATACATATGTTTGTTTGTTGTATGGGTATATTTTGTGTTGATGGGGATTGGACTTTGGTGTATCCATCACTCAAATATTGAATATTATCCCCAGTAGTTAATTTTTCAAACTTCGCTCCTGCCTACCCTTTCCTTTTTTGGAGTCCCTAGTGTCTATTATTGTCGTATTTATGTCCACATGTATCCATTCTTTAGTTCCCAGTTATAATTGATAACACGTGGTATTTGACTTTCTGTTTGAGTTGTTTCACTAGGATAATTGCCTCCAGCTCCATCTATGTTGCTGCAAAGGACACCATTTTATTTTTTATGGCTACTTCACATTCTACGGTGTTTACACCACATTTTCTTACCCAGTCAGCAGTCTGTGTACACTTAGGTTGATTCTTTGACTTTGCTATTGTGAATACTGCTGTGATAAACATACAAGTGCAGTTGTCTTTTTTATATAAAAATTTATTTTCTTTTGGGTAGATACTTAGTAGTGTGATTGCTGGGTTGAATGGTAGTTCTACTTGTAGTTCTTTGAGAAATCACTGTACTAGTCTCCATAGAAGTTATACTAGTTCTCATTCCCACTAATTGTGTATAAGCATTCCCTTCTCTCAGCACTCATCCATGTCTGTTTTTTGACTTTTTAACATTCTGAGTAGTGTAAGATGAGATCTCAGTTTGGTTTTAATTTGCATTTCTCTAATGATTAGTGACGTGGAACATTTTTTAATGTTTTTGTTCGATGCTTGCATGTCTTTCTTTGAGAAATGTTTGTTCGTTTTCTCTGCCCAGTTTTTAAATTAGGCTGTTTTCTTCATATTGAGCAGTTTGAGTTTCTTGTAGATTCCGGGTATTAGTTCTTTGTCAGAGGCATCATCTGTAAATGTTTTCTCCAACTCTGTAGGTTGTCTGTATATTCTGTTGATTCTATCTTTTTCTGTATAGAAGTTTTATGGTTTAATTCCCATTTGTCTATTTTTTGTTTTGTTGCATTTGCTTTTAGGGTCTTCTTCATGAATTATTTACCTAGGCTGATACCCAGAATTTTTCCTAGGTTTTCTTCTAGAATTTTTATAGTTTCAGGTCTTAAATTTAGGTCTTTAATTCATCTGGAGTTGAATTTTGTATATGGTGAGAGTCAGGGATCCAGTTTTGTTCTTCTGCATATGGTTAGCCAGTTTTCTCAGCACTATTTATTAAATATGGTGTCCTTTCCCCATTGTTTATTTTTGTTGACTTTATTGAAGATCAGTTAGTTGTAGGGATGAGGCTTTATTTCTGGGTGCTCTATTCTGTTCCATTGATTTGTGTGTCTACTTTTGTATCAGTACCATGCTGTTTTAGTTATTATAGCCTTATAGTATAAATTGAAGTCAGGCAATGTAATGTCTCTTAGAATTTATTTGGCTATTTGGGCTCTTTTTTGGTTCCACATGAATTTTAATATTGTTCTTTCTAATTCCGTGAAAAATGAAATGAATCTGATAGAAATTTCATTGAATATATAAGTGTCTTTGGGCAATATAATCATTTTAATGATATTGGTTCTTCCAATCTATGAGCATAAGATGTTTTTCTATTTGCTGGTGTCTTTTTCAATTTCTTTCATCGGTGTTTTGTGGTTCTTCTTGTAGAGATCTTTCACTGCTTTGATTAAGTATATTCTTAGGTTTTCTTAGTGTGTGTGTGGCTACTGTAATGGAATTGAGTTATTAATTTGATTCTCAGCTTGATCATTATTGGTGTATAGAAATGGTACTAATTTTTTTTACATTGATTGGATCTGGGAACTTTACTGAAGTCACTTATCAAGTCTAGGAGTATTCTGTAGGAGTCTTTAAGGTTTTGTAGGTGTAGGATGATGTCAACAGTGAAAAAAAATTTGACTATCGCTTCTTTAATTTGGATGCCTTTTATTTTTTTTTCTCTTGCCTGATTACACTGGCTAGAAATTCCACTACTATGTTTAATAGGAATGATAAGAGTAGACATCTTTGCCTTGTTTCAGTTCTTAGGAAAAATGCTTTCAATGTTTCCCCACTCAGTATGATGATGATTATTGGTTTGTCATATATGGCTCTTATTATTTTGAGGTAAGTTCCTTTGATTTCTAATTTGTTGAGGACTTTTATCATAAAAGGATGTTGGATTTTTATACAATTATTTTTGTATCTATAGCGATGACCATATGGTTTTTGTTTTAAATTCTGTTTATATGGTGAATCACATTTATTGATTTGCATATGTTGAACCATCTTTGCATATCTGAAATAGAGCCCATTTGATTGTAATGAATTATCTTCTTGGTGTCCTGTTGGGTTTGGTTTCCTAGTACTTAGTTGAGAATTTTTTGCATCTATATCCATCAGGGATATTGGTCCATAGGTTTTTTTGTTTGTTTATTTTGGAGTTATTGTGTATTTGACTGATTTTGGTATCAGGGTGATACTGTATTTGTAAAATGAGTTATAGATAATTTTTTTTGTCAGTTATTTTGATACGATTTTTCAATAAGATTGGTTATCTGCCATTCTTTGTATGTCTGGCAAAATTCAGCTGTGAAACTGTCTAATCCTGGGCTTCTTTCGTTGGAATTTTTTTTATTACTAATTGAATTTCATCACTTGTTATTGGTCTGTTCAGGGTTTCTATTTCTTCCTGGTTCAATCTTGGGAGTTTGTATGTTTCCAGGAATTTATCCATTTTCTCTAGATTTTCTAATTTGTGCATATATCTTCATTGTATTTGTTTGTGTAATGGAAACCCAACTATTCTTGTCAAATTGTTCAAAATCTTCATTACACTGTATAGACACTATTTAATCAAGGATATGTAATTTATAGGCTTAAACACCTCACTGACTAACTTTATACTTTCAAATGGGAAGAGTTATTCACTGCAAATGGCAATTATTATAAACTTTCAATTCTCAGAAGTGTTTTGAAAATTAATGTTAACAAAACAGTGTCAATGAATGACAAAACCAAGATGTTACAATATTGTATAAATATAAATAGAGAAAATTGCATAAGAAATAAAATTCAACAATATTTTTTTCTGATAGAATTAATTGCAAAAGGAATTACAAACTCAATTACTATCTAGAGATCTTAGTTCATTTGATAACATATACATAAACAAAGGTATGGAATACTTTAGATTGGCTGGTTTCCGGAGGACTGAAGAGAAAAGCACTTGATCACAAGAAAGAAAACAGATTTATCTAATTTTTTACTTATAGTTATAATTGAATTCACAAATAAAATTTAATTTACATTACTGTAGGCCCTAGGATTAATCAAAGATGCTAACAGTGTCAGAAATTTTAGACTTCTCTTAAAATCTTCATAATGACCAAATGAGACAAACCAGGGGCAGAGAAAACACATAATTCTTATGTGTCAGGCTTGTGGGTTGTGCCTTCCACATTAATTCACATGTTTAAATAATTTATATTTTATGTAATTACCAATATACTTGATATTAAGTCTTCCAATTTGCTTTTTATTTTCTGTGCCTCCCATCTGTTCTATGTGCAGTTTATTTTTATTTCTTGCCTTTCATGGTTTGATTATTTTTTAATAATTTCATTTGATCACTAGTATTAGCATTTTAGCTATATGTCTGTATTTTATTAGTTAATTGTTGTTCTAGGATTTCAAGGCACATCTTTTACTTATTGCCTTCTACTATCAAATAACATTATATTACATCAATAATAATGTAAAAATCTTAAAATATGACCAGTATTTGCTCTCTCTGATTCTTTGTGCTATTGTTGCCATATATTTTTCTTCATATGGTATAAAAATAACATTATTATTATTTGTTTAACAGTTATAAAGAAAAATAATATAAAATATTGTATATTCACTTTCAAAAGTATCACTACTAGCCATCTTTATTCTTTCATGTAGATCCATACATAAATCAGGTAGGATTTTTCTGTTGAGTAATAAACATCCTTAACATTTCTTGTAGTGCAGGTCAGGTAGGGATTCATTTTCTCTGCTCTTACTGATCTAAAACATTTTTATTTAGTGGAGAATAGAATTTTAAGGTGAGCATTTTTATTGTTTTGTCTTTTGTAGTCAGTATTGTTTAAAATATAAATTAATTAAAATATAAATGTATTGTCATCTGGTATGTACAGGTTTTAGTAATAAGTCAGCTGCCATTCTATTCTTTGTGCTTCTGTAAATGCAGGCTTTGCTTTTTAATTTGTAGTTTTAAATTCCACAGTTTCATTTACCATTAGTATAATACAATAACATATTTTCAGAAAGAGAGAGACAACATTCACATAACTTTCATTACACTGTTGTTATAATTGTTCTATCTTATTATTAGTTACTGTTTTAATCTTTTATGGTGTCTAATTTATATACAAATTAAACTTTATCATAGGTATGTAGGTACAGGAAAAAAATATAGTATATATAGGGTTTAGTACAGTCTGTGCTTTCACGCACTCACCAGGGCTTTTGGAATGTATTTTCCCTGTAGAAGGGGGACTACTCTAATGTGTTCTTTGTCTTTGTTTTTGTTGTTCTGTGTGTCATGTGGTTTCAGAGAAGAATAAATGGGGAACTGAGACTTCCGTATTCCCCTCATAATAGCAAGCCCAATTCCCCTCAGCAGTATCACTGGAGACCATGTTGGAGCTTGGATTTCTACCCTCACCCAGCAATAAGGAGGTACTCCTCCCCTTTCTTGCGAGAGGATGTCTCACAAGCTTAGTGGAACCCATAAATATTAACACCACCCCAAAGTAACAAAGGTATTAGTGGAGGCCACATGGAAGCAATAATGAGGTGTACCCCTTACTCTCAGCCAAGATATGTAAGTGGAGGTCTACTGGGGAGTCTGAACTCCCATCCTTTATCCAGCAGTAAGAAAGCAGTCCCTAGGGTGTAAACAATGGCCAGATGAAAAACTTGGATTCTACTCCCACCTGACAACAGCAGGTGGGGTATTCTCTTTTCTCCTACTGGTAGGCATTATAGAAAGTCAGCTAAGAGAGAAGATCTAAAGGTTACTCAAAGTCTTACAATATAATAATAAAAAATGTCTAGGATACAAGGGAAAACTCTCATCATACCAGGAAATAAAATAATCACAACTTGAACAAGAAAAGATAATAAATGCCAACACCAAGAATAACACAGATAAAGAGATTTTCCAAAAAGGATCTTTAAGCAGTAACAATAAAAATCACTAAACACTTACAAACCTGTTTGAAACAACTAAAAAGAAAATCCTAGCAGAATAATAGAGATATAAAAAGAACCAAATGTAAAACTTAGATTTGAAAAATACAATACATGCAATAAAAGATGCAAAAGAAGGGCTTTACAGTGGAATGGAGAGGACAAAGAAAACAGCCAGTGAGCTTGAGGATAATTAAATAAAAATGACCCGCTTGGAATAACAGAGAACATAGACTGAAAAATAATTGTTGGAGACTCAGGAATTTGTAGGACTATAACAAAATATCTAATATTTGTAAAATGGAAGTATCAAAATGAGAGGAGAAAAAAGGGAGGGCTGAAAAAGAATTTTAAAAAATAATTGCTGAAATTCCCACAAATTTGGTCCAAAAAGTACCTTAAAATAAAAATGTGTGAAACTGAGTGAACCTTTGTATCAGATAATCCAAAGAAATTACAAGAAACATTATAATCAACTTTTGAAACTAAAAAGAAACAAACAAGCAAATTAAAAGCATCCAGAAAGAAGCAATATATTATTTATAAGGGAAAACCAATCTGAATAAAAGTGGATTTTTCATGAAAAATGATGACATCCTAAAAGAAAAAGTACTATCAAACCAGGATTCTAAATCCAGTGAAAATATTCCTTGAAAATAAAAGAAAACATCATGACATTTTCAAATGAAAGGAAGCTGAGAGTATTTGTCACCAGAAAAGTTACCCTTAATGAAATAGCCAAAGGAAGTTCTTGAAACAAAATAGAAATTATTTAAAAAGAAACTCCGGAACATCAGGAAGTAAGCAAAAAAAAAAAAAAAAAAAAAAAATTGCAAACTTTAAAATATGGGTAAACAGAATAGACTTGACAGTTTCTTGAGTTTTAAAAATTATATTTGACAGTTGAAACAAATGTTAAAACATTGATGTCATTCTCAATGTATGTAATGAAAATATTTAGGACAATTCTATAGCAAGAGTACAATAGGAAAACTTAAAGGCAGATGTTTTCTGCTTTTTTTTTTTGAGATGGAGTCTTGCTTTGTCATGTAGGCTGGAGTGTAATGGTACGATCTCGGCTCACTGCAACCTCTGCCTCCCGGGGTTAAAAAAATCCTCTCATCTCAGCCTCCCAAGTAGCTGGGACTACAGGCACCTGCGACCACACCTGGACTAATTTTTACATTTTTAGTAGAGACGGGTTTCACCCCGTTGGCCAGGCTTGTCTCAAACTCCTGACCTCAACTGATCCACCCCTTGGCCTCAAGTTTTCTACACTTCATACAAACTAGTAAAATGTTGACATCTGTAGATTGTGATAAATTTTATATGTCTAATGTAATACCTAGAGTGATTAGTAAAATATTTATACAAAAGAGGTACATACACATGGTTAGTGCTGACCATGGGTTACATGGGCTTGGAGAGAGGAACATGATTGAGACTATCAAAGGGTTCCATGACAGATAGCTTTGTGATCACAGAGTATTTTTAAATTTCGTTTGTGTCAGTGCTTACACATACCTTCACATGTGTTAAAATGGCGTGGAACAATGCACACAATGCATTAAAACACTCCCTGTTTTTATATTGAGAAATTAATGGTGAGCAGAATTATAATTAGCACACATTTAGAAATAAATGCATGTAATCTTTTTCACAGTAAGGGAAAATGCCTCTAATAAGGTAAAGCAACTAAATTTGTGAAACTTACTCTAAAACAAAAATGTGGGGTCCCATTTTCAAAAAAAGTTATTAAGAAAGTGCTATTAAAGTTACTAAAATATAAAGGTTTTTTGCATTCTTGTTCAAATCAATATTATATGTTTTACTTGCTATTTAATTGTTTAATATTATCTAATTTTTTAATATTTATTTTTTATCTTTTTAAAGACAAGGTCTTGCTATGTTGCTAAGGCTGACCTTGGTCATAAGTGGGTTCTCTCTCAGTTCACCTGAGATCTGGTTGTTTAAAAACAGGGCACCTCTCCCACCTCATTCTCTTGCTCTCTCTCTCACCATGTGATGTGTCTGCTCACGTTTGCCTTCCACCATGATTAAAAGCTTTCTACAGGCTGGGCACAGTGTCTCACACCTATAATCCCAGCACTTTCGAGGTCAAGTTGAGTGAATGACTTGAGGTCAGGCATTTGAGACCAGCCTAGCCTACATGGTGAAATGCCATCTCTACTAAAAAAAATATGAAAATTATCCAGGCATGACAGCACATGCCTGTAGTCCCAGCTACTCTGGAGACTGAGGCATGAGAATTGCTTGAATCCAGGAGGCAGAGGTTGCAGTGAGGCAAGATCATGCCACTGGGTGACAGAACAAAACTCCATCTCAAAAAAAAAAAAAAAAAAAAGCTTTCTACAGCTCTCACCAGAAGCCAATAAGATACTGGCATCATGCTTCCTGTACAGCTTGCAGAACGACCAGCCAGTCAATCTTCTTCATAAATTACACAGCCTCAGGGATTTCTTTATAGCAATGCAAGAATGGCCTAATACAGCAAATTGGTATGGAGGAGTGGGTGTTGCTATAAAGATACCTGAAAATGTGGAAGCAACTTTGGAACTGGTTAACAGTCACAAGTTGGAAGAGCTTGAGGGTCTCAGAAGAAGACAAGAAGGTAAAGGAAAGTTTGAAACTTCTTAGAGACTAGTAAAATGGTTGTGACCAAAATACTGATAGAAATATGAACAGTGAAGTCCAGGCTGACAAGGTCTTATGGAAATAAAGAGGTGATTGGGAACTGGAGTAAAGGCCATCTGTGTTATGCCCTAACAAGAAACTTGGCTACTTTATGTTCATGTGCTAGGGATCTGTGTAAGTTTGAAGATGAGAGTGATGACTTAGGGTATCTGGTGGAAGAAATTTCTAAGCAGTAAGCATTCAAGGCCTGGCTGCTTCTAACAGCCTATAATCAGATAGGGGAGAAAAGGAATGACTTAAACTTGGAACTTACATTCAAAAGGAAAGCAGAACATAAGAGTTTGGAAAATTTGCAGCCTAGCCATGTAGCAGAGAAAAAAAAAAATCCAAGTAGGATGTGGAGCAACCACTTACTTGCAGAATGAGAAATTAACATGACTAAAAAGGAGCCAAGTGCTAATATTCAAGATAATGGGAAAAAAAACCCTCAAAGGCATGTCAGAGATCTTGAAGACAGACCCTCACATTACAGGCCCAGAGGCCTGGGAGCAAAGAATGGTTTCAGGGCCTAAGTCCAGGACACTGCAAGCCTGCACAGCTTTGAGATACTGCCCCCTGCATCAAGGTTGCTCCAGCTCCAGCTCAAAGGGTCCCAGGTACACCTTGGACCACTGCTCCAGAGGGCACCAACTATAAGCCTTGGTGCCCTCTGGAGGAGGTGGTAAGTCTGCAGGTACACAGAATGCAAGAGTGAAGGAGGCTTGGTGGCCTCCACCTAGGTTTCTGAGAATGTATGGGAAAGCCTGGGTGCCCAGGCAGGAGCTTGCTGAAAGGACAGAGCACTCACAGAGATTTTCTACTAAGGCAATGCCAAGGAGGGTATCACCTTGCTCTAGATCCCAGAATGGTAGATCCATTAGCAGCTTGAATCCTGCTCCTGAAAAAGCTGCAGACACTCAACTCCAGCCTGTGAGAGAAACTTCAGGGGATGCATCCTGCAAAGCCACAGAAGCAGAGCTACCCAAGGCCTTGGAAGTCCACCCCTTGTCCCAGTATGCTCTGTATATTAGTCAATTCTTGTATTGCTATAAAGAAATATCTGAGGCTGTATAGTTTATGAGATTTTTCAATTGGGTCATAGTTCCGTGGACTGCACAGGAAGCCTAGTGGTATCTGCTTCTGAGGAGGCCTCAGGAGGCTTACAAACATGACAGAAGGCAAAGCAGGAGCTAGCACATCACATGGAAAAAGCAGGAGCAAGGAGTGGGGGGATGCCACACACTTTTAAAGAACACCTTGTGTGAACTCAGAGCAAGAACTCACTTATCCCCAAGGGGATAGCCCAAGCCACACATGAGAAAACTGCTCCAACAATCCAAACTCCTCACACAAGACCCCAACTCCAACACTGAGGACTACATCGCAGCATGATTTGGAGGGGATACGCAATCTGTTATCACTCTGGATGCAGGACATGGAGTCAGGGATAATTTTGGAGTTTAAAGATTTAATGACTGCCCTGCTGGGTTTCAGACTTCTGTCGAGCTTATTATCCTTTTCTTTTGGCTAATTTCTTCCTCTTGAAATTGTCATGTTTAGTCAATGCCTGTACTACCATCGTATCTTGGACGTTAATAATTTGTTTTGATTTTACAGGCTCATCAGTGGAAGGAGATAAGTCTCCGGTGAGACTTAGGACTTTGGACTTGAGGTTGGAACAAGTTTAAGACTTTTGGAGACTACTGACAGTAGATGATTGTATTTTGCAATGTCAGAAGGATGTAAGATTTGAAGACAGGAGAAGAATGATGTCCTTTGAGTGTTTGTCCCCTCAAATCTCATGTTGAAATGTAATCCTCAATGTTGGAGGTAGGGCCTGAGGAGGGGCGATGGGATCATGGGAGTGGATCCCTCATGAATGGTTTAACATCATTTCCTTGGTTATAAGTGACTTCGCCCTTAAGTGGTTCACATGAACTCTGGTTATGTAAAAGTCTGGGACCTCCCTATCCCTCATTATCTTGCTCCCACTCATACCATGTAGTGTGCTTGCTCCCCTTTGCCTTCCACCACGATTGAAAGCTTTCTGGGGCCTTCATGAGAAGAAGAGCACATGCTGGCACTGTGCTTCCTGCATAGCCTGCAGAACGCTGAGCCAATTAAGCCCCTTTTCTTCATAAACTACTCAGCCTCAGGTATTTCTTTATAGCGATGCAAGAACAGCCTAGTACACTCTATTATTTCATATTTATACCACACACGCCTACCTGGGGTCACTAGGAAATGTTTCTATTATACTATTTTGAAATTTTTCATACAGTTTGTTAGAATTTTGTGGTTTAAAAAAAACTGGAAAAAGTCTATTGTAAGCAATCACTTATGTAATAAAATAAATCAAATAAATAAATCTTTCATTATTTTGTACGACTATATTTTATTGGAAACTGCTGTGAGATATTTCTACTGGTACAAGGATATAAAAGTGTATATTTTAAACTTCTTTGTGATTAAAGGGAATTGAGAGTCTACAATCCTGCTAATGTTGATTTATTCCACTTCTCTAAAAGGAATAAATACGATTTTTTCCTCCATTATACACTTGATTTGGAACTGTTCTGATTTCAAATACATTACAAAAATGTTTCAAAATAAACTCATCATGATATCTAGAGAAATTTGAGTAAATTTCAGTTCATTCTCATTTGTCTAATGCTTTCTTTCAAATAATTCAGAAAGCTCATTTTGTAAAGGTCATGGTGAAATATTCTGGAAAGAATATCAAAAAGAATATTTTCGGTGTTTTAAAAAGGAAACAAATGCAATGAATACATGGCAGTAGAGAAGATAAAGAATACAAAGGCGGACATAATTCTTATAGAAAGTAAGTTTCTCAAAAGCCCACAAGTGAGTAAAATATAAATCTAGCACATGAACATTATCTGCTAGCTTCCAACTTACTATCGAATTATAAAACTGTCATTCACCATCTGTCAGTATCCATGTATGGATATTTGTCTTTGTGGTGTCACTGCAGGGAGCTGTAAGTATCACCATTACTATTCTTAATGAAGACCCTGTCTATGGGCATGCCTCCTGACAGCTTCTGTCCATATCATTCATTATTGTCAGCCTACAGCCAAGTGCCAAGTGAATACAGGCTGTATCTTATGCAGTCATTCCTTAAGAATATGTTCCAAAATGCTAACTTCTAATCAATAAGTATATAACAAGTTGATTCTTCCTTTAGGCTTCCTCCAATGAATATTTTGCATAGGTTTAAAAATATCCCTGAAAATTCACACACTTCTGAACAT
Source organism: Homo sapiens (assembly GCF_000001405.40). Classification (NCBI taxonomy): domain Eukaryota; kingdom Metazoa; phylum Chordata; class Mammalia; order Primates; family Hominidae; genus Homo; species Homo sapiens. The sequence continues at coordinate 171,014,416 of NC_000004.12, forward strand.
TGATGCCCCAGATTTTATTCAAACTCCTAGAATGGTGTTTATGCACAAAATAATTGAAATATCCTACAGTATGAGACTGGTTCAAATGAATTAGATGCCTCTTTGACATCGAATATCCTTTTTCTATGCATAGATAAGCATGTAAGACCTCCCATAATTCAAGTATGTTATAGATGTCAAATTCTTACATACTCTTTAGTATTCACACATAATGAATGTTACACTAATAAATAAACATCATTTCTTTTTAGTCCCTGTTATTGGACTAAAACCTTGCAATTTTTGATATAAGATATTCACATTTCCACTAGAACATTCTTTCAGAACTGTTGACAAATTTTAACTTAAGGAAACAGGGAGGCAAAGGGCAAATTTCTTTAACAGTGCACAGAGCTCTAAAAGTTTTCTAGGAGATTGAAGGACATATACACCCCAATAATTCACTGGCTCTAACAGAATGCTGTATCAAAGGCATAAACAGGCCTATACACTGAACAATAGTTTTACTACATCAGTTTCCCAGTTTTCTTAGTTGCTATGAAATCTGAAATCAAAACAATGTTTTATGCTTTTGCTCCAAGACATAAAATCAAGGAAACCTAGAAGAAACTCTGATGGGAGCAAGAATGCACTGTCATAGTAAGAGTAGATTTTTAGAAAAGAGCCTTCAGTGTGTCAAAGACCTTTGTGAGTATGCATATGTGTAAGTACATATAACAATACAAAGAAATCATTGGCAAAACTAGAAATTATGCTAGGAGGGTTTACTGAAGCAAACGTTTACAAAACAGAGCAAACTACCCCTATGCACTTAAAGACTGTACTACATCTATCTGCTTATCTATCTATCCATTTATCTATAACTTATCTTTCTAATTTGTCTATCATATATATACTTATATATTGTATAAAAATGAATAAGAAATGGCATTGAAAAAGAGATACCTGTGTCTCTGTCAAATTTGTTGCTTCAACCCAATCATTCTGTAGAAAATCAAAGAGCACATTTAATCTCTTTCGCCTATCTCTTTAAAAAAATGGAGACTGTATATCAGAATTTGTCTTTTCTGTGTACTTAAGAACATGGCAATTTTAGATACAGCAATATCCAAAGTTTATTCTTCAATTTTATACTTTCCCTTTGCATATTTATTCTATCATTTTTCAAACTTTTAGGGAAAAATACTTATCATATTTTCCCAGATTAGTAAGCTTGCAAATACTATCAACATATCTTCTTGTGGTCTAGCTGTGGCTACATGGACGAAGAAAGGGAGAAAGGAAGGAAGGAAAGAAGTATTCAAATGAGAAGATGTAATCTTTTAATTTATCTATTCCAAAAGCTAATAAAATATTAGTCCCTTAACCCTGTCATCCAATGAAAACATAAAATGTTTTCTTACTTCTAGAGTTCAAGCAAAAAAAAATCACACATTTTTAAAGGTCATAGTAATTGAGTAGCAGAAACATTTATTAACAGTAAGGCTGCTTAATGCAGACTGAATTTATTTATTCACTCTTGAGGGGCCGTTAGATTGTACAATTCTGTAAAGTCCTTAGTATGAGAATGGCATCAGCTTCAGAAACCTAAGAAATAGTTGAACTGGGGAGACAAGTAAATAAATACAAAGAGAAAAACTTACTGGGAGCACAGAAATATGTGCGCTAACTCTTTTTGAGAGAACCGTAAAAGATTTTTTTTGGAAAATATTAATTTTGTTCTGTAATGTAACACATGAAAAAGGATTGTTAGAGAAAATTATATGTTGGAGTACTTTTTGTTTACACTGGAAACAAAACATTTCTGCACAATGGTCTGTTGCTTAAGATTCCTGGAGAATCACTTCTGTGTTTAGATAGTTTTTTAATAATTAAAAAATTAACATTTATAAAATTAGAAATAGTTGTATTATTTTATTTAATATTTCTTTATGTTGAATATTTAATGTCCATGAATTAATCTTTAAATTAATATGAAGTAACCATTAAATATTTAAAAATATTGAATTTCCAGGAAAACTCCGTTAAAGACTCCATCAACTTTAGGACATCCCAAATTAATTAAAAGAATTGGGCTTCGATTTTAAGGAATATAGAAAGGATATAGACAAATACATACCATAAAGTGACTAAAAGAAGAGAACAAAGTTGTCTTTTGAAAGAGTGGAATTCAGACACACTATCTAAACAGCTATATTATACATGGGTTCTTTGTTTGGACAGTATTAACATTTATTGTTCAGAAAGCACAATTATTTAAATACATATAATAAAGAAATTAAATCTTTGAAAATCTCTTTTGGACAGAAAAAGCCAGTAGGTGGACCTATACAGGTATCAAATTAGAATCTATCAAACTTGAAAACTAAATCTATTGAATAATAAAAATGACAATCTTATAAGATAATGGTTAACTAAAGGTTCTAACTAATATGAAAATCCTTAGGTTTTAAAAAACTTCAGAGATTAAATAAAAACAACAAAAACATCATAATTAAGATACATACTAAAATGCCAATTAATGGTAAGAGTTACATTAACTTACCAGGTTTAAACTCATGCTAAATCGGTTTTAGAGGATTGATTTCATTATTATCCTAAAATCTGTTGGTGTAACAGAATGACTGATATGTGTCTGAGTATATATATATGTATGTGTGTGTGTGTGTGTCTCTGTACATATGTATGTGTCTGTATATATATACACATATATATGTACGCATATATATACACACATATACCTATATGTATATATATTCACACATGTATACGTATATACACACATACATATATACGTATATATACACACGTATATACGTATATATACACACATATATACGTATATACTATATATACACACGTATATACGTATATACGTATATATACACGTATATACGTATATATACACGTATATACGTATATATACACATATATATGTATATACGTATGTACATATATGTGTATATATACATATGCATATGTGTATAGATATATACATATTATCCAATTCTAGAGCACATTTGCAGAACTGCTGAGTGCCCAGTTAACCCAGATTCCAGACTCATTGGCAAGATATATATATATATACATATATAATGTGTGTGTATATATATATATATACACACACTATACATTATATACTATATATGTGTGTGTGTGTGTGTATATATATATTGCTCATGAGTCTGGAATCTGGGTTAACTGGGCACTCAGCAGTTCTGCAACATGCTCTAGGATTGGGTAATTTCAGCTTAGCTCCTTCATGCATCTGTAGTCAGATGGCAGTTGGCTGGAGACTGGCTCCTGTAGGATAGTCTCACTCACATGTCTGGTGATTGGCTCTCTGTCTGTTGGGACAGTAGGATTCTCAATTGTCTCTCATCATCCAACGGGTTAGTTAGCCTGGACTTATTCTCATAGTGTCTGGGCAGCATTCCAAGATGATGAACAAAAGACCTCTTGAGACATATGCCTCTTTCACTGCATTCTATTTGTCAAAAGTATTCAAAAGACAATCCTGATTCAAGTGAGCCACAAAAGCAGACAGATTATATTTCTAGAGGAAAAAACATGAGAAGTCACATTGCAAGTACGAGTGATTACATGGAAGGAAAGCATTCCAGCTACTTTTTCAAGCAATCTACATTTCTATGCCATTAAATATTTACATCATCTTTTGACATTTTGTGAAATATGTTGATGTAAGCAGGGTATAGATTATAGTAAATTTTGAAATCTGAAAATTACTCCTCTAAATAATCAAATGTAGGAATTATATGGTCTAAGAAAACTAATATATCCTGGTATTGTGTAAATTTATTTTTGAAATGATAGATTAGAGCTTAACATGTGAGACAACACATTGAGCAGAGTCTGGGAGTGACTACAAAACATGCTCCTAAAGACAAAGCGAAGCTGCAAAAAGAATTTGGCAGCTGCAACTGTGGAAGGGAAAACTACACATCTGTAAATGTGTAACAATTTTAAGAAGAGCTAAGATAATTTTGTATCTGCAACTAGCAACTTGTAAATTTCAAAAAGGCATTAGTACTAGAAATACATATCCTTGCATAATCTGATAGCATTTTCCAACCCAATTTAGATAAAATTAAGCTTTACCAAAGCAGAAAGTGCAGCTATTCTACAAGTTATAATCATGACAAGGAACGACGTACTGAACAGTGAGTATGTGTTTGAAAGTGAGGAAGAGGCCGGGCGCGGTGGCTCACGTCTATAATCCCAACACTTTGGGAGGCTGAGGCAGGCGGATGGCTTGAGTTCAGGAGTTTGACACTAACCTGGGCAGCACACCGAAACTCCATCTCTATTAAAACTACAAAAATTAGCCAGGCGAGGTGGCATGCACCTGTAGTTCCAATCACATAGGAGGCTGAAGTGGGAGGATTTCTTAAGCCTGGGAGGTGGAGGTTGCAGAGAGCCAAGGAAGAAAGAGGAAGAAGTTGTGACTTTCTCCTTAGGGATTTTCTCATCGAGATGCACAAAGAAATTGTATTGTAGGCAAATACTTAGACCTATACTACTTATTTTATATATTAAATACTATTACAATTTTCATACATGACTTGTGAATATAATTCTACTAAAAATAGCAATTACTTTGTGCCAGACACTGTGCAATTTTTTATGGTGTTCACAATATCATCTAAAGGATGAGAAATGTTTTCATCTACATTTTATACAGGAGTAAATAAAGCCTCGGAGAAGTGCACTTTATTTATTTTTCAACAATTACATAGTAATTTACGTGGTTTCAAACTCGAGCAATCTGACCCTTGAAATTGTATTCTGAAATCTGCAAGTTTTATCAGTACTTCAGGAAACTAAATATTACTGAGGTGAACTAATAAATTATTTTATTTTTTTGTTGAGGTTTTCTTCTATCCAAATTTGGCTAAAATAAGAGATGAAAATAAATGATAAAAATCAAACACGTATACAATTAATATCTACATGGCCAGTGGGTGTGTAAATCACCTTCTGAAGGCAATTTGGCTTTCTCTTTGTACCCTTTTGTTTTTCCTACTAAGATAATGTTTTCTCCTTTACGTTCCTCCTTTTCACCTTTTCTGTCTTCTCCTTTATGCTAATGTGTGTATATATGCCATATTTGGCATATGTTTTCCTGATCTACCTTCTAGTTTATTGCTCATATGTTGTGTCTAATGTGCCTTGTAGACTTTAAAAAATATGGATGTATTTCATTTTGTTCTTACTTTATACACTTTAACTTCTACACTTTAACTAAAATTTTAATTTAATTAAAAAACTTTTTTACCTATTTTTTCAAATCTGTCTTTTATATATATTTTTAAGTTTATCCTCTATGTTTTTAAATAGCCTGAATGTTACTTCATATACATTGAGTTCATGAAAAAAAAAGTAATACATATGAAATAAAAGTATTTCATAGTATTTCATATATATTAAGGCCAATACCTATGCATATTGTATGTCTGTGTATATATAATTAATATTATATAATTATATACACACATTTGTATATATAATTTTATATATATTAAATATACACACATATATATGCACACATATAGTGTGTGTATACTATACATATGTATATATTATAGTATATATATGTAATATAATCATATGTATACACATACACATAGTGTGTGCATAATTGCTTATAGTATGGATAAGTATTGGATATGATATTGATATTGTTATTTATTTATATACACACATACACGCACCTAGGACATATACATATACAAATATAAGTATTTTTCTGTTGTATGTTGTTTCTGTTGGTTCTTTATCATATGGTGTAGTTTCTTTGTCTGTCTGATTATCTTCGACTCTTTATGGAATATTGCATGTCAAAAACTATCTGCAGGAATAATTTAAGACATAAAATGAATACGTATTCCTCCAGAGAGAATTTACACTTGTTTTTACAAAGTTTCTGGAGACATTACCAACATAAGGACATGTTACATAAAATTCAAACTTAATATTAGAAATTCAATCCAACACTATATTATTATGTGGGCTTTTTCACTTATTCATTCTTGCATTAAGGGTTTAGTTCATAGCTGTCCAGGCTTATCATGGAGAGGTTATACTGCTAGACCACTTGCAAAAGCCCTAGGATATTATTTCAATTACCTTTGTTCGCTGAGGCCATAAAACTAAACGTTTTACTTTCCCTTAATCTGAGAATGCCTTTGTAGCAAAAAGTGGTAGTGATATTTGTGTTTGTTTCTAGTGTTCTCTTAACTTTTTACTTGGTAAATTATTACTGTCTTGTCACTACTTTTGACTTTTGTCAGAGGCATGCGAACCAGAGCAACATCATCTTGAATAGGAGCTGGGTAAAATGAGACTGAGACCTACTGGGCCGCATTCCCAGATCTTGAAGGCATTCTAACTTACAGGATGAGATCGGAGGTCAGCACAAGACACAGGCCATAAAGATCTTGCTAATACAACAGTTTGCAGTAAAGATGCTGGCCAAAACCCACCAAAACCAAGATAGCGATGACAGTGACCTCTGATCGTCCTCACTGCTACACTCCCACCAGCGCCATGACAGTTTACAAAAGTCAGGGCAACATCAGGAACTTAACGACTATATGGTCTAAAAAGGGAAGGCATGAATAATCCAACCCTTGTTTAGCGTATAATCAAAAAATAACCATAAAAAGGGACAACCAGCAGCCCTCAAGGCTGCTATGCCTATGGAGTAACCCTCATTTATTCTTTTACTTTCTTAATAAACCTGCTTTCACTTTGTGGACTCACCCTGAATTCTTTCTTGCGTGAGATCCAAGAACCCTCTCTTGGAGTCTGGATCAGAACCACTTTCCAGTAACATTTTCATGATTTAAGATTTTAAAAATTAGTTTATCAAGGATTTGGTTGTTTATGTGATTTTCAGCGATTTTTTATTTGGAAAAATGTCTTGAATGACCTAACTACTATCTCTGTGAACAGGAAATTTCTGAATGCATATAGTGATTAGGAGACTTTTGAAAGGAAGAAAGGATTAAAAGTCTGAAATACCTGAAAGCAAAGAATGGGACTTCTATGAAAGAGAGGAAAATGGTACAGTAAAGCAAGACCAGAGACTCCAGTGATTTAAAATGGTAATTTTCGCAGTTAACTTTATCTATGCTTTAGAATAAATTCTCTTTAGATTTAAATTTTTATAGAGCTATAATCTTTTCTTGAAAATATGAATGTTAAATGTTACCCTACATTTACATGGTGAAGGTAATTAATTATGCCTACATCAATTGAATGTCTTAGAAGGCTATTCGCAATCAATTGAGAGAATATGTATGCATTGTCAATATGTCCTTGGAAACTGCAACTTTAAGGAAAATGATTTTTAACAAAACCATTTTTTTCTCATTAACATTATAGAGAAAGGACATTAAAGGAAATGATATTATTCAAGGAACTGCTGTGAGTCATTTAGCATAACGTTAGAGTTTCCAAGAACCTACCAATGACATGAAGTGAGAACTTACTGTTCTTTATTGGTATGTCAACAACAAAATCTTTTTTATTTGTAATATGCATGGGTTTAAATTGGGCAAATTTTCAGACCTTTTTTCTTCTTAGAACTGAGAGCAGTAAATACGACTTTGTCCAGAATGAAGAACAAGGTGAAGAAAAGGTGTATGAGCCAACTGAGCAGCTTTTAAAAAAACATCATTTACTCCTTGTTTTAATTTATGCATATTTTTCAGAAGTCATACAAAAATAATATAGAACATTATAATAATATTAAATATATAAATATGAAATAGATTTAAAGAAAATTCTCCTTTTAAAACTTTTCTTTTTTTGTTTACGGAGGTTAAAAATGACCTTTGCAGGGACATGGATGGAGCTGGAAGCCGTTATCCTCAGTAAACTAACGCAGGAACGGAAAGCCAAACACTGGATTGTCTTACTTATAAGTGGGGGCTGAACAATGAGAAAATGTGGACATATTGTGGGGAACAACACACACTGGGGCCTGTTTGTGGGGTGCTGGGGGGGGAGAGCATTGGGAAGAACAGCTAATGGATGCTGGGCTTAATACCTAGGCAAGGGGTTGATCTGTGCAGCAAACCACCATGGCACACGTTTACCGGCACATTTTAAAAATTTACAAATTTTACACAAACCTGCACATTTTACACATGTACCCCAGAACTTAAAATAAAAAATTAAAGAAAAAATTTTTCTAAAAAAAACTCGATTTCATTTTTTTTAAAGGCTAAAACAATGAGATTTTTTTTAATTTAAATACTCTAGATAGGGTTACAGGGGGGAATAAAAAGTTCTCATTTATCAAATAGTCTTACAGTCTTAAAATATAATTTAAAAGAGACTAATACATGCAGCAAACCTAAGAAACAATAACCTCAGCAAAATAGCAGCATTAACATTTGAAATCAAAGCAATGAGGCCCTGACTGCTGGAGCAGCACATTGAAAAACATTCTAACATTAACAAAACAAAACAACCAAAAGACAAACGCCCTGATTGAAACAGAACTCAGTGGGATGGTGGTTTGTTGTTGTCATTGTTGTTGTTGCTTTTGTTTCTGAAATATTTCACTTCTCCAGAAAAACTTGACTGCTAATATATGCTGGTTACATTTGATTTAACACGGCTGTTAATCATGTTACTATCAGAAGTTCAGAATCGATTGAATATGCCCTTGGTTAGCTATATAATGAACATTGAAAGCACCTGTCACCACCATTGTTGATTGTATGGAGTCCTTTGTGTGCACTGCAAGAGAGGACAGCCACATGGGCTTTTTGGAGACATTTCTAGAACAGACTTAGAGGCAATTCTTTGATAGGATTCTGAAGTCTTTCCCTCTTTGATCTTATTTCCTTGATATCAAACAATAATGCACACAGGCTTTACAGTCTAGAAAAGCAGCTCAGTCTTAGGTTTTAATGAAGGCACAAGGGAGGGAGGTCAAAAATGTGATGGGTTAATATTGGGCAGAATTCTCTGAAACAAGGACCCAGCCTAGACAAGCTATGAAAGTCTCCTTGGCAGACAGTGTTGTGGCTCATGCCTGTAATCCCAGCACTTTGGGAGGCCGAGGTGGGCGGATCACGAGGTCAGGAGTTCGAGACCAGCCTGGCCAATATGGTGAAACCCCGTGCCTACTAAAAATACAAAAATTAGCTGGGTGTGGTGGTGGGTGCCTGTAATCCCAGCTACTCGAGAGGCTGAGGCAGGAGAATCGTTTGAATCCGGAAGGTGGGGGTTCCAGTGAGCCGAGATGGTGCCATTGCACTCCAGCCTGGGCGACAGGGTGAGACTCCATCTCAAAAGAAAAAAAAAAAAAAAAAAAGGAAAAGAAAGTCTCCTTGACACTACAGGGAAGCATATATGGGATTCAGTGTTGCACATTTGTGAAGAATGCTGAATCTGGAGCCAGCCTGCCAGGGTTAGAGTCCTGGCGTCGCATTACCTAGCTATTTGACCACGGGCAAGTAGTTAACCTGTTTTCAATTTCTTCTTTTGTATAATAAAAATAATACCTAATCTGTATTTTTGTTGTTGTCATTGTTTGTGGGTTTGTTTAGAGAAATGTATGGAATATAGCACATGCTCAATAAATGGGAAGTATACATAAGAAGAATTCCGTAAGTACAAAATGATTATCCTCACACATCAATCTTTGAGGGCCATGAACAATGCAATTTCCTTTGGCTCACTTTTTCTTAATTAAATTCTGTTCAGGTATATTTCTATTAAAGTTATGAGCTTTATTTCTATATTGCTGACCAAAATTTTAACACTGTTATTGGGGCATGGCCCTAGAATCTGCTTTTTTCAGATGGATTCTAATGTTTCGATTATTTTGTCTTTTCAAATTCTTCTATTCCAAAATCTATGATATATATGAACTTCTCTAATTAAAACAATTTAGGTTGCAGTCAGTCTACAATTAAATATACCAAAACGTCTTGAAAACATACAAACTTTCCTAATTTAAGCAATTAGAAGTAAATTTGTTTGAGTTGTGGACAGTTTTCTGCTTTCAAGGACTGGTGTGAGTTTAAAACCTCACTGTTTTAAAGTTTTATGGAGGGATCAGCATTTTATATAAAAACATTTTTTCACCATAAATTATTTTTTCTTGTGCTTCATTCTTTTAAAAAATTAAACACTCTCTGACTCTGAAAAATGTTTCTCAAAAATAGTAATAAATGGGAATAATAAAACAGATTTATATTGGGAAAAATAGCTCTTATTCATAGTTCTTTCTTTCCTTTACCTTGAAAACTTCTGGCTCTGTGAATGAGTAGGTGTTTACATTGATCCATCTGTTATCCTAAAAGGACTTTTTCCACCCATGTGTTCTTTTTGCTTATAAGACTTTTTTCTACCCAACTAGAATAAGAGCAGGTTTTTTTGTGTGTGAACTACAGCTTATTTGGCACTCCAGCTACATGAATGGAAAGTAAAAACATAGTGAGAGAGAAACAGACCTAGGGCACTCAATCACAGAGATGGCATGAAGATGTTCTGCTTAAGGGAACCACATGAGAGGTAAATGATGTCTCCGGAAATTTGGAGATATTCTCTTGGGAGACCTCCACCAGTCACTTCTAGGAAGCATGCCTCTGTCCTGACAACCTGCCGAGCTCTCAGTTTGTGTATTCCACAACGAACGAGGGGCACTTGTGACCAACACCTTACAGAAACAGTGCTCTGAAAGTTGGTAAAAATGAAAGTAGAGGTGGTGCTTGAGGATAATGAAACTCCAAGAACACATACTTGGGTGAAACTTGGCTTGGAATTTCACTAAATTTGACTCTAAATTACATTGGAATAATAAAAAGAACAAAAGCTGAGAAAGAATATTTTGACTTGAATATCTGTTTCATAGACTAAGTATATTAGTTTGCTTGAGCTGCCATAACAGAATACCAAACTGGATGGCTTAAAGCACAGAAATTTATTTCCTTACAGTTATGGAGGCTAGAAGTGCAAGATCAAGGTGCTGGAAGGGTTAGTTTCTAGTAAGGCCTTTCCCCTTGGCTTTTAGATGGCTTCCTTCTCAGCTCCCATCTTGTGTGGTTACACGATCTTTTCTCTATGTACACACCCTCCTGGTGCCTCCTTGTCTTCTTATGAGGACATCGGTCCTATTGGATGAGGATTACACTCATATGACCTTATTTAACCTTAATTATTTCCTTAAAGGCCTCTCTCTCAAATACAGTCATATTGGGGGTTAAAGCATTAACATACTAATTTTTAGGAACCCACAATGCAATCTATACATCTAGAAAACTAAGTCTTTATTTAAAAAAATCTGACATGCATTTGAATGATGATTAATGTGCTAATGCATTTTCATTTATATTAATTATGTATGGTCAGATTTTGTGTATGTATTTACTGAAGAAAATCTCAATGAAAATGTTTCCAAAGAGGTTACTTCTGCAAATAAAAAGACCATTTTACATCAGCTAGCTAGTAGCAGACAGCTGTCACAGGACTTCCTACCACAAACTGATCTTGGAGAAAAATTAGAAGCAATATATGAGTTTTTCCTTTCCACGCTTGAATGACAGTTTTATTATGTGACTCAGCTTCAGTCAATAAGCTGTGGTTCACTGCGATATCACTGACTTGCTTGTCTCTTTTTTTCTTGGCTTTATAATTTCAGAGTATGACAACTACTGCTCATATTCTCAGTGCAATCAAACTTGGCATTTTACAAAGGCCAAGGAGTTTAAAAAATATCATGCTTTAATGTAGAATTTGGAAGGTAATATTGAAAATGAAAAAATCAGAATGCTATTCCAATGCTATATATAAGATGGTTCTATGAAAAATATAATTATAAATCCCATAAAGTTTTTGATAAATTATGATTGCATGGAAAGAAAGTAAAATAATGTAAAATAAAATACATAAAATATTATCCATGTTTTAATTTTACTTTATGTCTGATAACTTAATCTTCATTACCAAATGACTTTCATTATTTAACAAATACTTATTGAGTACCCATTATGTGCCAGATTCATTCTAGATACCGGATCTAACAAAAATAGTAACGAAAACAAAGGACTGGACTTCATGAAACTTACATTTTGTATTTTTAATAGTGATTGACTAAATTATGATTTGTAACATAGAAAGATACAATTAAATTCTAGGACCTGTGATTTTACACAAATCACTTTAAGTGATTTTACACAAATCACTTTAAGTGATTTTACACAAATAAATTATGACATAGAAGCAGACAAACAGAAATGACTTGACAACTGTTTAGCCACTGTATAATCGTGCATCTCTGCTAATTATTAATATAATTTTGTGTTTCTATAAGCATATATGTTATGTATATTATACATGCTATACATATATACAAATTAACTTTAAACTCAGAATTTAGAATTGAATGAATCCATAATGATAACTTACTTCAACTTTTATGAAGTACAAATTGTCTGTCATTCCTAGAAATAGGTCATTCCTAGAAATAGGTCATTCACTATTCCTAAAATAGTCTTTGACACACAATTAATTCATAATCTTTTGGGGAAAAATGTTTAAAAGTTGATTTTAAAACATTATAAACAGATTTTTCATTATAAAATAAAATAATGCCCAAAATTTAAAAGCTTATATAAAAAAAATTTGTGAGCTAATGAATTTTATAAGTAAAAATGTCATCTATATTCCTTCCAGAGAAAATTAAGATTCTTTTTGTATATGATAATAGATTTTGCATGTAGATACACATACATAAATATTTTTGTAAAAATTTATGCTCATGTATTTTAGATTGTTTTCCATTACAAATAATTATGAAATTTGATCCATCAAATGTATAACTACATAAATATTTTGAATGACTTATGATTTAATTTTTCTAACATAACATATTAATTAACCAAGGTCCTTTAAAAAGAAGTTTCATATAATAATCAATGTTTATATGGTCACTCTTTGTGCATACCTTTTTATACTTTGGCTAATAATTTCTTTCATTAGTTCTTGGAAGAGAAAATACTAAAACTAAAATATTATCAAGATATTTTTAGAAATACAGTAGTTTTAAAACTATAGGTATTGTATTAGAATATATTTTTTCATATCCTGAAGTATACAGAAATTTCACAATTTTAATTGATAATTAGATACAAATACTTCATTGAGATTTGCAATTTTCTCTGTAATAGAAATTAAAATGATCTTTGATGTTTTTCTTTTTAACTTGACACATCACTTATTTGATATATCACATATCTTATATTCTCATGATTAATCTGACCTTCCTTTTGCACTAGAAACCACTTTTGATTACTTTGTGTTGCTTTACAAAACATTTTTAAATATGGTAGGGCAAATTTCTATTACATTTTCAGTATAACTACCTATTTCTCCTTTGAAAGTTACTTTACAAATATTGAAATTCTAGGAAATTATTTTTGAGATTATAATAAATTTATATATTTGCAGAGAATTGCCATCTGCATAAAACTAAATCTTACTGAAAACTCTATATGCATCTCAAGTACTTTTTTATCAAAGGCATATTGAAGGAGAAATGAGAATAGAATTAATCTGTGGTGGTCCTTTGGCAAGGAGATAATAATTTGGGAGCAAGGTTTTTGGTACAAAAGACTTACTTTGACAGAGAAGATTAAAGAACATCATGATGTCAGCAGAGACTGTAAATACACAAGGCTCTTCCTTGTGCTATTTAGCAAATCTCTTTTTTGTGTATGTTCAAGGAAATAGGTAATGCAATTAAACATATTTCAGGATTACTCTCTTAATGGCATGGCTTCATACAGACTTGGCAACTAAGGTAGGAATTCCCAAATGTATAGTTACAACAAGTACATTTAACTGAAAATCTAAAATGATATTCCAGATTTTAACCTGTAATTCAAAGTTCTCAAATATCAGAACATGGGCCTGCATGTCTAGAAACAATTCATTCTAAGAAATCAGAGAGTAAACCAAATTTACCTGAAGGAAAACAGCCCAAGGTGAAAATAGGCAACAATTTCAACAGTAACATTATACATATCCAAACTGCCATTCATTAGTCATTAAAGAAATGTAAATTTATTTATTTGCATATGTTGAATTACATGATCCATCACATAAATAGAACCAATGACAAAAACCACATGATTATCTCAATAGATGCAGAAAAGCCTTCGACAAAATTCAACAGCCCTTCATGCTAAAAACTCTCAATAAACTAGGTATTGATGGAACGTATCTCAAAATAATAAGAGCTATTTAAAACAAACCCACAGCCAATATCACACTGAATGGGCAAAAACTGGAAGCATTCCCTCTGAAAACTAGCACAAGACAAGGATGCCCTCTCTCACTACTCCTATTCAACATAGTGTTGGAAGTTCTGGCTAGGGCAATCAAACAAGAGAAAGAAATAAAGGGTATTCAATTAGGAAAAGAGGAAATAAAATTGTCTCTGTTTGCAGATGACATGATTGTATATTTAGAAAATCCCATCATCTGAGCCCAAAATCTCCTTAAGTTAATAAGCAACTTCAGCAAAGTCTCAGGATACAAATTAATGTGCAAAAATCACAAGCATTCCTATACACAAATAATAGACAACCAGAGCCAAATCATGAGTGAACTCACATTCACAATTAATACAAAGGGAATAAAATACCTAGGAATCCAACTTACAAGGGATGTGAAGGACCTCCTCAAGGAGAATTACAAAGCACTGCTCAATGAAATAAAAAAGTACACAAATGGAAGAACATTCCATGCTCATGGATAGGAAGAATCGTGAAAAAGGTCATATTGCCCAAGGTAATTTATAGATTAAATGCTATCTCCATCAAGATACCACTGACTTTCTTCACAGAATTGTAAAAAACTACTTTAAACTTCATTTGGAACCAAAAAAGAACCTGCATAGCCAAGACAATTCTAAGCAAAAAGAACAAAGCTGGAGGCATCACGCCACCTGACTTTAAACTATACTACCAGACTACAGTTACCAAAACAGCATGGTACTGGTACCAAAACAGATATATAGACCAATGGAACAGAACAGAGGCCTCAGAAATAACACCACACATCTACAACCATCTGATCTTTGACAAACCTGACAAAAGCAAGCAATGGGGAAAGGATTCCCTATTTAATAAGTGGTGCTAGGAAAACTGGCTAGCCATACATAGAGAGCTGAAACTGGATCCCTTCCTTACACTGTATACAAAAATTAATTCAAGATGGATTAAAGACTTAAATGTAAAACCTAACACCATAAAAACCCTAGAAGAAAACCTAGGCGATACCATTCAGGACATAGGCATGGGCAAAGACTTCATGACTAAAACACCAAAAGCAATGGCAACAAAAGCCAAAATAAACAAATGGGATCTAATTAAACTAAAGAGCTTCTGCACAGCAAAAGAAACTATCATCAGAATGAACAGGCAACCTACAGAATGGGAGAAAATTTTTGCAATCTACCCATCTGACAAATGACTAATATCCAGAATCTACAAAGAACTTAAACAAATTTACAATTTAAAAAAAAACATCAAAAAGTGGGCAAAGGATATGAACAGACACTTCTGAAAAGAAGATATTTATGCAGCCAACAGACACATGAAAAAATGGTCATCATCACTGGTCATCAGAGAAATGCAAATCAAAACCACAGTGAGATACCATCTCATGCCAGTAAGAATGGCGATCATTAAAAAGTCACGAAATTTTTTACACTGTTGGTTGGAGTGTAAATTAGTTCAACCATTGTGGAAGACAGTGTGGCAATTTCTCAAGGATCTAGAACTAGAAATACCATTTGACTCAGTGATCCCATTACTGGGTATATACCCAAAGGATTGTAAATCATGCTACTATAAAGACACATGCACACGTATATTTATTGTGGGGCACTATTCACAATAGCGAAGACTTGGAACCAAACCAAATGTCCATAAATGATAGACTGGATTAAGAAAATGTGGCATATATACACCAAGGAATACTATGCAGCCATAAAAAAGGATGAGTTCATGTCCTTTGTAGGGACATGGATGAAGCTGGAAACCATCATTCTAAGCAAACTATCACAAGGACAGAAAAGCGAACACCTCATGTTCTCACTCATAGGTGGGAGTTGAACAGCAAGAACACATGTACACAGGGCAGGGAACATCACACACTGGGGCCTGTCGGGAGCTGGGGGGCTGGGGGAGGGATAGCATTAGGAGAAATACCTAATGTAAATGACAAGTTGATGGCTGCAGCAAACCAACATAGCACATGTATACCTATGTAGCAAACCTGCACATTGTGCACATTTACCCTAGAACTTAAAGTATAATAATAAAAAAGAGAAATGTAAATTAAATTAAAAACACAGGTTCCAGGCCGGGTGTGGTGGCTCATGCCTGTAATCCTAGCACTTTGGGAGGCCGAGGCAGGCGGATCACGAGGTCAGGAGATGGAGACCATCCTGGCTAGCATGGTGAAACCCCGTCTCTTCTAAAAATATAAAAAATTAGCCTGGCATGGTGGCGGCGGGTGCCTGTAGTCCCAGCTACTCGGGAGGCTGAGACCACCTAGGAAAAAGCAGGGGGGATGTAAAAGCTTTGGGAATGATTTGTCTGTCCCAGTGGCACTTCATGAAATGAATCTTACTGTTTCATCATATCTCCTTTGCCATTTATGAGATGAAGAAATATAAGAATATAACACATTAATTTCTACTATATATTCCCATAAAAAAGCTCAAAAGCAGGACATTGAATTGGCCCAAAGAGCTCTACCCATAACATGAGCTCACATTAACTTCCCTACCTCAGTATGGACCTTCAGCAAACCCCAACAGTTGAATCCAAATGAAACCAGTCCCCATAAGGGTGGATACGATAGTGTCTGCATTTCTGTAACCAGTGGAGTAATAAAAGTTTGAGTCTCTGCCCTCCTTCAAGTTCCCAGCATATTTAGACAGATGCCTATGTTCCTCAGTTCCCTTTGACACAGGCAGACCTCAGCTCCACTGCTAATGGCCTTTCGCCTTAAAGCAGCTGGATACAAGGTAGAAACACTGAAAACAACCAGGGACCATCTTAGGAGAGAGGGACTTCATGCCAATAAGCAAGGTGCAAAGGTGCAATTACTTTCAGTTTTGAGAGGAAAAGCTCAAGAAAAATAACTTCCTTTTTTTTTTTGGTCTACACTTTGTGCTATATTCTCATTGCTGAAACCATTAATTTATATTTCTGTTTCTTGAATTGGTTGATAATTGCTTTGTAAAAATTTATCAAATGTATTATTTTATTGTTTGTTGAACATCTCTATTAGCCAGAAAAGTTTACACACACACAAAAACCTGTTGATATTTATTAAGCTGTACATCTTCCATTTGCCTCATTCTTCTGTGTGCTCTGTCTTCCTCTGTGTCCCAGAAGGCTGAACTGTAAAGGCTGAATCAGTGTATTCTTTATTCTCTAGCTTCTAGCTAAATTCAGTCAGAGATAAGCAGTGCTAGAAGATCCATAGAGAAGAAGAGAAATAAGAGAGTAAGATCAGTATGTTTAATACATAGCTCCCTCCGTGTAAGGTGGGCTGTGTCCATCACTGAAGATCAAATCTTCTGTTATGTGAGCCTTTCAATCTAATCCCTTTATCTTGTGGGTTTTAGCCCTGGATTACTTCCCTACATCATGTGGTTTTCCTAAACTCTAGACAATTCTTTCTCAAGAGTTCTTTATAAAATCTCTCTTCAAACTATCCAATTTGGGAGTGTTATGTAGTTCCCGCTATGACACAAAAATGCTTATACTCTTCCTATGGGCAAGGCATATTTTATTCATCTATATGCATGATTTTTAATAGCCACTGTAAAACTTTGAAGGAAGTATGTTTCATATTGGAGAAATTTTGGCCTAGAGAGGTTAAGTAATTTCTCCAAGGTGGAAGAGCTGGAACTCAATGTTAGAATTAACTCCATAGCCTGTTTTTCCTACCTAGTAAGTGATAATAACAATGAAATTTTGTCCCTATCAGTAACAAAAACTATGTCATTACCATTATATTTTGACTTTTTAACTTTATAATTACTCTGAAATACATTAATGATAAACTATAAAAAACAATTAATAAATATTCCAAATAAAACATAAAAAAATTGTTAAGCTTTACAAACCCTAGACTATACTTGAGATCTTTGCCTTTTATACTCAGAAAACCCATAAAATTATATTCATTCTTAAATCAGAATAGTTTATCATCTGAAAAAAAGAACTTTAAATTTCATTTTCCTTATTTGCTGAAGCATCCAGCTGATTTACTATGATGTGAAACTTTAAGAGGCAAGTAGCATCATGGCAGAACTATGAAGTGTGGAAAATGGAATGCAAATGCTAAAATATTTAGCTTTAGATATAAATCACTTTGTATATAGCTGATCATACTGTTTTTGCTAAGCCCTTTTAAATATCATGTTTATATCCACGTATTTTTATTTTAAGCATGCATACTTTCCGCAAGCAATAGTGTTTATACTGCTATCTAATTTCTGGTTATTATAGTTGTTTTGAATTCTGACACAAAATACTGACCTCTGAAGCTCTTTTTTATTAAAGATGCCTTGAAACTTGTTTCTTCCTATTATATTAAATTAAGATTTTCCTTCTTCAAATATCACACTACTGTGTATGCCTGGCAGTAAAGATTTTATTCTATGCTCAAAGGATTCACAACTTCAAAAAAAAACAAAACCAAACAAACAAAACTGAGCATCAAATATGTGAAGCATAAGAAAGGAGAATTTAGTTCAGTTATTTAATGACTCTTTCCTGCCAACATAGGAAGCATTGAGGATCTCATAGGATTTGATTGTTCCATTTGTTCATTCAATAATTTAATTTGCCTTCCTAAACTAGAATGGGAAAAACCGAGCAGCTAAACAATAATGATTTTTCTAGATACCAAGTCACACATAAAAATAAATTGTTTCAAAATACAAATTTGATTATGTTACCTTAATTTTAAAAATGGGTTGCCTATGCCCTCAAGATAAAAATAAAAAATAATATGATATAGTTTGGATATGTGATCTCTAAATCTCAAGTTGAATTGTAATCCCCTGTGCTGGAGGTCCGCCTGGTGGGAGATGATTGCATCATGAAGGTGGATTTCTCGTGAATGATTTCGCACTATTCCCTTGGTGCTGTCTCCAGATAGTGAGTTCCTGTGAGAGCTGGTTGACTGAAAGCATGTAACACTTCCACCCTCAATCTCTCTCTAACTCCTTCTTTTGCCATGTAACGTGCCTGCTTCCACTTTGCCTTCCACCATGAGTAAAAGTACTTGAGATCTCCCCAGAATTAGATGGCGCCATGCTTCCTGAATAGCTTGCAAAACTGAGCCAGTTAAACCTCTTCTCTTATAAATTACTCAGTCTCAGGTATTTCTTTATAGTAATGCAAGAATGGCCTAATACACAGTTTTTCCAAAACAGATAATGACTGTGTCCTGGCCCCCCATTGTGTTCTTTCAGCTGCACTGTTTTGCAGTAATTCTTCCTGATTCAGGGTCTTTGCATCTATTTTTTCCTGCACTGGAATACTTTCTACCTGTTCAATTAAATTTTATGTTTTTCTGATTTCAACTTAAGCTTTCCCTTCCAATAACAGTTTAGATTACAATCTTTTGTTCTAAGTTCCCATGAAACTATGTTTTATATTTTTACAACACACATCTCAGTTTGTATTTATAGATTCATTGGTATAAAATTTTTGGTTTAATGTTAATTTCCCTATCTAGCATGTAAGCTCCTTGGGAAGGGGTACTATGTCCATTTTTCCCTAGCCTTTTAATCTCCGTATACACTAGACTGATCTTGCAAATACCCTAAATGAGCTATGTTGATGGTTCACAGTTCAAACTGAGAGAATTGGCTGATACCACATTCTTCACCTCAAACTCAGGTCTAAAAATCCCACTACCCTGAACCTTGACCTTGCTAATCAATTTTTTTTTTAAATAGAGAGGGTGATAGGAGAAGCTGCTCATAAGATAAATTAAAACCTTGATGTGCATTATTATTTCCTTACTCTGGGGTGTTATGAGAAATGCTCTAAAACAATATTTTTATACTTTTAAAATGCCAATATGCTCTGGGAATGATTCAGAGAACAAACACTTGAAGGGTAAGTAAAGAAGCATCCGCTATTTCTTAGTTGCAGGTTAAATACATGGAGTTCACAAGAGACTTCTGGGTCCAATATGAAAGAACAATTCCATAAGAAATCTGATTTTCATTTTTATCTGTGCACCAAACACTACAACACTTACTGGGTGTAGGAAAGCAAATCAGAAAGACATGTTATATTACATAACATGTTATGTTACAGCAGGAACAGGAGAATACAGATGCAGTAGTTGATTTCTTATGAAAATGTATGGGGTCAGGAAAAGCTTTACAGGTGGTATGATATTTTGCGGATGATTGGGAGATAGCCATGGGGATGGGGGTGGGGCCAATAGAAGTGTCAGTAAATGTATTCCAGGTAAAGCGATTAGTATATGTCTCATTTAAATCTGAGCCTGACAGATTAAAAGGCCTGGAAAAAGTCAAGTATGTCAGGAGCAAAAAGTGCAAGATAGAATGGCCTGAGCTGATGCTAGGAGAATTAGTACTGAAAGTCTCTTATAAGGGATTCTCTTAAGTTATGGTATGAGCTTGTATTATATTCCAAGGCCTATGAAAAAGCACTGATTCATTTTAAGCAAGAATGTAACATGATCAGTTCTTATTAAATATTTCACTCCAGCTGCTTTGTGAAGAATGGGTTAGAATGATCAAGATTGTTGCTGCTTCAGTACCTGTGAAAAGATGCTTATGTACTTCACAGAGATGGTGGCGATGAGGCCAGATGGGGATGAGCATGTGCAGCACATATTTTGGGAGTAGAAAAGACAAAACTTAGGGGCTTATTGGATGTTGATGAGTCTTTCTTAAACTTTTTTATAGCACAAACTGAGAAAGTTTAATTTCTGTATAGCAGCTACCCAAATATGGCTGGTGAGTAGTCAAAGGTATACAGTATCATGCTACTGAATACCCTTCTTGGATGGTACTGGCAGGGGTAAGTTGTTGAAGAGAAAACTACTTTGTGGAAGAAGTATAGTTCTCTTTCCCTGCTTCAAGAAAAAGAGAGGTTTGGGAAAGTTATGTGATATAGTTTGGATGTATATCCCCGCCCAAATCTCATATTAAAATGTAATCTCCAATGTTGGAGGTGGGGTCCGGTGGGAGGTGATTGGATCAGGGTGGCAGATTTCTTATGAATGGTTTGGCATTCCTAAGAAATGAATGCCAGATGAAGGCATCCCCTGTGGTGCCGTCCCCAAGCGAGTCATTGAGTTCCCATGATATCTGATTGTTTACAAGCATATGTAACACCTCCTCCCTCACTCTCTTGCTCTTACTTTTACCATGTGATGTACTTGTTCCCCTTTTCCTTTCTGCCATGATTGGAAGCTTCCTTAGGCCTCCCTAGAAGCAGAAGCTGCTATGCTTCCTGTACAACCTGCAGAACCGTGACTCAATTAAACCTCTTTTCTTACAAATTACTTATTTCAGGTATTTTTTTAAAGCAATGTGAGAATGGACTAATACATTTTGAATCATTATGAAAGTTTGTAGAACATCTAGATATAGCAAAAAATTATATGTACTTATTGTTATTGAGTCAGATAGTTACTATTTGAAAGACCGGTGAAAAAGGTAAACTTTCTAGCCAAATTGACTCTTTGCTATTGAACTTCTTTCTCTCTAGTACTCTTTCTACTCTTGGTGACATTTGTAGTCGGTGATGTTATTTATTCTCTGAAATATTCATTGTGTTCAGCTAAAGCTGCTGCTTTTTGCCTTTGTTTGGGTTTTATCTTTGCACACTGTGTGCCCTATTTTCATTTTATTTATTGAAGATAAAGAAAAAAACTTATATAACTTTACATTTCTTAACCTATCTGATGGTCAGTTTCTTTATATCTGGCTTTGAGATTGTTAACAAAATTATTTAAAATAATGTACTTCTGTCAAATTCTTGACTGATAGACTAATTCTTGACAGCAAAGACTGCTGTTATTCACAAACAAAACACATGAATTCCAATGTAATATATAAGGTAAAATAATCAATGAAATAGTTTGAAGCTGGTGGAGGAGGCTTTGGTCCATAAGAATACACAGTGTCATTATTGCTTTTATATTTTACTCAAACTTTGTAAGAATAATATACTATTTTCATCATTCTATAGTTGAAAAATCCAAGTCACGGATTATTAAGTAAATTGTCCACTGTCGGCCGGGCTTAGTGGCTCGCACCTTAATCCCAGCAGTTTGGGAGGCCGAGGTTGGCGATCACCTGACATCGGGAGTTTGAGGCCAGCCTGACCAAATGGAGAAACCCCGTCTCTACTAAAAATACAAAAAATTAGCCAGGCTTGATGGCGGGCACCTGTAATCCCAGCTACTCGGAAGACTGAGGCAGGAGAATGGCTTGAACCCATGAGGCGGAGGTTGCGGTGAGCGGAGATCACGCCATTGCACTCTAACCAGCCTGGGCAACAAGAGTGAAACTCTGTCTCAAAATAAATAAATAAATAAATAAATAATAAAATAAAACAAAATAAAATTGCCCACTGTCAAAATGCTAGTAAATATAACATCACATAAACTCAGTCTGTCTGATTCCAGAGACTGAGTGGGCAATCACTTAACTAATTTATGTTTACTATATATTGCAGTGTGTCAAAACACATTGCAAACATTCTTTTTTTTTTTTTTCCTGAGATAGAGTCTCACTCTGTCACCCAGGCTGGAGTGCAGTGGTGTGATCCCGACTCGCTGAAACTTCCGCCTCCCGGCTTCAAGCGATTCTCCTGCCTCAGCCTCCTGAGTAGCTAGGATTACAGGCATGCACCACCACACCCAGCTAATTTTTGTATTTTTAGTAGAGAGGGGGTTTCACCATGTTGGCCAGGATGTTCTGGATCCCTTGGCCTCGTGATCCGCCCACCTTGGCCTCCCAAAGTGCTGGGATTACAGACGTGAGCCACTGCTCCAGGCCGCAAACATTCTTAAATATGAATGTGTAACCTGCTGAATTCAAGTCAATCACTGGGCAACTGCCATAGAGAACCCCCGCTAATTGAAGATATTTGGTAGTATAACATGAACTGTGTGGCAAGAAGTATGTCAACCAATCATGTTTCCAAAATACCTTAGTTTATTTTTGTCATTGTATTACACTTAAGTGCTACCTCTGATATCCATAGACAAGGTAACTCAGAAAATTAGTTATGTGGAAAATAATTAGAAACTTGGTTTAAAATAGTAAGAAGATGTAATTTGAGACATCAGAGAGCTACAAAAAAGCAATGTAAACTTATGAGGCAAGGACCAAAAGAAAGAAAAAAGCATAAGTGGATTCATCGTATATTTGGAGTCACTTATATCATATGACCAAATGCATCTTCCTTACAGATGTGCCTAACTAATTGAGAAGTTGAGCAGAACCATTAGAAAGTTCATAGAACTAGGCAGGCAATTTGAAGTTCAGGACCACCTACAAAAAGCGTTTGGTAACCACCTTCTCCCACCACCTGCAATCCTGTAATCTGTGGCCCAGAAAGGCTAGACAATAGCAGTAAGAATGAACTAGAAATTAATTGGCCTTTGCAAAGACTGAAGCCCTAATCGGATTAAAGTAATCTGGATTGTTACTGAGTCTAGCTTTCTACAAAAGCAAAGTTAATCCTTTGAATATTAAGTAACAAGTAACACTAGTCTTGTATTTGCTATGCCCTATCTCCACCTATTGTATTAATTTCTGAACGTTTTAGTTCTGGAGTTTCCATTTGTTGTGTTTTTATATATTCTACTTATTTGTCAATGTTGTCAGGTTTGTTTTATATATCCATGAACACTTTAAATTTACAAAATATCTCAATTTTCTAGATTAACTTTGGGCCTGTTTCACTTCTCATTTGTCTCTTTTGTTTTGTGATTATATTTTCATGTTTCCTCATATGCTCTTTTTAATCCAACTCTGAAGAGTTTGGTAATATTTCATCCAAATGCTTTGTATAATTAATCAGCAAAACTATCTTTGCCTATAGGATTCTTTGTGGGAAGATTTTAAACTATAAGCTATTATTTGTTGAATGAGATTTGGTTACATGTGACTTTTAAGCAATGTGTTCATTTTATCTAAGATGCTGAATTTATTTGTATATATTATTCATAATGTTATTTTATTTTCCTTTTAACATCTATAAAATCTGCAGCGCTGTTAACTCTTTCATTACTGACATTGGTGATTTTTGTCTTTGTCTTGATGAATCTGGTTTGCAGTTTATCAAATGTATTGATCTTTTAAAATAATCAGCTTTTGATTTCATTGATTTTATCTTCTTATTGTGCTTTCTATTTTATTTTACTCACATTTATTTCTTTCTGCTGCTTGCGTTTCATTTTAAACTTATTCTAAAAATCCAAGGTGAAAATTTAAGCCACTGGTTTTTGTTTCCCACTTAATCCTTAAGTGCTATAATTTCCCATCTAAGTACTAATTTAACTTCATTCCTTCACTATAAGAAATGCAATGACTTTAATTTAAATAATAGGTCTTAAGAATCAAACTGGGAGGAAAATCTGTTGCCCACAGTTTTGTTTATACAGGCATTAAGGTAATAGCCCAACTCCTCTTGCTTTTCCAAATGTTGCCCTTGTCATAATTACCTTGCTGGTTTTCCTTGACTTAATTATGATTTTCTAATTCACTTGATCTTGAAGTTTTTCAGTACTTTCTTGAGAAACACACACACATTCACACACATACATAACACACAACTTATAGCTTGGACTCAGTTGGCGGTCATCACTTTGGGATAAGATCTGTTTTATCTACCCTTTTGCAGATATTATGGACTAAGGCAGGTTTGACCATGTGGAAGTCTTGTCCTTGGAAGAGCAGAGATCTCTATCACTTCATGGTCAGTCTACTTGGAAGACATACAAGTCAGGCTCTGGTGATTCTTCCCAAATTTATCATTCAGTGAAAGAACTCCAACACTTTTTTGGTAGAATGAGTAAAAGGGTAAAGAGAGGCCAGCAGTTGCATATTATTGGGCTTGTTTAAACATCAAAAAGAAGCATCAAGAATGGTGAAAAATATTTTTTCAAGATTTCCCAGTTTTTTTCTTTTTCATTTTCTTAATTTACCTGTTGAGATTGAACATTAAGCCTATGATTAGCCAGAGTTTTGGCTCTCTGTGGCATAGGAGGCAATTTGTTCTGCTCTCACATTCCTTAATCCACACTGCCAAAACCAGTAAGTTCTTCTGTATTTTAGTGGGATTCTGTCAATTCAATTAGAATTTGCCTGGAAAAAAACTCTCAAGTGCATCTGAATAGAATATTTATTCTATTAATCAAAAAGTATTTCATTTCAAACCTGAAACATCATTTTCTTTTGTATTTTTCAACTCATGTTCTGCCACATAATGCAATCTGCTTATTGAAGGTTAAACAATAATATTAAATGATATTATAACTTTTTTAACATCATATAATTGTTAAACAAAAAAAATCTAGGAAAATTGCATAATGACACATTAGTAACATAATAACAACAGCTAAAAGATGCCACAAAATCCTAAGGTGAAATCAAAGCTTCAGAAGCAAATCTTTGCAAGTTAAAATCTCAGTATCAAAGAAAGTAAATTCTTAAATCAAAACTTCTCCTTTATGAGTTACAAACATTGACCTCTCTTGCTACTATCTCCTTATTCCTCAGTTTCATTTGTAAAAGTTCTGAGTTTCAATCCCAATTTGAGCCTGGATTGCAATGAACTAGGACTTCTATGGGTGTCACTGTTCTTTCCAGATAGCTAGCTTTGCATGAACTAAATGTCAAATTTCGAATGGCTGGATCTCTACTCTAAAGGCTCCAAATAAACATCAAAACATATGCAATATCAAAGCACTGAAAACCCGCAATAGCCAACTTTAAAAAATAGGTACATCTCAACCCTTAGAATTTCTATCCAGTAAAGTTCTATTTCAAGAACATCATAATGTTACCAAAGACTATTACAAAAACTCAAAGGTTACTAAGTGCTAATAGAAAATCTTCTGTGCTTAGCTTCACTGGAGTGTCAACACTTAATACTAGTTATGTAGAATTACAACTTTATATTTATTACAGTAAATACACAGGCATGTAAGGAAAAATTCTAGAACAGTTTTTCTTAGTATGGTAAAAATTTTAATCACCATTTCACTTTTGAAGATCATTCTCTCTTGCACAGAGCACTAAATTCAGTACGAGATCTGCTATGATGTTTCTCTCTTATATGTAAGTACCTAACAGAAACATCATGCACGGGAGAGGGAAGTGGTGGGTGGGTAGTTACTCGAGTCATGTTGACGAACCACATGGATTCAAGGTTGTGTTATTCCCTCCACTATTCCCCAGTATGCTCTGATGGCTACTGAAATCAACATTTCAAAAAAAAAAGCACATAATTAGGGACACCCTAATAATACTACAATGTGGAGTGCCACCCCATATTTCAAGTTAGCACCTTATACCTCACATATCTGTGCTCTGTAGTAGTTATGATAGTTAGATATATGATTTATCTACTTAAAGACTTTTCTGGCAGACCTAGCTGAGAAGAACAGCAATAGTAACAAATATTCACCCTGATAAAGTCCAAAACTTCCGGACACAATAAGTCTCTCTGTTTCCTCCATTTGAATCTTGTCCTTGATACCCCTCCTTACTGCGACCTTTTAACCTACGTATTTGTCAAGGGATGAAGCCTTGAAAGTTAAACATCAATCGGCATTACCCCATACAATTTGCATCACCCGATATGTGGCAAAGGACTAAAACATTTAAAGTCTTTACTCTGTGCAAGATTTTTTTTAACCCAGGCTCTATTGATTTCCCCAGTTTTTACTATTTGTTTATTTCTCATAGTTTGAAGGCTAATCATCTAGATGTTGGGGATTTTGATGTTAATCCCAATAAAAACTACAGCCTTCCTACTTTGCTCTAAGGGTCAGAGCATGCTGCTGTAAAATTTACTGCTTGGAGGAAAGCAGTGGAGATTCCACGCCTTTTCCTGATCAGCCTGCTTCCAAAGGAGGGAGAAAGTGCTGGCCCTTCAGGGAATCTGGCCCACGGTTGGCCAACCACAGTTGGGAAAGCCTACCTCTGAAGGAGGAATGTTTTATGAAGAAAAGAAATAGAGGAAACTGAACCCACTAAGGCTTTTTCCGCCTTAAGTTTACTTATCAGAGAAGTCAATTTCCTCTGTGTTGAGAAAGTGAAGACGCCATGAGATGCTAGAAATACTGTACCTGCTGAGCTTCCATAACATGTAAGGTCAACCAGGCAGAGATAAAATGTGTTCCCTCTAATAGTAGCAATGTTCTTTCAGTTGAAAGCTTTGGAAGCCAAGAACTACATCAGAAATCTTAAGTTACAGAAAAATAACTTACATAGATCTTCTCCTGAAATATTAAAACTTGCAGAAACATTTAGTGGAAATAAGTGCCTGTACATGACCTGTACATGAACTTTAGTGCAAGATACTGGAATATCTTGGTCTACAACCCAATAGGCATCTCTTCTCATTTAAAATTATTTCCACTTCATCATGCTGACTTGTTTTATTTCAACAGAAGTTAGCTACTAGTGAGATTACAAAATGTCTAATTTGGTGGAGTGTTTTATTCTAAAGCGTGGTGTAGTCAAAGTGAACAGCATCCCCCAAATTATCCAACCCATTGTAAACTTTCAAATTGAGCCTATTTATACAATAAAAAACTACCTTCAAGTATTTTTACAAATGAGTAAAACTAAACATCAACCAATTACCAAATGATGGAAATAAATAACATATAAGAAATATCAAACATAGCTTTAATAAAGAACTGGGAGGGAAGCTAGAGAAATTGAGCTATCACATTTTAATCTCTTATTTTAGTTGATCTATATTACCACAGAAAAATGTAGAATGTAAATATATTAAGATATAAATATTAAAAGGTTCAAGTTTTTAAATGTGTATTTATATAAATATTTTGTATAATTATGAGATTTTCTTTCTTCATAGAAATAAGATGGCATTTCATGAAAATGATAAGCATTTTCAGGAAACTTCAAAATTGTCAGAAGGATTTTAAATAAGAACTTCATAAAAATTGTGGGGAAATCAGAAAAAAAACAAAATAAATGGGGAAAGACCCGCAAGCATAGTTTAGCAAATTATAAAATAAACAAAGATTTGAAACAGTCGGTTTGATATTGTCAGCCTGGTGAATTTGCCTCTTTCCTATATGCCTTTACCGAGCAACAGAATGAGGGACTGTGTGTTCCCTTCGAATCATTCTTCCAGAACAAAGCTGTACAGATTTCTGTCCCGCTAGCTGCCTTCCTCAACTTACATTCTTTGACGAAAGTAGCCCATGGTTTTAAAGTACCTTATGAAACTGAGAGGTGACAGTGTGCTGGGCAGCCCTTGCAGCCCTCGCTCGCTCGCTCTTGGCGCCTCCTCGGCCTCGGCGTCCGCTCTGGCCATGTTCGGGGAACCCTTTAGCCCACCACTGCGCTGTGGGGGCCCCTCTCTGTGCTGGTTGAGGCCGGAGCTGGCTCCCTCAGCTTGCTGGGAAGTGTGGAGGGAGAGGCGCGGGCGGGAACCGGGGCTGCGCGCGGTGCTGTCGGCCCAGCTAGAGTTCCGAGTGGGCGTGGGCTTGGCCGCCCGGCACTCGCAGCACCGGCTGGCCCCGGGCAGTGAGGGGCTTACCACCCGGGCCAGCAGCTGCGGAGGGTGCACCGGGTCCCCCAGCAATGCCAGCCGACTGGCGCTGTGCTGGAATTCTCGCCGGGCCTCAGCTGCCTCCCTGCGGGGATGGACTCGGGACCCGCAGCCAGCCATGCCTGACCCTCCCACGCCACCCAGGGCTCCTGCGCATCCCGAGCCTCCCGGACGAGCGCCGCCCCCTGCTCCATGGCGCTCGGTCCCATCGACTGCCCAAGGGCTGAGGAGTGCCGGCGCATGGCGGGGGCCTGGCAGGCAGCTCCACTTGAGGCCGCGCGCACGGCCTGTGGCTGGCAGGCAGCTCCACTTGAGGCCCCAGGTGCGTGCGGGATCCACTGGGTGAAGCCAGCTGGGCTCCTGAGTGTAGTGGGGATTTGGAGAATCTTTATGTCTAGCTAAGGGATTGTGAATGCACCAATCGGCACTCTGTATGTAGCTCAAGGTTTGTAAATGCACCAATCAGCACTCTGTGTCTAACTAACCTGGTGGGGACTTAGAGACTCTTTATGTCTAATTAAGGGATTGTGAATGCACCAATCAGCACTCTGTATTCTAGTTCAAGGTTTGTAAATGCACCAATCAGCACTCTCTCTAGCTCAGGGTTTGTAGATACACCAATCGACACTCTGTATCTAGCTGATCTAATGGGGACTTGGAGAACTTTTGTGTCTAGCTCAGGGATTGTAAATGCACCAATCAGCACCCTGTCAAAACAGGCCAATCAGCTCTCTGTAAAACAGACCAATCGGCTCTCTGTAAAATGGACGAATCAGCAGGATGGGGTGGGGCCAGATAAGAGAATAAAAGCAGGCTGCCTGAGCCAGCAGTAGCAACCGTCTGGTGTCCCAGCATTGTTTCTTTGCTCTTTGCAATAAATCTTGCTGGTGCTCACTCTGGGTTCACATTGCTTTTATGAGCTGTAACACTCACTGCCAAGGTTTGCAGCTTCACTCTTGAGCCAGGGAGACTGCGAACCCACTAGAAAGAAGAAATTCTGCACACATCTGAACAGCAGAAAGAACAAACTCCAAACAGACCGCCTTTAAGAACTGTAACACTTACTGTGAGGGTCTGTGGCTTCATTCTTGAAGTCAGTGAGACCAAGCACCCACCAATTCCGGACACGAAATGAACGGATGGTTTTAAGCAGTGCACATGGCAGGCAAGAATAAAAACGAAACGTTTAAAGCTCGTGTGAAGCTGGGTTTGCAGTATGACTAAGTTGTATTCAAACGGGAATGTGTAAGTGTCCCATGCTGCTTTTAGGAAGTGTCTTTAAAGAGAGAAAATATAAAAGGGATTGTGGAAAGTTTATATTTGAGGCATAGCTTTTGAATGTGTTGAAATGCAAGTGTAAAAGCAGAAGAACACAAATTGGATAACGAAAGTATGTATCCAATAAAAGAAAAAAATTATGAGGTAAAGTTTCCTCAAACAGGAAGTCATGATCACGAACCACCCATGCTTACAAGACTTTTACGGTGCCAGTTACCTCAGGATTTCAAGGCATAGCATTTGTGCAGGAAGACTCTGAAGTAAGGAATATGGAGTCCGTCCAGTTTGAGAACTGAGAAAAGCAAACAAGGGTTCAATCAAAAACTCAGCAAGGAAAATTGAGGATAGCAGCCGAAACAGGCAATTATTCGGCAGTAGGCGATGTCAATAGATAATAGTAATATCTAAAGAGGTTAAAGCTCTTGACCAATCTAAAACTAAATCTGTAGTTTTATGACTAAAAGAATTCTTAAAATCAACAAAAGCTCAATTCCAGAGTAATCCTCGTGATGAAAACAACTTCTGGGAGTAGAATTTAACCTAAGCAGGATGAGGGCAAGAGAGACAAAGAAATAAAAGGTGCAGATACAACTGGGAGAAAGAAACAGAGCCATGGACTATCTGAGAATGAGATGTCGTATTTTGTTTCTCTTCATTTTGAACGATAATTTAACTGGGGATATAAAATTCTAGGTTGATAGTTTGTTTTCCCAACACTTCACGTATTTAATTTCCCTTTCTTCTTGCTTGCACAGTTTCTGACTGAAGTTTTCTGTAATTATCTTTGTTCCACTCTAGGTAAGGTGCTTCCTCTATCTCTCTCTACTCAGTTTCAAGATTTTCTTTTTCTCTTTGTGTTTTTATATTTTGAATATGTTTAGATTTTTGTTTTGTTTGTTTTTGGCTTTTGGTATTACTTGGTGTTCTCTGAGTGCTGTTAATCTGTATTTTTTGTCTTTTTGGTGTTTCAATTGCACTTATGTTATACCTTATGTCCTGTTCTTGCTTTCCTTTTATTATTATTTTTATTTTTGCATTTAAATTTGGAAAGTTTCTGTTGACCCATCTTCAAGCTCACTGAGTATTTGTGCCCATTGTGTCAAATTTTCTGATGTGCCTTTCAATGGCATTATTTATTGCCTTTACTGTTTTGATTTCTAGTATTTTCTTTTGGTTCTTTCTTTGATTTTAAACTGTCTGCTTACATTACCCATTTGTTCTTGTGTGTATCTACTTATTCCGTTAGAGTCCCTAGGATTAATCACAGTTATTTTACATTCTGTATTAGATAATTTCAGTATCTGTTTCATATCTGAGTCTACTTCTGATGCTTGCTTTTCTCTTCAGATTGTTTTTTTCTTACCTGCGGTCATACCTTGACATTTTTTGTTGAATGCCAGATATGCTGTATTGGGTAAAAGAAACTGTGGTAAACAGACCTTTAGTCTGAGGATTTTTGTTAATCTGGGAGTTGGACTGTGCTTAATGTATGTTGTAGCTACATTTAGGTGCTAGAGGCTTTAAATTCCTGTAGTGTTCTTGGTTTTGTCTCCCCTCTTGACTTTGGGCTTCCCTTCTTACTCCTCCTTAGAGAGAGGTACCGTGTAGCCTGGTTGTTGTGGTAGTAAATTGTGAGAGAAGAGGAGAATTCTGTAATCTTTCCATTAAATCTCAGTTGTATAGCGGAGCCTATGTCTCAGGGATGTTACCTTGACAAGTATTTCTCCAGTGGTATAGCTGGTTCTTTGTTGTTGTTGTTGTTGATTTTTTTTTTTTCTTACCTGCTACTGTCTATGCTGGTTGAAACAGCCTTTCTCTATGTTTTGAAGCTTTGACACCCGATAACTATTTTGTTATTTTTGTTGGTAATTTTTCTTTCAGATGAGTCAGGAAGGCTGAAGAGAGCTGGGATGAGGAGGATTTCCCCTATCAACAGATAAGGCTCTGGCAAAGTCCTTTATCCTCCAGCATAGGATATTTTTATAGAGGATTATATAGAGGCTCATCACGATGGTGACTCTTTCTCTCCCTAAACCAGAGGCAGGAGAGTGTGTTTCTTGGCTCCTCATCATAAGAACTGAGGTGTTTCTGGGAGAGAAGACTCATGAAAAGTTGCCCCCACACCCATAGCTCCTAGGAGTTTCTGCAGCTCCCAGGAGCTTCTCACTCTCATGCTAGTTCTCAGTCATCTTGGATACATTCATCAAAAAAATTGGTATTCAAATCTTATTTAAATCTTCTTGTATTTTTATGGCTGTAGTGGCTTCTGCCCTGGGTAAGCAGATTTTAGGAGGTACCTGTCTCTCCAGATTTTAGATTGGCAGTTTACCTTGTGAACTCAATTCTCTGATGGGTCTAAGAAAAGTCACGGATTTTTAGTTTGTTCAAATTTTTCTTGTAACAAAATCTGGAGTGTATGGAGGAATGGAGTCCAAGCAATTTTCATATTAAACATGTAAGCAGAAGTCACCACCATATTTTTGAACTTTACAAAAACAGCAGAAGCCCTTCAGTTTCCAACAAAACAAAACAAAAACTAACCTAATGCAGCCCTCATGCAGAAAAGCTTTGCTGTTCAAAAACAGCAAAGAAACAAAAATATCAAGTTCAAGTCTTGTATAAAGTTCTCCAAGAGAAAATCATATTATAATAATAGCAATTCTATAGACAACAAAATCTTTCCGGAAAGATGTAACCATAAACAGATAAAAATCATGATCTAATATTTCAAAATAAAGTTTAACATGTTAAGAAAATATCACAAAATGAGCACAAAAGAAACAATTAAAATGTGGTATTGAATAACAGGAAACAGAAAGGAAAGAAAAATATTTCAGAGCTAAAGATAAAACTTAAAGGAACATATGAACAAAACAAAACAAAACACTATAAAAAATCCAGGATTAAAAAAGGAAGAAAATAAATTCATCGTCTATTTTAATACATAAATTAATTTCTCCATCATTTTGTTGTAATTGTTAAACTTTTATATAGCAGATTCAAAAGTGACAAAGAGATGACAGAGAAATTTCTATACATGTATATAGTTATATACACATATATATAAGGTAATCAAAGGTAAGGATTTAAAACAGTCTCACTGACTTTCAAGTATAATGACTAAAGTATACAATTTCATCGCTATGCAGGCAATAAGGAAATATTGTGTCTGGTAACTTGTCTTTAGTAATCTAAATGTTTTCATACCGGACATCAGATAATCAAAATAACTGGAAAGACATTAACATAAAGACTGTTAGTAAACGTCGAATGTATAAATTTACACATACAACTAACAGTGAATGAGATGTATAAGGAAGAATGTATAGTTTGTAATAGTTAGCTGCTCTGTCAATATAGGTAAAGTGCAATGTGAAAAACTGAAGTGAGACTAGCAAGAGCTTTTGTCAGCAATCAAATTATTGGTGTTGAAGGTATTGTTATCTGATAATGTTTCCATGTAGTATAAATTAAAATATGATTATTTATGTTGTACTCTAATTCTCTTCACAATGTTCTTAAAAAACAACACTCCGTTTGGTATAAAAAAGATTCAGATTCAAGATTGTAGAAATTGAAGAAACACTCTGTAGCAATGAATTTTAAAGAGGCACAAAGTTTGAACTAAGATTTGACACTAAATGCTTAGAAATTATAACAATTCAATAGAAATTGATCAAATGAAGCCTGATACTGATTTGAAATCCCACTTTCTACTAAAGAGAATCAGGGTTTCTTGAGAAAATGGCTGATTATAGGAAAGATCAAGGAATGTATAAGATTACTTGAGTTATTTTGGGATTGTACATAGAAAGGTAGCTCTCATGTAACACTCGGGGAAAGTCATCCAAATTTTGGAATCAACTATGAGTTTCACACTGGCCAAAGAACATAAAATATAAACATCAAAATCTAATACCTAAATTAGATACAAAAATGTCAAATAATGTGCATTACAGGAAGACAGTAAGGGACTTTAAACTCTTCCTACTTAAATTATTTTAAAAACTACTTTAATTCATTCGTTAATATTGGTTCTCACGCACCCCCAGAAGTTATACTGACTTGGTCACGTTATATTATGCTAGTAGCCATTTTTTTAACTAGTAAATAAAATAAGACTATTTAGCATTTCTCTTGCGTTTCCTGTTCAAATTTACGTCTGGATAACCAGATAGTAGATAAGATACAGTTTCTCTTTACAGAAGTATTCCAGAAAATAAATTAAGCAAAAATAGTGAAATTGTGTCATCATTTTACAATTTCTATTAAATTAATGGAGCTATACATCAAGCATCAACAGCTGTTAACGTCACAAACATAGACAACAAACCCTGGTGTGCTTCCTAAAGAACGCATCCTCACCTTGTCAACCTTGGCAAATCATCATTCTTGAATGAGACTTAGTCTCTAGATTCAACTAAAAATTTACATATAACTCAGAGGACAAATGAACGTGTTAAACTATACAAGGAAATTAAGTCAGTAAGACTATGACTGTGAAAAACTCACAAGACACCATCTAGGTTCTTCAATACGTACATTGCAAGCCAAAAAAATAAAAATGAGAAAGAGAGAGGGATTTTATAGATTAAAAGAAACTGATATTACATGTAACAGGCAAAAGTAAATTACAAGGAGTTTAGCAGTATGCATTTAAGTGAAAAACCTATAAGGAAAAATAAAGATGTTTTACAATAGAAGTCAGTTGTGATCACCCTTGGAAAGGAAGAAAAGGATTGTGATTTTGAGGTAGTAAATGGAGGGCTTTTGTGGTATGTGGCAAAATTATATCTTTAAATGGGTAATATTTTAAATGCCTTGTGGCATTTCATTACTGGTTTACATATTTCATGCAACTTTCTATATTTGCATCATCTTAATTAAAAACATGTTAAAAAGGAGATAATTTTCTTCATCTATCTTCCTTCATGTTGGCTGTCTATAAAGAGATGTGTCTGTGACTTAAATAGCTATATGAAACCACCAGGTGTTATACCAAGCTTAGAAAAATAGCAAGATATCTGCATCCCTTATCTGCCTATGTTATGACTCCTTGAGGACAGACAGAATTACATTTATACCTTGTTAAACCACTGTTGTTATTCTATATTTTTCTAATCCTTGAAAGCAAATATAATTCTGACTAATACAAACTCTCGGATGAAATTAAATAATTGAGGAAAGATTCTGGTAGTTTTTAAAATAATTTAAGTAGGAAGAGTTTAAAGTCCCTTACTGTCTTCCTGTAATGCACACATATGGGTAAGTTAAGCAATAAAGGTGACAACTGAACATGATAGATCTCTCATCAGTGTTTTAGTAGAAAGGTCATTAGAAATACACAAAGAAAGTATACATTGTGATCAGTAGAATAGGAGGATAGGAAGATAACACTGTATATCAGCTGAAAATACATTATTTAAAATGCATGTCCTTGAGAAGAGAAACATGGTAAAGGGCCTTTTGCTCTAGAGATAAGAAAAGATACGCAGCAATGATTATGTTCTGGACATGTACTAACATTCAGAAAATTTACATGATCAGAGATTACTAAATAAACAAATAAATATAACAATTTAGTAGAGCTAGGAAGATCTCAAAATATGTTCAATCCTAAAGTCAATGCAATCCTAATTGGTACCAATGAGAAGAGGAAATCAATATAGTTACTGCATCAAATTCTCCAATAAGCTTTTTTTCTAAATGTTTACAGGAGATTAAAAAGAATCTCACCACCATGAACAAACAAACAAGAATTGAGCA
Source organism: Homo sapiens (assembly GCF_000001405.40). NCBI lineage: Eukaryota > Metazoa > Chordata > Mammalia > Primates > Hominidae > Homo > Homo sapiens. The sequence continues at coordinate 171,050,352 of NC_000004.12, forward strand.
GCCATGCAAAAAGAGGGCCAGGCAGCTAAAATAAGTATATAGTTTACTGAGGCTTACAAAATATCATGCACGGAAATATTTTTAAGAATAATAATAGCAAGCAGAGAGGCTGAGAGGAACCTTTAAGAGGTGATGGATATGTGTATGGTATTGATTGTGTTGATTTCATGGGTGTATACTTATGTCTGAATTCATCAGGTTGTTATATCAAATATGTGCAGCTTTTTTATGTCAGTCACATCTCAATAAGGTGTTTTTTAAAAAAGAAGTTCACAAGTTAATAAGAAAAAGTATTCTCCACTAGGAGAAAAATATATAGTAAGAGAGGAATCAGCAAGTAATCTAATCAAGTCATATATTACATAATGTATAATAATATAATAAAATATTAAGCATTTATTATATTTTTTCTCTATGAAAGACAATGATTTTTAAACCAGGAATTATGTGCAATCATTACTATAAAAACACTGAATCCAAAGGGCAGTAATGTGACAAAGTATGCTAAATATATATGTCTTTTCTGGAGCCAACAATATTTCATTTTATGGCAACCAAATTACTTGTATCGTGTTCCCCTGTCTCTAATATGGGCTTACCTCAGAAGACTAATTATAGGCAAAGGGAAAGCAGGGGATAAAAATAAAAGAGCTGAGGACGACATCAACAAAATGTAGATATTAGTAAGAGAGCACTAAAGAAAACTGAGAAGTAAAATTATCCCTCTTCAGCATATGGGATACAGAATCAATTCCAATGAGTCGGGGGTCAGCATCTGAGAAAGGACAGTAGCAAGAAATTAGAGACAGGGAAGCAAATTTTCATGAAGAAGGTGGTAATTCACACTATCAAATTCTCAAGAGTGCTCAAATAGAATAAGAGCTAAAATAAGTATTTGATTCTGTAATGAGATGTTTTATATAAAATAAAGCACCAAACAGTAGAGGCCAAATCCAGTCTATGGTAGATTGTTTTAATAACCAAAGAGAGATTAATGTGGTTTTCAATCTCAAATAATTTTCTCAGTAAATGGAAAGAGCGATGTGTGTAAACATGAAAGAAGTTCTAATTGTTTGTGTCTGTCTGTGTGTAAAGATGTGACCATCTTTGGAGATCGAGGGTTTCAGCAAAAGGGCAGATTTACATTTACACAGCCTTGAAGAAAATATGGTCTCAATGTTTTTATATGACAAATCTATTCTCTGTTTATTGGTTTATTGTTTTAATAAGCACTTCAGATAGCTTTTTATATTTTGGTTATTACTTTAGGTGCTCAGGATATAACAAAAGAGGATAGCAGCCTGCAATTTCAATGTGGAATGGGATACTTTTGTTTCTAGGTAATATGGAAAAGCAGGTACCATATTTATTTATCCTCCAGCTTATAAAAAAGAACTGAACAAAATTTATGAAACAACAGTCTGCCAAAACTTAGAAAACAATGCAGGACAAGATATGATATCTCTAAACGAATTTGTCTACATGCTCAATTGGAAGAAAGAGACTCCATGAACTACAAAAACCTAAAGAAAATGGTGCATGTGGAAAATTTACAAACTCAACTCATTTTTCTTGTGTCCCTGCCTCTCCTTCCCTGTCTCTTCCTCCTCCTCCCATCTTTGCTCTGGTCCTGTGGTGTTTCTATCTTTCTGGGGAGCCAAGATTCAGTGTAGGAATAAAGTTTATGATTTTAAAAATCTGGATTTAAGAGGTTTTGCTCATATGAACTTAAAGTTTAGCTCTCACTTATAAGTGAGAACATGCAGTATTTGGTTTTCTGCTCATGCATTAGTTTGTTTAACATAGTGGCCTCCAGCTCCATCTATGTTGCTGCAAAGGAGATGATTTCATTCTTTTTATTGGCTGCATAGTATTCCATTGTGTTTATGTACCACAGTTTTTCAAATCCAGTCTACCATTGAGGGGCATTTAGATTGATTCCAAGTCTTTGCTCTTGTGGATACTACTACCATGAACATATATGTGCATGTGTCTTTATGGTAGAAGGTATATAATCCTTTGATTATATACCCAATAATGGGATTGCTGGGTTGAATGGTAATTCTGTTCTGAGTTATTTGAGAAATCACCAGACTGCTTTGTGCAATGGCTGAACTAATTTACATTCCCACCAGCAGTGTATGTGTGTTACCTTTTCTCCATAATGTCACCAGCATCTGTTATTTTTTGACTTTTTAATAATAGCCATTCTGGAAATGAACAATAGAAAAAGGGGCTTACTTGAGACTGGAGGGTGGGAGGAAGGTGAGGATCAAAAAATCTACCTATTGGGTACTATGCTTATTACCTAGGTGGTAAAATAATCTATACACAAAATCCCTGGGACATGCAATTTACCTGTATAACAAATGTGCATATGTACCCTCTGAACCTAAAATAAAAGGTTAAAATAAAAGCTAACAAAAATAAAAGGTTCTGCTGCTTTACTGTACCTGCTTTGCTGAGCTCTTTTACAGTGAGAAAAAAATTATCTAAAACTAAAACAACAGGGAACCAGACAATCAAACTTTGGTCCGCACTCTGGCAAGCATCTCCCTAGATGGGAGGGCTTTACTAAAGGGGACAACATAGAAATGACCAGAATGGGAATTTCAAACATTAAGGCAGTCCAGGTTTGCTGGGACTCCAACTGGCTAATTATTATGCCCTGTTCTAGGGCGCATTTTAAACCGTATGGCCAAATTACATTAAGGAAAATTCAGAGCCCAAATAGTTATTATGAAAAAAAGGAAAGAAGGAAATAAAGAGAAAGAAAGAAAGAAAGAAAGAAGGAAAGAAAGAAAGACCCTACAACAAAAGAGTCTAAATTATTTCACATATCTATATTTTTTCTTCCCATTTTGAATCTGCTGACTTTTCTACTAGTGTTGAGATAAAACTGACTTTTTATGATATTAGTAATTCTAAGATGCTTGGCAAAAGGAAAAAAAAAAGGTAAAAGTTCTTTTAAAATCAAGCTGCTATACAAACTGCTTTACCCATTGGGTAAATAAAGTTTAGACATGTGAAAAAGTTTCAATTTTGTCAGGAAAGTAAGCAGGATTCAACCATCTTGTTTATATATACACATGTATTATGTTGCATGTTGCATCTTCATGGTGCCAAATTAGCTTATAAATAAAGGAGTACTCATAAATTAAGCAAATTAGCCCAGATGCTTTTCAGGTTCATGTGACTTCAGTATTCTCCCATGTATCCGTCTATTCTCATGCTGCTGTGAAGAAATACCCGCGACTGGGTAATTTATAAAGGAAAGAGGTTTAATTGACTCACAGTTCTGCAGGGCTGGGGAGGCCTCAGGAAATTTACAATCATGGCAGAAGGGGAAGCAAACACATCCTTCTTCACATAACAGCAGCAAGGAGAGGTACAAGGTGAAGGGGGTGCGGGAAGCCCCTTATAAAACCATCAGATCTCATGAGAACTCACTCACTATCATGAAAAAGCATGGAGGTAGCTGCCCCCATCATCAAATTACCTCCCAACGGGTTCCTCCCATGACAAATGGGTATTTTGGAAACTACAATTCAAGATGAGATTTGGGTGGGGACACAGCCAAACCATATCATCTGGTAAGTAAAAATAATTTTAAAATTATTGATAAAAATATAAATATTTTCAGAATTGTCTGGTCTGCATTCGTGTTTGTCTGTGTTTACTGGTTTTATGTTTACATTTGTTAGACATTTTAAGATGTCAGAATTTGGCGTGAAAGTTATAAAGCTATAAACCCGGTGAAAACATAATGATTTTTATTTATATAATTTTTTTATAAACAAGAGTGATTTAATATTACTGATTTAACAAAACTAATAAAATCTTCTGTGCTATTGGCAAAATGTCCATGTAATTTAAAGTTCTTGCTTGGGTGAACACCTAATATTTACAGGCTATAAAATGGTTAACAAGGAAATAACTTAAAATATAACAAGCTTTGTCTAATATTTTAGTTTTCATAATCTATATGAATTATTAAAAATAAACTAAATAAATATAAATAAAATAAATGTTATTAAATAAAATTTTAATGTATTTTTGAAATCTTAGAGTTATGTCAAATTAAATAAGAGATATACTTTAAATATCTGCGTCATTCCAAATTAAGAAGATTTATGTTATAGGGAAAGATGTTCCTAAAATTATAAAGTGGTTCTCATGTGTAAAATACTGTAAAATATGACAGACAATTCAAGATTTCTTGCTTCCTAGATTTTTCACTAAAATAAGGATTACTAAGCGTTAATACAGTGATTGATATATGTAACTAAAACTACTGAATAAAAGAAACAATTACATATTTGCAATGTATAAGGAAAATAGAAATATGATTTTTGCTTAAGAAAATTTGATTTTTGTCTAGTTTAGAGGTGTTTAAGGGTTATTTTAAATTAAAGAAAATTTTTTAAATGACAGATAAACCTAAATGTATATAAAAAGTTGAGGAAAATAAAAAAACTAAGTTATGAAAGGTTTATGGAAATTTTATCCTGAGGTCAAAACTGATTGCAATTGGATAGATTTGTATATAAGGTTTTTAAAATTAGCTGTATCATTAAAAGTGCCCTAATACAAAACTAAAAATTTTGGTTAAAATAACAAGGTTTTATCAAAGTGTTGATTTGTTCTCAGTGATATTGCAAGAAATATTGACTTTTAATTCTGAAATCTGTGTCTTTATAAAGCTTCTCAGATTTCTGCCACAGAAGTTCGACTTTTCTGGTATTTTGTTACCTATGATTTGCAGATCACATCATTGCCTTCTGTTCCTTTTCCCTTGAAAAGTACGTCTTTTTGCTTGGCTGGAATGATAACTCTCTCTTTGAACATTTTCAGTCAGTACCTGTAATATTTTCCCCTGGTTCTAATTCTGTTTTTATGACATAATGCTAAAAAGCTTATTTTGAAAGCCTAAAAAAAGCAATGCTTTCCTCAAATGTAGCATTATTTTGTAATATATTTTTGATATGTCTAAATACTTTCAGGTAACCAAGAAATTTCCCATGCTGTCACTAAGAATCAGGTATTCCTCCTGCTTTCTGCTAAAGGTACTAGTTTTAATGCTAAAATTTCTCTATAACCTTAGATACATTCTTCTTATGTCTACTTAAATTCAGGTACACTTTTCATCAGTTTTAACTCTGGGTTATTTAAATGGGCCTTCCATAAGGGGAAGCAATCGTACCGCAGAAGGTTTTTCTTTACCTTTTTGATGACTGGCCTAAAACAAAGATTTTATGCTTTATTATGGCAATTTATACATTGTCTTCATTGGTTATTTTTATTACTTAAGAAAACTGAGCTTTAAAAGGGTTAAGGTTTTCACAACCTTGTAACTTTCTGTATTGCTTTTGAGGTCTTCTGATTATCATGCTAGTTAAATTAGTAACCATTACATAAAAATGACCTGTGATTCTGTTTTGATTAAATGTTTTGAACCTTTTGATATCTTTGGTAGGACCTAAAATTATATTGGAAATATCATCAAAGGATAAATCATACTGGATCTTCTTTTGGTTACATTTATAGGTATGTTATTCATATAAATTCTATAAAAATTATATACATTTATAAAAATATAATATCCTATCAGTCATAATTTTGACTATATTAAACCTTTTCTAAAGTTATATTTATATAGATATTAATATAAATATTTTAAAGATTATGTCAAATGTATGGAAGTCTGGTGGTTCTAATGTGATGATTCTGGTTTTTATCTTACTGTGCTACATATAATAGAAATAGCTAAATTTTATTGCCAATTGAAAATTTTCAACCAATTTTAACCATGGTTATTACAAGTTTCTGTCACCCACAATTCCTGGAGGGTAGGAGCTGCCACTCAGTGACCATGTCAAGGGCACGTTGGCTCTCAGCCCCAGCCACTCTCCCATGGCCAGCACACAAGGCCACCACAGCCTGGTCCTGACGTGATACCCAAGACCGGTGGGTACGAGGGGCATCTGGTGAGTTATTGTTTAAACTTCTTCTCTAAAAGCATTTACAATAAACTGTGATCTAAATTACTTTTCATGGAAAGGACTCTGACAAGTACTCTTAAACACAAGATTACTTTGGACATCATACCATCAGAGTAGAAAAAACTTTCAAGACTCTAAGTAAAAAGCTAAAATAAGAACTGCTAATCTAACATCAAGCAGAACAAGAGTTAATTACACAGGATTGAACTGATAGAATACGAAGATTTTATTCATGACATTTTCATTTGAAATGGCTGATTCTCTTTATATTTTGTTTTCCAGAGTCAAGATAACCTTTTTTCTTTATTTTTAATTGACAACACATTAGATAGAATATATTTTTGTGGACAAAAATTTGAGGTATTTATATTTCTCTCTACCTGATTTCTCCAGAATTTGGAAGCCATTTGTGAGTATTCTTAATTAATGGCAATACAATTATTTGCATAAGTTCAATAAGAATCTGTTTCCTTTTGTAACAGGATACAACTGGAGACACTGGTTATTTTACCAAGGCTTTGATTAGAATGGCATATTTTCAGATATGATCAGGCTGCTTTGAGAAATTGGTGCTGACTTCATAGAGCCAATGAAAAACTTAGAAAGACTGGACTGGTACCTTGTCTACAATGTTTCCTTACAGGGTTTCTGTCCTTCTGATAATTAAAGAATATCACTTTCTGACAGGCCTGGGAACCTCAAGATATTTTGGAACCTTGAGAAGAGAGAAATACACTCATTCATACAGATTTTACAGCCACAATCTGATGGATTAACCATGGCTTTACTAGACTCAAGGCTTTTAAAAATCTAAAATTTCTTATAAATAGGTTCCAACAAAGCTAATTTTAAAAAAGAAGCTTATAAGGCCAATTATTGCTGCACTTTATGCAAATAATCATGCCAGGTAGATATAAGACTAAAACTTATTTTGCAAACAAGTCAGTCCTATGATTTGTCTCTGATAAAAATGAGAAGCTTGAGAAAGATAAATTATATTTCAACAGCAAACTATAACACACCTGTTATTGGATTCCAACACTGACCATTGTTTTTAAGTTTTTATCATTTGTTATAATCAAGACTGAATCCTGAATTTTTCCTGGCTTCAATAAGTGTCCCTAATGAACCTGCATATAATATATTTTAAAAACTTCTTGTTATGATTTCCATCAGGAATAGGATCTATTTTTGAAGTACTACTTAAACTAGGAATTATAATTCAATATATGTTGGAGTTTCTCTTCCATCTTGTTAAGTTCGGTACCTACTATTTGTTTCTTATTTTTAAAATCAAACTGATTATATCCTACCCAATACCAATGACATGTTCTTTAACCTGTCTTTGTTATGAGTAAACCGAAGACTTTTCCATGTTTATCAGGGACACTATGTGAACCTCCTGAATATGCATTTATTTGTCAACATATTGACCACCCCTGGTTTTATGCATGTGTTGACAGCTGATGCAAGAGAGTTAATTGTTTATTAGGTTATCTGACTATTCTTCTTTCTATTTATAGCTTCACTGCTTCTCAATATTGGACCAGTTTCTTAAAACTATTTTCCAGGAATAGACAAACCCTACCTGCAAACCAAGAAGACAGATTTTGGCCTATGTTTAGCAATATTCTCTTGCCATGATGGAGAGTATCCTCTCATGAACAACGATTATAAATCTGTCAATCACCCTATGTAACTTCTCAAATGAAGCAGCTAAAGCCATAGCTGCCCAATAAAAATCTTTAAACTCTTTAGCCACAGTAGTAATGGATAACAGAATACCCCTAGACTAAGTATTGGTGGAACAGGAAAGAGTTTCTATGGTAGCTAACATATCATGTTGTGTTTACATCAATACATCTTCTGAAGTTGAAACACACATGAAATAAGAAGACAACAAGCTAATTAATCACAACAAATTCCCAGGGAAGAACCAGGTGCCAACTAGTTCTCAGATATATTTTTCTGAATCCCACATAGAATTCAATGTATGCCCCCAAGCCATATGAAAATTAAGACTTTACCTATTACTAATGCTCATTTTTGGACATTTGGTTATCAAATGCTGCCTCTGATGTTAAACCTTTAAACTGTTAAAAGAGAAACCAATGTATTAATAATGCTAAATGTTAATATTGTACCAGATATTAGAGAATATCTTCAACTTAATGCAAAATGATTTCATCCTTTAGGCCCAAACCTGCACCCCTAGTCAGTAGGAAAAAGCTAGAATGGATGTTGCCCCTAATCCCTCATGACTGAAGAATGCACATAGAACAGGGGGGATTTAAACCATGACCCAAAGATTTAGTTAAAGAAACCAATGGCTAAAAGAAGTTATTGAGTTTGCAGGTTGGCAGATTAAAAAAAGAAGAAGAGGAAACAACAACAACAACAACAAAACAACAACAACAACAACAAAAACTTGCTGAAACACTGAAACTCCCTTTGCTTATTAACTAAAGAACACTGACTGAAATTGGTTGGACTCAATATGGCCAACTAGAGTCTGCACAGAAAGAGCTTGCTGACATTGCAACCTGAATTTTCAGTGCATGTTTCATAACAGCTCCCTCCAACTTTGTACATGTGATCCATGCGATAGAATGAAGTTAACTGTATGCCCAGGGACTTTCTAGACCTTCTCTTTCCTTCCACCAATTATTTGATCATCTCAGAATCCACCTCCTGAAACTTTTTGTATACAAATACTGCTTTGAAGCCAGCATGGGGAGAAAAACTTGAGTTTGACATGCCTGTCTTCTTGTGAGTCAACTTGCAAAATAAAGCTTCCCTTTCCTCAAAAACCTGATGTCATAGTATTGTCTTCTAGCACATGGGGCAGTGAGCCCCGTTGGCTTGATAACACTTCTATCACCTAGAATGGAAACACAGGTAGTTCGAGGGGCATAGAGTAGAGAAAACAGAGAATCATTGACTAAGTAATGGTACCAAAAGTATTTTCAGACTGAGGACTGTTGTGGCCCACGTAGTAAATATGAAAGCACTAATTAGTAGCTGAGGACAATAAAACAGTTATTATAACTGTTTTTATCATGTTCATGAATCTAGAGGATATAGTTTGCACAAAAGTCGAAGTATATTTTTCTAAAAAGCCAAATCAAATTTTCAGACCTTAAAACTACAATGCTGAGAAAATATACCAGATGAGATTCATGGCAGATAATGCATAGGTTATAAAGGCATCCAAAATCCTAAGAAATGGAAGTAGAAACTACCCAAAATGAAACAAAATATGAAATAACAAAATAAAAAATAAAGCATAAGTGAGCAGTGAGACAGCCTCAAGGGGCCTAAAATATAAATAATTGGAGTCCCCAAAGCAAAAAAGAGAAATAGGTACATTAAAATAAATTTTGAAAATTTATTGCTAAAAATATATCACATTTGATGACAGCTATAGCCTCACAGACACAAGAATTTCAATGAAACCGAAAACAATATACAGAAGAAAATGATACAAAGGCACAGCATAATAGGTTGCTCAGAAATCAATGACAAATCATAAACGAGGTCATAGAAAAATGCACATTAAGTATAGGGAACAAAGAAAATTAAAACTGCTGACTTCATATCAAGGCAAATGACAGTAGAGAAACTTCTCTAAAGTAATGAAATAAAAACTGTCAACCTAAAATTCCATACCATTAAAAAATCCTTTCAAATATGAAGGCAAAATTATTTCAGACACAACCTCTTTTTGTGGTACTCTGTTATGGCAGCCCTCACAATATAATAGAATTTTCTATTTAAAAATGTGCATTAGAAATAAACAAACCAGCTGGGTAATTACTGCTCAGTGTCTGGCAGTCGTTCATTATACGCTCCTCTGGGAAAGAAACAGGACTAAAAATTTTTCTGAGATGGCAGGGAAGACTGCAAGGAAAAATAAAGGCAGCAATATTGTTGGATGAACCCGATTTAAATAATTTACAGCTAAAACATGAAAGCACAGTTTTTGAGACTCTGGGGTATTGCTGGATATGTTCTTTGTGTTAGGCTATGCTATTTGATTTTTAATTAAGTCTTCAAAGGGGCCGTATCAGTTCTCAAAAATGGTGGGACATTGGATATTTATCCAATGTAATAATACCTGGAGAGTAATAATACCTGGATTTTATCTCAGTTTTATTGCTTGGTTGAACTATTTAACTCGCAGAACCTGGTAACTCTTCAAAAACTATTGAAAGCTATGAAAAGAAAATACTTCTGCTTCTACAAGGGATTTTTATTTAATTAATTTATTTATTACTGTCATTTATTTATTTCCTTGGGCTATTAGTAGCTTTTGTTTTTCCTATGTCAGATCAGTGTTTTCTGTATCTATGCTTGAAAACAAGAAGATTGGGATGGGGCTTATTATAGATTTCCTTTTAAAATAAAAATTAATTCCTACAATCAACATGAACTACCTTTTTGCTGTTATATACTATAAAATTGTTAGTACTTTTTTTCATAGTAATACATTAATATACTTTGAAACAAATCCAGGTATTTCACTTCATGGAGAAGTTGACTATCAGCTCTTAGACAACATCATAATCTCACTTTCAACTGCATAAATTTTCCAAAACTCAATTCATCTGTCTCATGCTTTTCTTGACTGTTTTAAAATTACTTCTATGTCACAAAATATGCTTTATGTCTATGTTTCTGCCAACTTATGTTTGTAAAATATTTTTACATAGAAAGAATAAAAGCATACACCTGGGTTGTGATTACTTCTCCAACTGCCTATTAATTATTTTTAATAATAAATATTTAGGTTATACATGGAAAGTTACAATTTCATTCAACATAACACCATAAAACAGAAGGAATTGTAGCTTACTTAGAGAGAAAACTCCAATGTAAATATTACTGGCAAAACTTCCTGAAACTGCAGGGTTTTGAAAGAATTTGAAGAAAAAAAGCACGTGTCAAATTAGGAGTACATCTCTCCTCTACGAATAATGATTACGCTAGTAAGCTTAAGGAGAAAACTGCAAATGCGGTGTTTCAAGGTTCAGTTCTACTGTATAGATCTATTAAGCCTAGTTATATAAGACCTACGTTTCAGAGGAAATTCTAATTCCAAAGCTTAGTTTTTTATTTCCTTCAATGTGAATATGAAAAGTCAAGGAAAAAAAATGCTTACCTCTTTCAGGAAATGGTCGGTATTACTATGGTCTGTTAATATCACTGAAGAATGACCTTTCCCAGATAATTAGGTTTTCCTGTTAACTGAAGTCTAACATTTTACTGCAATAAAGGTTATTAAATATAGCAAATTCTGAAGTTTCTTCTCTTAATAAAATACAAGGAAAATCAACTTAAAATACAATCCACAAGATCATGATTTTGAAAATCAGATTATTGTGCTCATGATAAGATAGATAAGATAGTGGATGTTGATGCTATAGGGCATAGTGGTGAATGTTATCTAGTCTAAGGAGTTAATCTGAAATGTGACTTCTTTGAATAAGAAAATTATTTGTAAGAAATTAGAATTTTGCTTATTGTTATCTTCTTCACATTTGTGTAATAATACAGCTCTCTGCAAAATATTTAATATATGGAGCTGAATTCGAGACAAAATTGCTTTTGCTCATGGCAAATTTCTGCTAGGCCCTAATATTTAGTGATAGTATCACATGTCTTTCCAGAATGTAGTAATAACTTCTACAGCTATTGAGGCCATATAGAGAACTCCCGGATGACAGGGATCTAAGAATATTCAAATGATTAAATATTTTTATTTGTTACTATTGTATAGTCTAGGTTGTCTTCTTAAATGTCCCAGCAGAAAGCAGAATGAATGGCCCATCTGCCACTAATGTACTATTAGGACTATTCCGTAAAGAATTTGGGATGGATGGAGAGTGGAGAATTGTTAGCTTCTCAGTACTGTGGAGACATTTATCTTCTTTAGCCTGGCTTTGACCCTTTCTGTTTTCTTCCCTCATGGTTCTTGTTGATAACTGATGTCTCAGAACTATTTTTCTATGATTTTGGACTCTCATTTCTTTTGTGCTCCTGTGGTTTGTTGCTTTCCTTTGCTTTTTATTTGTCCATTTTCCTGACATTTTTATCACTAATATACATCAGTCCTTTGCACTCAGAATGCAGAAGATTGTCAGGCTTCAGGTACTTCAGGTCTTCCTATACTTAGGTCTATTGGGGATTCCTAGATTATAGCCCTTGGCTTTAGTTAAATGAGCTGGTAAATCTTTATAGAGCTATCTTACTGTGTGCTAACACGAGGTTACTAACATAATACAGTTAAAGGGTTTCCCTGTATGCTAACAACAAGACATCATAATGAATCTTAAAGATAGTGCATACAGACATATCAATATATTTGTTAATGCATTTTTCATGGCTGCCATTGCAGGAAGCTGGACTGGCCCTGACTGAGTGCATTCAATGTCATTAAAGCGTAACAGAATTAATGAATAAGCAGCAAATGAAAGTCTAAAGCCCAACATAACAAAATTGGATAATATAAACACCATAATATATTTATAAAAGTTATCTATGTGGGAACCACCCCACATAGAAAATCAATTTCTCTCTCTCTCTCCCTCGGGCTCCACTTCAGACTTCCTTGGCTACCCAAGGATCACCTGAGTTTCATTATTATGTATGTGACTTTGTTTCTGGGCATGGACTTTTGTACAGGTAAATAAATTGTGAAGCAAATTCACAGAAACCACAGGGAAGGGAAGACCTATGCAGTACAATTATCAAAATATAGAAGTAGCAAGCTATGAATAAAATCTGCCTTTCCAGAAATATTAATGTATTGGGAACATCAGCTTATTAAAGTCTAATATTAATACTTTAGAACACTTTTACTGCAGTCATTGCAAATTATAAAGATTAAAATATTCTAAAATCGCTTCTTGATAATTTTTTATATAAAATTTATTTTATAATTTTCTCCAAAATCACTAGATGATGGAAGCCTTTTAATCATTCAACAATTTTACTATGCTACTTGCTGGTGATACAAATACTTGTACTTCAGTGTTTTTACTAAGTTTACAGGCTAGACAGGAGGACTAGTAATTGCATTTTTTAAACTAATACTAATCATAAATCAATACAAATGTTATTCATAATGATGTTTATGAATGGTACTATTTACTTTTTATATAATGCCGGTGTATGAGATGTATAGCTGTAACACTAAGAAATCAAATTCACCATCATTATAATTTTAGAAAATTAGAGAATTGATCAGTAACCAGAGTTGGGTAGTTAATAACAAAATCATAAACAAACTATTTACATTTTAAGATCATTTTCCAGGTTTAAAATAAACCTGGTTTGAAATTAATTGTATAAGCAAAGTCATACAAAGTGATATTTTCTACATCTTTAAGACATTTATTTGCTCTTGGTCATATTGAATTCTGCTCTAGAATTCAAGAAAACCACAATAAATTTTAAAAAGACAAAGACATACAAAAAAGTTTTAAAACATTGGATTATAGTATTTGTAGAAGGAAATTTAAAAAATGATTGCACTTGGGAAGAAATTTATGGATTAATTAACCCTACCTAGTATTCTACAAATGAAAGAACTGAGATCCTTAGGAACTTTTTCTATTATATTTCTTAAGGTAATGCTGATCACAAACAAGCATATTTTGCATCTTTCTTTCTGGTTTGTATGACTTTTTTTTCTTTTTCTTGCCCAATTTCTCTGGTTACGACTTCTAGTACTATATTAAATAGAAGTGGTGAAAGAAGGAAACTTCGACTTGTTCCTGGTCTTAGATGGAAAGCTTTTATTTTCAACACTGAATATGACATTAGCTAAGGGGGCTTTTCAATTTCAGTCTTTATATCATACTGAGGTAATTATCTTCTATTTCTGGTTTCTTAAGAGTTTTATGAACACAGGATGCTGAACTTGATAAAACACTTTTTATGTATCTATTGAGAAGATCATGAAATTTTACCTCTTATTCAGTTAATGTAGTTTATCACATTAATTTATTTTTATATTTTGAACCATCATTGCATCCTAGGGATAGACACCAATTGATTATGGTGTAGGATAATTTTAATGTGCTGTTAAGTTCACCTTATATATTGAAAACCTTAAAAACTTCATTTTTTTAAAAGCTGTTAGAACTAATACAAAAACTCAGTAAATTTGCAGGGTACAAAACTTCACATATGAAAATCAATTGTATTTCTATACACTAACAACAAACTATGTGAAAAAGAAATTAAGAAAATACCATTACCAATAGGACCAAAAATAATAAAATACTTAGAAATAAGCTAAAGAGATAAAAGATTTATACACTGAAAACTACAAAATATTAATGAAAGAAGAAATAAACAAATGGAAAGACAGCCTATGCTCAGGATTCAAAGGCTTAACAGAATAGAGAGCCCAGAAATAAACCCTTGCATATATGTTCAAACTAATCTTCAAAAAGGGTGCCAAGAATACACAGTGAGGTAAAGCAATCTCTTGAACAAATAGTGGGAAAACTGGGTATCCACATGCAAAAATTAGAATTTGACCCTTATTCTACATCATAGAAAAAAGTTAACTAAATAAATAAAAAGACTTTAATGTAAGACCTGAAACTGTAAAACCTCTAGAAGAAACACACAGGGAAAAAGCTTCATGACATAGGACAGAGCTATGATTTTGTGGATATGACATCAAAAGCACAGAAAACAAAAGCAAAAATGGAGAAATGAGACTACCTCAAACTAAAAAGCTTTTGTACAAAGAAAACAACAGAGTAAACAGTCAACTACAGAATGGGGGAAAATATTTGCAAAACATATATCTGATAAGGGGTTAATTCTAAAACAGATAAGGAACTCCTACAAGCCAGGAGTAAAAATCAAACAAACAAAAACGAATACCTGATTAAAAATTGGGCTAAATACTTGACACTTTTCAAAGAAGTCATACAAATGACCAAAAGGTGTATGAAAAGATGCTCAATGTTATTAATTATCATGGAAATGCAAATCAAAACCACAATGGGGTATCACCTCACATCTGTTAGGATTGCTATTACAAAAAAATAGACAAAATAGTAATAACAAGTGTTGGGGAGGATGTAGAGAAATTGGAAACTTTGTACACTGTTGATGGGAATGGAAAATGGTACAGCTGGAACAATTACAAAAATAGAATTTGCATATCAACCAGTAGTCCCACTTCTGATATTTGTCCAAATAACTGGAATCAGGGACTCAAGGCGATATTTGTACCTCCATGCTCATTACAGCATTAGTCACAGTAGTCAAGATGCGGAAATAGCCTAAAGATTCATTGACAGATGAGTAGATGAAGGAAATGCAGTATGTACCTGCAACAGAGTATCATTCAGCCTTAGAAAAGAAGGAAATCCTGCCATATGTGACAACGTGGATGATCCCGGAGGACATTATGCTAAGTGAAATAAACCAGTCACAGAAGGACAATTACTGCATTGTTCCACTTATATGAGGTGTCTAAAATAGTCAAACCCACAGAATCATATAGTGGAATGGTTGTTGCCAGGGACTGGTGGGAAGGAGAAATGGGCAGTTGCTAATCAACAGGCGTAAAATTTCAGTTAATTAAAATGAATAAATTCTAGAGATCTTCAGTATAATGTTGTGCCTATAGTTAAAAACACTCTATAGTGTACTTAAAAATTTATTAATAGAAAAGTCTCATATCATTTTCTTACCACAATAAAATAAAAACTTAAATATATATATTTTATATATTATATATTTAATATATATTAAATAAATATATATTTTATATATAATATATAAAATATATATTTAATATATTTATATGTTATATATATTTATATATAAGTTATATATATTTATACATGTTATATATATTTATATATATTATATATATTTATATATGTTATATATTTATATATAAGTTATATATATTTATATATGTTATATATATTTATATATGTTATATATATTTATATATAAGTTATATATATATTTATATACTACTCAGCCATTAAAAGGAACAAAATAATATCTTTTGCAGCAACTTGGATGGAGCTGGAGGCCATTATTCTAAGTGAAGTAACACAGGAGTGGAAAACCAAAAACTGCATGTTTTCACTTATAAGTGGCAGCTAAGCTATGAGTACACAAAGGCATACAGAGTAATATAATGGACCTTAAAGTCTCAGAAGGGGAGGGTGCGAGAGGGGCTAGGGATAAAAAAAATTACACATTAGTTTCAATGTACACTAAAATCTCAGAATTCACCACTATATAATTCATCCATGTAACAAAAAAACACTTGTACCCCAAAAGATACTGAAATAAGAAAAAATATACATACATAGATAGAGACACAGATAGATAATGTGTCACAGATAGATAATAATAGATATTATTATAAATGAAGCCAAAAATTTCAATAGCTTAACCAAATAAATGTGTATTTACTTTTAATAGAAAAATCTAATGAGAGATTCAGATTGCAGACATATCTTCTCTAAGAAACATTTTGTAGATCCAGACTCCTCTTTTCATCTTGTAGAATTGTTGTTTCCAAGATATGGTGCTCAAGTTTGCTAAGCTCACCTATACAAAGTCAGCTGTGGAATAAAGCATGAGGAGGCTTTTACATGGAAGAATTTGATTGGCCAAACCTGGGACTAGGACGAACATCCCAACTAAGTCACATGTCAAATCTAATGGAAAGGAAGGCAGGGAATATCCATCTAGTTTTGTATGTAGAAAATGGAGAAAGAGAAAACCAATCTGCCACAAATCATTCTTGGCACAAGGAAAATTTGATGCAGATTTTCAAATAATTTCTTTTGTAAAATTCAATGTAATATAAGACATAAATATTGTCTAAATATAAGGTAATTCTTCATGGTCATCTAAGTCCATATAATAATATTTTATAAATCATTAACTTTTAACTCAGAATGAAATCAGAGCAATAATTAGATTATTTGTAATTGTTGGTAACTGATGTAGTATCCATCTTGAAGATATTTTAGAGAAATTGTATGAAGCACTGATATTTTTCAATAACACTGATGCTCCATGGTGAGCAGATATATTCAAACCTACCCTCAAGGTCCGAGGGAGCTGAAAGGCTGAAGAAAGAGGCTGACAGATCCAGTTTATCAGAAGGAAAGATTTAATAGAGATGTAAGAACAGAATCAATGTCTTGAAAGGCCACAAGATGGTGTATCTCCACACTCACTCTCCAGAAAATGTCCTTCATTTAGCAAGCATTTAGGGTAAAGACATATGTGGTTGGTCACATCTCAGACTTTTTTGCTGAAACTCTTGACCACTGGGTGAAACCACACTTGCAAAAGTATAACATTGAGAGAAAGCTGATATAACTGACCTCATCTTACTTGTAATCTCATAAGCCTCTGCTTATTCCTGCATGTAGGCCAAGCTAACTGTGGGAGGAATTTATAGTTGAACTTTAAAGCAAGAATGATGATTGTTCCTTCCTAAAACTAACACCTTCCTTGTTCAGGGACGAAAACCACTTCTGTAAAACTAATGAAAGGCCACAAGGTTAGAATTATACTAGAGACTTGAATTCTGCCAAGACTTAGACATAGTTAAATAATAACTAGTCATTGTTTTCTAACTTGCCTTTTTGTAAATGCTTATAACTTAGAAGTCTGGTATGATTTGGACATATGTCCCTGCCCAAATCTCATGTTCAATTGTTATCCCCAGTGTTGGAGGTGGGGCCTGGTAGGAGGTGATTAGACCATGAGGGCAGTTTTTCATGAATGATTTAGCATCATCTTCTTGATGCTGTTCTTGTGTTAGTAAGTGAATTCTCATAAGATCTGACTGTTTAAAAGTGTGTAGCTCTTCCCCCAACCCTCTCTTTTGCACCTACTCCGGGATGTGAAGTGCAAGATCCCCCTTCACCTTCAGCCACGATTGTAAGTTTCCTGAGGCTTTCCCAGGAGCCAAGCAGATTCCAGCATCATGCTTCCTGAACAGCCTGTAGAACCATGAGCCAATTAAAAAACCTCTTTTCTTTATAAATTATCCAATCTCACATATTTCTTTATAGCAATATTAGAATGGACTAACACATAGTCACTACCTGGTGGTCATAAAATTTGTAACTTTCCTAATTGACCCTATAGATAACATGACTACTGTAAAACCTAAGACTGGAGTTTGAGATATTTTTCTGAGTTTGCATTCTGGTGGACCAACTGATGCCAGCTGGACCAGTGACCTCACCCAGAAACTGACTCAGCACACCAAGAGAGTTTCGGCATTTCAAAACCGTGATTTCATTTCTAACACAGTCAATCAGTAGAAACAATTCTGTAGGCCCTGCCCACCAAATCATCCTTAAAAATCCAAGTCTGCAAAGTCTCAGGGAGATGGATTTGAGAAATAGCTTGTGTCCTTCTTGCCTGGCTGCCTTTTGATTATTAAGCTCATTCTCTGCTGCAACACCCACTGTCATAGTGCATTGAGATTTGCCTGTCATAGTGTATTGAGATTTGCCTGTCATAGTGTATTGAGATTTGCTGTGCAGCAGGCAAGAAGCACCCATTGAACTGTTACATTGGGAGATTAGATAAGAATCTATACAAGGAGTTATTTATATTATAGGCATTGCTTTAAGACCATGCTATGGAACATGTTGGTAGGCAGGACTCAAACATCAGTCATCATGGAGGCTTTGCATAAAGGTGGCATCACTTTTACCATGCAGCAGGCTGTTTTTCAACAACTGATATTTTGATTAAAAAATAGGAACATTAAATTGATTATACTGTCATAGGTCTTTTATTCAATAAATAAATATTTTCTTCTGTTTTTCAAACTCTTCTTGCTCTTACTTTGATTTTATTCCTATATTAGTTAGTTCTTACATTACTATAAAGAACTACCTAAGACTGGGTAATTTATAAAGAAAGGAGGTTTAATTGTCTCATAGTTACACAGGCTGCACAGTAAGCATGACTTGCAGGCCTCAGGAAATTTACAATCACGGCAGAAGAGTAAAAGGGAAGCAAGCATGTCTTCACATGGCAGCAAGAGAGTGAGAGAGCAAGGAGAGAAGTGCTACACATTTTTAACAACCATATCTCATGAGAACTCACTATCACAAGAACAGCAAAGGGAAAATCTGCCCCCATGATCCCCACTCCCCACCAGGTCCCTTCCCCAAAATTAGGAATTAAAATTCAACATGAGATTTGGGTGGGGACACAGAGCCAAACCATATTATTCTGCCCTAGGCTGCTCCCAAATCTCATGTCCTTCTCACACTGCAAAACACAATCATGTCTTCCCTCAAATCCCCCAAAGTCTTAACTAATTTCATCATTACCTCAAAAGATCAAGTACAAAGTCTCATGTGAGACAAGGAAAGTCTTCTGCCTATGAGCTTATAAAAGCAAAAACAAGTTAGTTACTTCCAACATACACTGGATGTACAGGCATTGGGTAAATGATCCCATTTCAAATGGGAGAAATTGGCAAAACAACAACAACATCAAAAACAGGGCTACAAGCACCAAGAATGTGTGAAGCCCAACAAGGCAGTCATTAAATCTTAAAGCACCAAAATAAGCTCCTTTGACTCCATGTCTCACATCAAGGCAACACTGATGCAAAGGGTGGGCTCCTAAGGCTTGAGTAGCTCCACCCCGGTGGCTCTGCAGGGAATAGCCTCTGCAGTTGCTTTCATGGGGTGATATTGAGTGCCTTTTGGCTTTTCAAGGTTCACAGTGCAACCTATCAATGAATCTACCATTCTGAGGTCTGGAGGATAATGGTCCTCTTCTCACAGCTCCAATAGGGCTGTGTTCCAGTGGGGACTCTGTGTAGGTGCTGGCTCCAAACCCACTTTTCTCCTCTGCCCTGCCCCAATAGAGAAGCTCTTTATGAGTGTTCTGCCCCTGCAGCAGACTTCTGCCTGGAAATCCAGGCATTTCTATTAATCCTCTGAAACCTAAGGAGAGGCTTCCAAGCCTCAATTCTTGCATTCTGCATATCCACAGGCCCAATACCACATAGACTCTGCCAAAGTTTGGGGCTTACACCCTCTGAAGCAATGGCCCATTTGTACATTGGCCCCTTTTAGCTACAGCTGGGGCTGGGAAGGCTGGGACACAGGATGTCTTGTCCCAAGACTGTACAGAGCAGTGGAGCCCTGAGTCTGTGTCACAAAATCAGTTTTCCATCTTGGGTATCCAGTCCTGTGATGGGAGGGGCTGCTGCAAAGGTCTCTGACATGCCCTGTAGACATCTTCCTCATTTTCTTGGGTATTAACATTAAGCTGTTTTTACTTGTGCAAATTTTTCCAGTTGGCTTAAATTTATCCACAAAAAATGGGTTTTTCTTTTCTACCACATGGTCAGCCTGCACATTTTCAAAACTTTAATGCTCTTCTTCCCTTTTAAATATAAGTTTTGGTTTCAGATCATCTCTTTGTGAACATACATAGCTGTATGCTCTTAGGAGCAGCCAGGTCAGTTCTTGAATGCTTTGCTGCTTAGAAATTTCTTCTGCCAGATACCTTAAGTTGTCTCTCTCAAGTTCAAAGTTCCTCAGATTTCTAGAGCAGAGGCACAATGCCACCAGTCTCTTTGCTAAAGCATATGAAGACTGATGTTTAATCCAGTTCCCAATAAGTTCCTCATCTCCATCTGAGAGCTCAGCATGGCCATCTCTGTCCCTATCACTACCAGAATGTTGGTAAAAGCCATTCAACAAGTCTCTATGAAATTCCAAACTTTCCGTCATCTTTCTATTTTCTTCTGAGCCCTCCAAATGGTTCCAACTTCTCCGTGTTACCCAGTTCCAAAGTTGTTTCCACATATCTTCACAGCAGTACCCCACTCCAGGTACCAATTTTCTTTATTGGTCTGTTTCTACACTGCTATAAAGAACTAGCTGAGACTGGGTAATTTATTTAACAAGACATTTAAATGATTTACAGTTCCACAGGCTCAATAGGAAGCATGACTGGGAGGCCTCAGGAAACTTACAACCATGGCAGAAGGGGAAGGTGAAGCAAGAACCTTCTTCACATGGTGGCAGGAGAGAGAGACAGTGAAGGTGGAAGCAGCACACACTTTTAAACCTTCAGATATTATGAGAACTCACTCACTATCATGAGAACAGCAAGGGGAAAATCTGCCCCCATGATCCAATCACCTCCAACAAGGCCCCTCCTCAAATTTGACATGAGATTTGGGTGGCAACACAAATCCAAACCATATCAATCAATAAGGAGAAAAACAAAAAATATTTAAAGATACCTGTTTTGTTAAACTATGGATAGAATGAATAAGATCTAATATTTAGTAGCTCAACAGGATGACTCTAGTCAATAATAATTTAATTGTACATCTAAAAACAACTAAAAGGGCATAATTTGATTGTAACACAAAGCCTAAACGCTTGAGGTGATGCACACCTAGTTCTCCATGATGTAATTATTAGGCATTGAATGACTGTGTCAAAAAATCTCATGTACTCTATAAATATATATACCTACTATTGATACAGGAGTTAAGAATAAATTACTTAGGCAGATAGTGAGGGTATGAAAGTCCTCAGTAAGGTTTTTCTTTTTAATGGAAAGCATCCACCAATCATTTTCTGACATAGAGCAACCCGTGAAGTTGAGCTGCAGACATAGACAAGCAAGCTGGGAGCTTGCATGAGTGAATGCTGACAGGAAAGAAATACCTGGGACTAGACATGTTCAAAATGGTAGCTTCATCTTCCCTTCTCTGCCAGCCATGAGTACAGTAAAGAGCAGACAAGATGGAACTGGCCAATAATAATAATCTTATTATTTGCATAATAAGATTATGGTGGGGTGACCAACCTTTCCCACATGCTATGTAAATGTCACACCTGATCAAACCAATCTGTAAGCCCTATGTAAATCAAACACCACCTCCTCAAGTAGGACTATAAAATCCAGTGCAACTGCCACCAGCCGGCCTTTTCCTCTCAGAAGTCCCCTCTCTCTCACTGGAGAAAGAGCTATTTTTCTTTCTCTTTCTTTTGCCTCTTAAGCCTCCACTCCTAAACTCCTCTTGTGTATCTGTGTCCTAAATTTTCTTGGCATGAGATGATGAACCCTGGGTATTTACCCCAGACAATTTAGCCACTTCATTGTGTAGCCACAAAAATTAGAAATTATTTTTTTTTAAATAAGGAGAACTATAAAAGAAAGAATACTTGAAACTATATTAACAAGATTATCTTGGGTACTATAACTTAACTGACATTTTATCTTAAAATCTTGATGCTTATTAGAATTTTAGAACGCCTAGTGACATAATTTAGTGAAACTGTAAATTCATTAGTAATTATAAAGTTAATTTTTCAACATGGTTTATTTATGTGTCTGGAATTGGTTCCTTCTGATGGGTTCTTGGTCTTGCTGACTTCAAGAATGAAGCCACAGACCCTTGTGGTGAGTGTTACAGTTCTTAAAGATGGTGTGTTCAGAGTTTGTTTCTTCAGATGTTCACATGTGTCTGGAGTTTTTTCCTTCTGGTGGGTTCTTGGTCTCGCTGACTTCAGGAATGAAGCTGCAGACCTTTGCAGTGAGTGTTACAGTTCTTAAAGATGGTGTGTCCGGAGTTTCTTCCTTCAGATGTTCAGACGTGTCCAGGGTTTCTTCTTTCTGGTGGGTTCGTGGTCTTGCTGACTTCAGGAGTGAAGCCACAGACCTTCACAGTGAGTGTTACAGCTCTTAAAGGTGGCGCATCTGGAGTTGTTTGTTCCTCCCGGTGGGTTTGTGGCCTTGCTGACTTCAGGAGTAAAGCTGCAGACCCTCGCAGTGAGAGTTACAGCTTATAAAGGTAGTGCTGACCCAAAGAGTGAGCAGCAGCAAGATTTATTGTGAGAAGCGAAAGAACAAAGCTTCCATAGCGTGGAACGGGGACCCAAGCAGGTTGCCCCTGCGGGCTTGGATGGCCAGCTTTTATTCCCTTATTTGGCCCTGCCCACATCCTGCTGATTGGTCCATTTTACAGAGCACTGATTGGTCCGATTTTACAGAGTGCTGATTGGTGCATTTACAAACCTTTAGCTAGCACAGAGCGCTGATTGGTGCATTTTAACAGAGTGCTGATTGGTGCATTTATAAACCTTTAGCTAGACACAGAGTGCTGATTGGTGCGTTTACAGTCCTTTAGCTAGGCAGAAAAGTTCTCCAAGTCCCCACCCAACCCAGAAGCCCAGCTGGCTTCACCTCTCATTTATACTCATTTTTAGTTTAAAATATTTTCAAAAACTAAATAAAACACATTTATAATTTTTAAGGTTTTATCTTAAAATTTGCCTCTTTTTGTGAGCCTTATCCACCAATCAATATAGCCTAGAATTGATCATTTTCCATTTTATTCATCAACATTTAAATTCGTTTCATTATCAAGAAATTTCACCTTGTTTTACCTGTCATACTACTCCTTAATACATTTTTTCTATTGATCTCAGTAACATTTATATATAAGGCCTAGGGCAGCACCATCTATAAAATACAGTGTACTGACCAAAAGAATAGTTTTTGCAAAGTAGAATTTGCTTGGGTATTCCTAGGCCTAGAAAGACAAAGATGTGCAGAGGCCTCTTTCTAAGACCTCTATTTTAGTGATTGATAATTTCCCAAATAACAGCACCAGGGAAGAGTGTAAAAATCCCCAATTGTACCAAATGGGATACTATGTTTAGCCAGTGTTTCAAAAGTGCCTTTCTTATTGCTCATTATAAAAGGGAATGAAATTATTTGGGATATTTAGAAAATGACATAAAAGGTGTTTTTTTAATACTGGAATGTGGCTGTCAAATGGTTCCTTCACTGGCTGTTATCAAATTCAAATGCATAGCTCAAAAAAGTAAACTGTTCATAATGATTTCCTGACTCTACCACTCCTTCCTATTTAGAATACACTCTCCCCTTGCATGCCATATGTATCAGTCTGTCCTCACACTGCTATAAAGATACTACCTGAGACTTGGTAATTTATAAAGAAAGGAGATTCAATAGATTAACAGTTCCACATGGCTGAGGAGGCCTCAGGAACCTTACAATCATGGCATGCAGTGAAGTGGAAGCAGGCATGTCTTCCATAGCAGCAGGAGAGCAAGAGTGAAGGAGGAAGTGCCACTTTTAAAACCATCATATCTTGTGAGAACTCAATCACTATCACGAGAACAGAATAGAGGAAACTGCCTCCATGATCCAGTCATCTCCTACAAGGTCCCTCCCTCAACATATAAGGATTAAAATTCAAGATGAAATTTGGGTGGGGACAGAGAGCCGAACTATATCACTATAATGCCATAATTCCATATTTTCCTTTTACCTCTCCACTCGGCTCACTGCAAGCTCTGCCTCCCTAGTTCAAGTGATTCTCCTGTCTCAGCATCCCGAGTAGCTGGGATTACAGGTGCACGCCACCACACCTGGCTAATTTTTGTATTTTTACTAGAGACAGGGTTTCATCATGTTGGTCATGCTGGTCTTGAACTCCTGACCTCGTGATCTGCCCACCTTGGCCTCCCAAAGTGCTGGGATTGCAGGCATGAGCCAATGCGCCCGGCCTCCTTCTTGATCTTTTAACTTTGAAGATTCTCAGGAATTTGTCTCTCTTATAAAATGTCTTCTACCTTTGATAGGGCATCCATTTCTAGACATTCAAAGGCACTGTCTTAAATGTGTCTAGACTGCTGCAGGTCTTCTGATCTCTAAGGTAACATATCCAATTGCCTAAACAACACCTCTCTTTGAATTTCTCACATGTATTTATATACAAACTTAACTCATGATACTTCCAAACCTTCACTTTCTCTATTAATCAGACTGATGCCCCATCAGTCGCATGCAGCATCCAGGACTTCTCAGATAAAACTTGGATCTCTTTCTTTCTTTATATGCAATCAAATCATCTGCTCCTGCCAGTTCTAGCAACTATATCTCAAACTTGTTAACTGCTACCATTGTGGTTCAAGCTACCATAGGTGCTTAGTTGCTTTAAACTACGCAACTGAATAAAAATTAACTCAGAATAAACATAGCTCTGCAACTTGATTCTTCCTATCTCTCCTGCCTAATTATAGGTTTCTCTCCTTGCTAACTGTTGCCGGTTATACTTGTTTCAACTCAATCTTAAAGACATTTTCTTCTTCTTGCCTCTGGGCCATCAATAAAGTACTTTATATGTATAACACAAAAACTTATTCTTCAAATCCTTATATGTCACTTAAGAAAGTCTACCTTGACCCTCTGATTTAGGCTATTTAACCTCAATATAGATTCTCTTGTCAACCTGCCCTTCTTCATTTATAGCTTTTATTATCATTGTTTAATGATGCTTTTTCTACCCTGATTTAAATTCGTACCCCCAATATTTACTATAGCAACTGCTACATAATAGATGCTCAATAAATAATTGTGGGATGAATTAAATTGATGAGCAAATAAGCACATTTTCCAAGGTGCACATCAAACCTTCATGCTTGTTAAAAAGGTTCATTTCCTTTTGTCCCTTTTGCAGATGTAACATGGAGCAATGCTGTCACTGGGTGCTGTGAGATTTCGATTGAGATATTTTCTCATGCAGGTAGTTTCTGAATGGTGAAGCAATTACAACAGAGATAGAGCTTGGATGAGAACAATATCACTAAATTCTCCAGGGACAGTTCAAATACAAGCTTATTCTAAGCATGATAGCCTCTGCAGCATACCTGAGTAAAGGTTCTTAAATCTGGCTGCACATTAGAATCACCTGGGGAGTTTTGAAAAAATACCAGAGCTCATGCTTCACTCCAGACCAGTTAATTCACAATACTTAAGGGTAGGTTTGGACATCAGCTTTTATTTGTTTGTTGTTTTAATGCTTCCAGGTGATAATACTCTACAGCTTATTTCGAGAAGTATAACATTGGCTCCCTAACATGACATCATTAGAATATTTTGTAGTAATTTAAATAAAATAGAATCAGACTTAGACCTGCGGTAACTTCTTTAGTTGGACTGGAATTAAGCTCGATAATATGTATTTTAAAAGGTCTACTTGTGATTCTGCTATTCAAACATTTAGGAAACACTGATTCATAATAATGGACTCAGTATTAAATATATAAATTTCTGTGGATCCATTATCTGAAAAGCAAAAACTTTAACGCTATAGCAT
Organism: Homo sapiens; assembly: GCF_000001405.40. Classification (NCBI taxonomy): domain Eukaryota; kingdom Metazoa; phylum Chordata; class Mammalia; order Primates; family Hominidae; genus Homo; species Homo sapiens. Next base: position 171,076,557 of record NC_000004.12, read on the forward strand.
AAAGAGTGATAGCTTTGCTAAAAGAAATACGTTTTTTAACAAAGGAATGTCTTCTACATACCATCTTATAAGCTCAAAGTGCAATTTTCTAAAATGAAATGCAGGTGAAAAACCTAATATAGAGGAGAGTTGTCAGAATTTTTTTCTCAAAAATGTACTCACTGATGGTATCAGTAGGTAACTTTGGGCAAATATAGCAGATATACTAGCAATATCTTATATAGAAATGAGAAAATTTAAAATGATAGTCACAAAAATTCCACCACTTAATTTGACATTTTCTAAAATTGATATATGATTTAAATTTTAGACCTAAGTGAACAAAATATTTTACTCAAGGGTCAAGTGCTGTAAGAGACATAAATCTACTCAAAGTAACTTAATTTTAATGTGGAGTGGGAGGCAGTAATGATTACAAAAAACAAATAGGCAAATCAGACATAAAGGGTTGGTATTCAAAAACAGGTCAAACTTAAGTGTGATTATAAATGGAAAGGCAAGAATTAAGGTTAATATTTCTGTCTTCTGGTGTCTCCTAGCTTCTCTTTTCTTTGCTTCTCTTTGCATACCAGATTCTCTCTCTCTTTTTCTACTTTCCTTCTTTTCTGTTTTTTGCTTTTCCCTTTATTATTTTTTTGAACATGGCCTACCTCTAACTTACCAAATAATTTTGGGTCAAATTATTGAGAGAAAATAAATTGGTTTCTAGATTACCAAAGGACTGGTTGATCTTGGTCTTGATTTTAGTAAGATATGACCTAAAGGGCAAGAATTATAACCTCCAGTATTTTCAGGAGTATCAATTCTCTGTTTATGTACAAGAGAAAAGCAGCTGTCTCTCCAAACCCCTCTTGAGAGAAGGGTGAAATAAATTCTGCTCCTTTGATATAAGTTAGAAAGAATCCTGGGTTCTCACCTAATCTTTTGAAATGTAAACATGCCTTTCTAAGTCCCAAATAAACTCTAGGTGCCTTCTGCTTCTATGAACCAGAGATGTCTCCACATCTGGGCTTCATCTCTTAAAATATAAATAGTGAGGGAGATAGCATTTCATGCTTTCTACTACCTTGGTAGCTTAAACCAGTGTTAAAAAAAAAAAAACAATTGCATCAGATGCTTGTTAAAAATGGCAAGACAGATTTTAGGTAAGCTATCACAATTGGCGTATGCAATTTCTGTATAGAACTGAGCTCATCTCCAAACACAGCAAAGACAGCTGAGGATATCTATAGCCAACAAGCAGAGTGAGGGGGTCAGTGGAGGGAAAATTACTAAGAGGAACTTGATTAGATATTGATTAGTTATCAATGGTGGGGAGATCTTGCTGAACTAAATTAGCAGGATTCTAATATGATTGCCTCAGATCTAATTATTACATTTTCATATATGGTGAAGAGAGGTGAATCTTTCATTGGGCTTTCCTTTTCACTAATTTATCTCCTTTTGGCTAACTTAGTCACACACTCCAAAACTGGCAGAAGATAATTAAATTGCATTTACCAGCTTAGAACAGTCATGCCTCCTCACCTTGACCTGGGCACACTGGGATACTATAAATTAACAAAAAATGAAAGAATATCTTGAAAAATAAGATAAATGATAGTGTCTGCTCTGCCAGTGTAACTTATGGTGATGAAAAATACATACTCTTGCCTACTGTTAGTTGGCAGGAGTGTAAATTCTCAGAAGACAATTTGCTAGTATTTCTAAGAATTAAAAATGCATCAAATGTCATTATGAGAAAGAAAATTAATTGTGATTAACAGCAAATAGGAAATAATAATATCATGCATTCCACTTTATGTGTTACTATCCAGATATTAAAATGAATTGACATTGACTGTAAATCAATCAGGTGATTTACTTACACCTGATACAGAGTTTAGCCTTGAGGACGTGGCCTGAAGCTACTGAGTAAAGAGCAGAAGAGTAGAGGGTCCTGAAAGTCAATGGATCCAAGACACATCACCTCTGCCCCAAGAGTATTGGCAAGGGGCTATCTTGGAATTGGCTTGGGAGTTTGACCTGGAAAGGGAAGGCGGCCTCAGCTAAAAGAGACTAGAGTTTTACAGGCAGATAGCCATGGACTGTTGGCAATTAGCTAGAGAAATGCCTGCATCTGCCATGAGAAAAACTCAGGCAAGAAAAGTCTAGTGATGAGGAGGCCTTGTGGAACAAAAACACTCATCTGAGAAGCTCAGAGAACAGGTATGCTAGTTTATGAGCATTTCAGTGTAGTAAGACCTTTCCAGCCTCCTAAGGTTTTCCCCCTGCCTATACTGTTTTGACCCTGTGGAATTCAGAAATCACACATAATAAGCTGGCAGAAAAGGGAGAAGGAGAAAGTGTAAAACAAAAGACAACGAGAATGACAACCCTCTCTCCTCCACCCAGGCCCAGTGGGGTTTCCACCACTAACCACCCTCCTGGAGCAAGCCCAAACTGGGGAAAAGAAAAGTTTTAAAGTAGAATAAAATGACACTGCAGTGAAAATGTTTTGAGGACTGGAAGTTACTAGAAGACTTTTTGTTATTCAAAAGTGACTGGAAAATTCATGCTCTTTGCCCAACATTCCGGCGAAAGGAAGGGAATCATTAGTTCTACAGGTAATGCTTGGAAGAACATTTGAGGAAAAGTACCAAAGAGACTTACTGATTGTTCCTAGGCGTCTGGTTAGCTCTTTACTTAATGTAATATAAATAAGAGACATTCATCTGTACATACTCAAAAACATATAAACAGGTATGTGAAGTAATCCTAAAAAACTGTTACTTTGATGGAGTAGGGAGTAGTTTTGCTTAATTTTGCAGCTTATGATAATGTATAGTTATGCATGCTGTATTTGCATTACATATACAGTTTTAAACATACATATGCATATAATTTTTGTACATGTACATATTATGTGTGTATATATACATAGTGCATATGTGTGTATGCATATATAAGAGTGTATAAATGCAAGTTTTTTAAGAGTTAAGAAGATGAGGTGTTTATAACCAATTTGGGAAATATTTTCTTATCATACATTCTGATTTAAAGGAAAACAAAAAACAAAAAAACAAGACTGGGTGCAGTGGCTCATGTCTATAATCCCAGCACTTTAGGAGACTGAGGTGGGAGGATTGCTTGAGACCGGGAGTTTGAGATCAGCCTAGGCAACATAGCAAGATGCTATCTCTAAAAAAAAATTAAACATTAGCCAGATTATGGTAGCACATGCCTGCAATCCCAGCTACTTGGGAGGCTGAGGCAGGACAATCACTTGAGCCCAGGAGCTAGAAGCTGCAGTGGACAACTGAGCGAGGTCCTGTTTCTTAAAACAAACAAACAAACAAAACAGAAAAAAAAAACCCTCTAACAAATAATGTCTTCAAAAAATGAAGAAGGACAGGGCATAGAAGATATTCTACCTGGGCATATTGAAATTCAATTCAATAGAAAGGAATTGTGTAATTCTTCTTCATGCATGGAGTAAAAGTTATATATATTTAAAGTAAACATGCAAAATGTTCAACATTTTTGTGAAAGATAATGCTTAATTCTATGTATTCTACGTGGTTCAAATTCCAAGTAAAATTATAGATTTTCCAGCATCAGATCCTGACGGTGATTGAGAAATATCACAATGTAAATATCAGATGCTTTAATTTTCAATATTAAAATAAACATTATTTTGCTTATATACCACAGAATTGAGTTGTTCAATGCTTTGCTAGATGACCAGTTTAAGAAAGGCGTATTAAGAATATTATATCATTTATGTGAAAAAATGCAAATTAAAATCATAAAGAAAACATAACGTCTGTTCCTGGCACTTGTATGATATCTGTTTAAAAAACAGAAGGATAATTTTATACATATTTTATAACATATGTGGTTTTAAACCTCCAAGCCGGATACATTTACCAAGCTGTCTGCAAACACATTTTTTAATCTTGAAAAAGAAATGTGTTAAAAATTTTAAATTACACATAAGTGGATACATGAAAATGAAAGGCAGGCAGTTCTGGCATTTTGTTTTTCCTTTACTTCTAATTTTTACTTAAACAAATGGGCATCCAATTCAATTGTCCTATATATTTCCTGGATCAATATCATGTTAGTAGTCTGTTATATTTATGTCATGATTACCTCATATATTGTAATACGCAACACTTAAATGAAATAGCATCTTCTATGTTATCCAGCCAGACTTAGTCATTGACAGAAGGAAATATAAAACCAAGAGAAATTAAGTGATTGCACTAAAGTCTCACAATCATATAAAGGCATAGCTGTAGCCCTCAACCAGGTTTATATCTATTCATATCCATAGCTATACACACACACTCTATATATAAATAGCTATACACACATAAACACACATCAATGTCTCTGTTAATAAGCATTTTTTACATGTCACATACCAGTTTTCTGGTTTTCTTTTTTTCTTTTCTTTTTTAATATAAGTTTGTTACAGTTTAACATGCACAGAGAAATCATAAATATATTTATCAAAACATTTTCTCAAGGTGAATATACCTACTTAGCACCCATATCGAGAAATTAAACATTAATAGCATCTGAGAAGACCCATTTTGCTCTCAGTCACTAAACCACCACAGGAAATCGCTATCTTCAGTATTAACAACCTAGGTTATTTTGTCTGTTTTTTTTTTTAACTTTGTATAAATGGTAAATTTAGTATGCACTTTTTTACATTTGGCTTCTTTAATGCAACATAATTTCTGTGAGATTCATACATATTTTTGTGTATAACTATAGAAATTCATTTTCTTGCCATACAGTATTTTATTAAAATATCACATTTTAGTTATTCACTCTACTCTTGACACTGTTTAGTAGTGCACTTGCAACGTATTTTTTTGTTTTGATTTTTAGCCATTATGGAAGCTAATTGTTCAGCTAATGTGAGGAGTGCTAGATTTCCAATTATAATTGAGAATTCTTACTTTTAAATTTCCAATTCTTTCAGTTTTTGGTTTGTGTATTTCAAAGTGCTGATAATGGCTGCATACAGAATTGTCTTCTTGATAAAAGTGACTCTTTTTTTCACTTTGAAATAAGCTTCTATTTTCTAACAATATTTCTTGTTTTTAAGTCTACTTTTTCCCAGTTAATATTTATTGTGATAAGAATGTTCATAGCACAGTATATCAGCCAGTGTATCTCTATATTTAATTATGTTTCTTGTAGACAACATATAATTGGATCCTGGTTTTTTATCCCACTTGAAAATCTCCTTTTAATAAAATTATTTTATCATGTACATTTACATCTCTTTAAGTTTTATTTGTCATGTTGACATTTATTCTCTGTTTTTTAAAATGGTTTCTTTATTCCTTTCCTCCCCATTTCCTGCCTTATTTTGGATTAGTGTATGCATTTAGATTCTCTTGCACCTTTACTATTTTTAGGTGCAATTATTTTATTGTTTTAGTGGCTGCTTGAGTTTTAAATATGCATCTTTAAATTATCACAGTCACATTTCAAATAAGAGTATATAACTTTAGGTATAATATAAGAATTTTATAATAATATACCATTTCCCCACGACCCAATATTTTGCTGTATTTGACAGATATTGTACTTCTACACAGGTTACAAAAGCAAAAATAAATCATCGTTGATATGGTTTGAATCTATTTCCTCACCCGAATCTCATGTTAAATTGTCATCCCCAATGTTGAAGATGGGGCCTGGTGGGAGGTCATTGGATCATGGAGGTCGATCCTTCATAAATGGTTTAGCAGTATCCCTTTGGTGCTGTTCTTGTGATAAATTTCTCACAAGATCTGGTTGTTTAAAAGTGTGTGGCACCTTCTCTCTCTCTCCCTTGCTCCTTCTCTGGCCATGTAAGATATGTCTGCCTCCCCTTCACCTTCCAGCATAATGCTAAGTTGCCTGAGGCCTCCCAAGAAGCAAAAGCCACTATGCTTCCTATACAGCTTGTGGAACTGTGAACCAATTAAACCTCTTTTCTTTATAAATTACACAACTTCATGTATTTCTTCATAGCAATGCAAGAACAGACTACTTCAGTTATTAATTTTGTTTCCAAAAGTTGAAAGGAATGAGTTAAAGTAGCTGGATGGTGATCCATTGTCTCCTTTTACCTGAGAAAAGTTTCTAGGAGGAAGAAGGGACAGTAAATACCCAGAGAAGCATCTTTGCCAACTAGACATCAGATAGATTAAATACATTGTTAAGAAGAATTTTGATCGCTGAGATAGCCTTAGTTGAATGTTCCATCGTAAATATTAGGTTGGTGCAAACGTAATTGCAGTTTTTGCCTTTAAAAGTAATGACAAAACCCACAATTACTTTTGCACCAACCTATAGAACCTAGTGTATATCAGAAATAATCCCTGCAAATGTCACATAGTTTATACAACCCTCTGGGCTGTTTCATTGTATAAATATCCCCACTTTGTGAGGAGCCTCATGAGCCTTAGCTAGAGATCTCTTCTATTCTAGGACAAAGGGGCATATCTTGGATGGAGGAAGGGTTCCCTGATGTCCCAGATCTCTCTTTTTATCTGAACCATTTTTGTTGTTGTTGTTGGTTTTATGTTTAAAATAATTTAGTAAAACATGATACTTGGTAAGATCTCTGGTTCTGTGAGTTTGTTTTGACATTCTCATCCTATGTGGATCTCAAAAATCAATTATTTTTCATAGAGATATAAAAATGATAAAACTCTTCTTTGTAGATACCCTCATATTTACCATTTGGCACAATCTTAATTCTTTTGTGTAGCCCCACATTTCCATGTTGTAATGTAGGTCTCCTGTTGACAAATTATCTCAACTTCTGTTTGTATGTATTTTTTAAACATATTTTTACTCTGTTCAGAATTCTGGGTTTTAAGGGTTCTTTTATAAATGCTTTTTATTCAGCATTTTAAAAATAACTTTTAATTATTTCCTGGTCTGACTAGTTTCTGATGAGGTTGGCTATCATTCCTGTAGTTTTCCCTCTAAACTTACTTGATTTATCTTTGTCTCCAGTGGCTGTTATGATTTTCTCTTTAACACTAATTTTAATCAATTAGATTATACCACTATTTGGTGTAGTTTTCTTGGAGTTTATGCCACTTGCACTTACTTGAGCTTTTTGGATGTGCACATTTAGAGTTTTTGTCACAGTTAGATAATTTTCAGCCCTTATTTCTTTATAGATTTTTGTTCTGCTTCTCCCTTTTCTCTTCCCCTACTTAGACTTCAATTATACCTATGTTAGACCACTTGACATTAATCCAAACATTATAGTCCCTATTAACTTCCTGAGACAGACTTCTTTCTATATTTTCTGTCTCTTTCTCCTTTAATTTCTTGCTGTTTCTGTTGATTTCTATGTATTCCAGTTCATTTATCTTTTTTGCTGTCTAATTTACCATTAATTCTACTCACAGAATTTTTCATTTTAGCCATTGTATTTCTCCTAGTACATTTTCCTTAATTTGTTTTTTTTTAATTTTTGATTTCCATCTCTTTACATTGATGTTTAACTACTTGAAAATACTTTAAATAGGTACTTTAATAACTGTGTTCTATATCTATCATCTCTTTTATTTTATGTATGATTATAGTAACTGAATATTTTCCTAGTTATTGGTCATATTTTCTGGCTGCTTCAAATACCTAACAATTTTTTAAAATTATTTATTGCTGGCTACTATGATATTTACCTGAAGTACTGATATTATTATGTATGGTTAATGATTTATTTTTTCTTATGTGGATATATAAATTAGCCAGTAACATTTATTAAAAATTGTCATCTATCTCCAATGCATTACCAATGTCAACTTTGCTGTAAATGAAACATTCGTAAATGTGAGAGTATGTTTTTGACATTTCTCTTGTTGCTTTGAACTACTTACAATTTTTAAATAAATACTCCAACTTTCTATTTCTTCTTTTGACAATTTTGATAACTTGCTTGTTTCAAGAAACTTGTTACTGTTATGTAGTACTTAAAATTACTGGCAGACATTTGCAGGTGATATAATCTCCTATCTTCATAATATCCATAACATCTTTTTAAATTTTAGTTATGCCTCTTTTATTTCATATAATGGTCATTTATACTCTTTTTTTAATCCATAATAAGTTGTTACTGTAACTCCAAGGATTTGGACTAGGTTCCATTGCTCACTGCACAGAAAGCCAATCAGTGAGACAATGAGTATTGACAGAGAAGAAGGCTTTTTATTCAGGTGATGTCAGCTAAATAGATGGAAACCAAACCTCAAATCCATCTCTCCCAATTGAATAAAATTGTTGGTTTATAGAACAGGGAAGAAATATAGCTACCTGTGGGAAGGAATGCAGCAGGAAAACAGGAATTAGGAAGGGATAACAAAGCAGTCATGATGGATGAGAGGTCTGGGGTCTGATTGTCTGGATGTGGTTATCTACTGTGTTTCAGGTCCTTGCCTGAGGTTTGGTTTCCTGAAAAAGAAACTCAGATAAGAAAAACGTAAGATTCGAGTTTTAAGTCCAGGTAGAGTAAATTTCTATGTTTATTCAAAAAAATCATAAATATTAGTTTTATGGGACAATTTGGCTGGTTTCAAAGTATTGCTGGAGATCTATTAATAATATTCAACTTGATAAAATCAAAATTTGGCTTTATTTATGATTTTTCTATTGCATAAATTTATAAAATATATTTTTCCTCATTTATATTATTTCTTTATCTATATTTTTTTATATTTCTATCAAGAAATATAATATTTCTATATTTAAATTTTATCATAAATAAAAATTAACTTCAAATTGATTTTGTTGGCAAAACACAAGGTTTCGAAATACTTGTTCAAATTTTAAAACATTTTTTCCTTCATAATTCTGAAACATGTATAAAGATTACATAAGCTCAGTCATCATATAATTAAAGAAAAAACATGACCCCAAAGGGACCAATGTTTAAAAGAAGAAGATAGCAATGTGGCATTTTCTAAAGTGAAAGATTTGTGGAAGAAGTGTAGACTTGGGTTTTACAGATAATTGGAGGAACTGCTAGCCACAATGAGTTATTTGCTTTAGAATCCTGGAACTGGGAATGTGTGTGTGTGTCAAGAAGTTGGGGGAGTTGGTGATTAGAATGATGTCCATTTTATATGACATGAAGGGTGTTTCCATCAAGAACTTTTAAAATGAAACAGCAATAAATTATCTTTGAGGTTCTAGAAATTTCAATGCAACTACCTCTACTGGTGATTTATATTTTAAAAACAAAATGCCAGTTATGTTTTTAGAAAGTCCTCTCTCTTTCAAATCGTGAAAGACAATTTTTATTATTTAAGGGCAATATATAAACATTATAGCTGAAACTCAAGAACAGTAGTATTTAAATATCTCTTGCTTCTGGGAAATGTTCATTCTCATATCATACAGGATACAAGAAAATCCTTCACATGGTTGGGCACAGTGGCTCAGGCCTGTAATCTCAGCACTTTGGGAGGCTGAGGTGGCAGATCATCTGAGGTCAGGAGTTCAAGACCAGCCTGGCCAACATGGCGAAATCCCATCTCTACTAAAAAATATAAAAAGTAGCTGGGCATGGTGGCAGGCGCCTGTAATCCCAGCTACTCGGGAGGCTGAGGGAAGGAGAATTGCTTGAACCCAGGAGGCGGAGGTTGCAGTGAGCCTGAGATCATGCTGCACTCCAGCCTGGCTGACAGAGAGTGACACCGTCTCAAAAAAAAAAAAAAAAGAAAAGAAAATCCTTCACATGCCACTCTCATAATTTCTACAGATTCTTCTCCACTTTGTACTAAAGTAAGAGACAAGCATTCTCTCACCACAGTGTTTAATAGTGAAGATGTTTGTTAGCAACAGCGCTTTTTACCAAAGGGACCTGGCAATCATTTACAGTTTCCAACAACATCAGCAACAACTCACCTTTGTTAAAGAGTTGCTATGTAACAGGCATTTTTCTAAGTTATCGTCCATATATTTGGGGTTGCTTTTGAGTGTAGTGGCACAATCATGGCTCACTACAGCCTCAACTTCCTGGGCTCCAGTGATTGTACCACCTCAGCCTCCTGAGTAGCTGAGACCACAGATATGAACAACTACACCTGGCTAATTTTTAAATGTCCTTTTTTGTAGAGATGGGGTCTCACGATGTTTCCCAGGCTGGTCTCAAACTTCTGACATCAAGTAACCCTCCCACCTCAGCCTCCTAAAATGCTGGGATTACAGATGTGAGCCACTGGCACCTGGCCATATTCACTTCTTGAATCAGCATAATAACCCTATAACGTAGGGCTATTTCTTACCTATTTTAAAAAGAGAACTATTGGAGGCAAACAGTTAAATAATTTGCCCAAATGTTGTGTATATATGTAACTTATTTATCTATACTGTTTATCATCGTCTAAAGGAGTAGTCTAATTTTTTTCAGAACCATGTTAGTGGCTCATGCCCGCAATCTCAGCTACTTGGGAGACTGAGAAGAAGGATTGTTTGAAGACAGGAGTTCAAGACCAGCCTGGATAACATAGTGAGACCCTATCTCTAAAAAAATTTAAAAACTTATCCAGGCATGGTGATGCATACCTATAATCCCAGCTACTGGAGAAGCTGAGGCAGGAGAATCCCTTGAGCTAAGGAGGTGGACCATGGAGTAAGTGATCCATAATCGCACCACTGCACTCCAGGCTGAGAGACAGAGGGAGACCTTGACTCTAAAAATTAAATAAATAAATAAATAAATAAATAAATAAATAAATAAATAGAAAAAATTCAGTTGAACAACAGACATTTGATTGTATGTCCTGTACAATAATTCATCTTCTTTGGCTTATTCCTATTTCAGCTAAGGCATTAGCATACTTACCATACATTCTGTTATTTAACATTTTTCTACCAGGTAAATATCGCTAATATACTTTAGAATAAAGAAAGTAGTTTAATGTTTTCTAGGTCAACTTCTGACAATATAAGGCATGTAGTTATATAGAGAGGTGTATCTTTCTCTAGCATTGATAATTGTTTTACAGTCTTAATGTGTATGATTTTATAACTATTGCATCTCTGTAATCCATAATATTTTACCTATATTTCTAAATTGATATTATACCACTTTTTTCTTGGTTAACAAAGATCAGTTTTATAACTACCAAGATGATCCTTACTTCTCTCACCAAATCAATGTAAATATATTGTAATATGGACCTCTCCTACTTTTCTCTAAAGATTTTCCTGAAAAATGGATTATAAACAGACTTGAGAAAGCATATAACAATCACTAAAATAAAAGATGTCACACATCTCCTGCAGCTAATTTATTTGGGGTTCTCTGCTTGTTCCTTCCAGGGTTTCTTTAAGCATAAGGTGGTAATGGCTCCTCAGTTGTTAGCTCCAAGAAGTTTACCTCATCCTGTTGGGCTTTTTTCTACTCCTACCCATATCTCTCTTTATGGAGTCTCTCCATTGACTCCATAACAAACTGTTAGGCCCTCTGTAAGTTTATCCTTAGTAAATCTCCTCTACTCAGTGATACAGAATCTGAGAATTACTCATAGAGGATAATTTATAGAGATAATTAAGCAGAAAGATAATTATTAAAAAGACTTTGGCATCTGGTTTTCTCTGTAACTCTAAAGTTTTTTTCTCATATTTTTACAGCTACTCTATACAGGTATGATAAATCAATTTGAAAGAATAAAACATACTATAATAGCATTAATAATAACATTGGATAGAGCCAATCAGCAATAAAAAGGCACAAACTACTGACACATGAATTTCAGACATGATGCTGTGTGAGAGATCAAACACAAAATAAGCACAAACTCTTCTAAGCCATTTATACGAAGCCATACCATGACCAAACTAATTTATAGTGATAGAAACCAGAACAGACAATACTTGGGGGGGCAGACTGATAAAAAGAGGAATGAGGCAATTCTCTGGGGTGGTCAACTGTTGTATGTTTTCATAGAAATGCTTGCATTTGTCAAAATTAATTAAACTTATACAATGTATGTACATCATACCTAAAGACATAACCTATAAAAATTGAATAAGCAACATGAGAGTTAAGTGCTTTGTTGTTGACAGCCTCTGATTCAGGAAGTTAGCCATCTGGAATTGGGGATGCTGAGGAAAAGCCCTACCTGTACCAGTTCTGCATTAACTGCCATGGACATCTGTTCATCATTTATTCCTGTTTGGCCAAGATTGTCCCCATTTATGTATATTTTCCCAATGGATTAGTTAATTTCACCTCCAATCACTCCCAAAATTGAACCAGTTTGAAAGATAAATAATATGGTCATATTAGAATTAATTAGCCACAAGAGAAAGCAAAACCCCAGTTGGACTGACAGAATTAGTTAGCTTGATAGGCTCCTCAGCAAACTTAGTGAAATTTGCATAAGCATCTTGTTCCCATTTACAAACTCCTAATCTCTAGTGCTCAATATCAGAAAATGCCTCTTGAGACATTCTCTCTTACTTACACTTTTCCCCAGTCAACTCTCTATTTGCATCTTCTAATCAGTACTTTCAAATCTTTATTCAATTGAAAAAAAAGTCCCTGAAAATCTGAACTTGACAAATAATTACAGAAGGCTAATCCTCAAGTTGTTTAAACTCAATCAATATAAAACACTATTCGACACCTTGCTTCAGAAACCAGCTTCTCCCATAATATCTAATTGTATCTAGTTGATAGCATAGTAAAGTATCTTAAAAAATGGACCCAAAATGTAATAAAAATAAACTTATATTTCTTTCTTGTTTCTTCGGGAAGAAGATGAGGAAAGTACCACTACTCTCCATCATTTAACCCAGGCTGACAGCAGCTCCATCATCTTCAATATATAACTTCCAATGTCTCCTTGGGCATTACCCTCCCAGGTAGCCAGAGAGGAGGAACAATCATGGAGTAAAATAAGTAGTGGGAGAGACGGACTGTGGATGTAATAGATTCGGTATTCACAGGACGCACAATACTTCTCACTTTTTATTACCTGGAACACAATCAGATGACCAGATCCAACTGCAAGGAAATATGGATAATGAAGTGTACATGTACGCCAGGAGAAGGGAAGAAGATGGATATTGATAAAGAGCAATTTCTGCCACATGTGCTGATAATCTCCCTATTGGTCTTCCTAATTCTCCTTTTTCCTATAATACATTATTTATATCACAGACAGAGAAGAATTATAGTAAAATATATCACATTATGTACTTCGCTGATACAACTTCTTTACTTCCCTATTAGATTTATGATATAATCCAAATTATGATGGACAGACTCTAAGGTTCTAGATATAATAGGTCCTGACTCACATCTTACCCACTGGGCTCCAATGACACAGCCTTGAACTTACCTAATTTGTTCCTGGTGTGAGGTCTCTGTATTAACTGCTACTTTATCTATTTTCTTTATAGCTACTTTATGCTATTTTCCCCATACCTCAATTATACTTGTTATAATTATGTTCAACAATGAAAAACCAAAAATTCTACCATGGTGGTTTTTACAAAACAGATTTATTTGTCTTGCACAACAAAAATTTAAGGGTAGAGTGTCTAGAAATTTTCTGGTAGCTCAATCATAATGTAAATGAATCAGGATCCTTCTAACTTTCTGCACAACCATGTTTTGTGTAGGTCTTTTGTCCTCATGAAGAAAGCCATGTGGTCTACCTCCAGGCATCATATCCATACAAAGGGAGGAATAAGAAGGAAGTCCTCAAAGTCTTCTTCCTACAAGAATTTGTTTATATATTCTGTTAGGAAAGCCCTATTTTCATATTTATTTCTTCATCACATAGACCAGAAATATGCCCTGTTGACATTTCTACATGAAAAGAAGGTTAGACGTTTTAGCTTTTATAATAGTAAAAGCAAGAATGAGAAGTACTGCATGTAGTTTTTGGATTACCAATTACAGCAACTTCCAAATCCCAGATCTTCAAAAGCACATTTGCTGATAGTCATTCAGTTTTAGATTAAATGTCACCTCTTTGAAGAGGCCTTCTATGTTGATAATTTCCTATGTGCCATCCTATATTATTCTTTACCTTGCTATGTTCCTAAGACGCTAACTTTTGTGGAGGGCTTCAATTGAATCCTTCACCTCTGACCTGTAGTCAGTGAGATTCTGGAGAGTGGAAAAGGCTGATTGTGGGTTACTCCTCTCCCAGCCCCCTCCTGCTTATCCTAAAGTTGTCTCTCCTGCAACGTCCTGCAGCTCCTCTCTGTCACACATCTCCTATAGCTAATTTATTTAGGGTCCTCTGCCTGTTCCTTCCAGGGTTTCTTTAGGCTTAAAGGTGGTAATGGCTCCTCAGTTGTTAGTTCCAAGGAATTTACCCCATCTTGTTGGTTTTTTTCTAGTCCTGCCTACATCTCTCTTTATGAACAGTCTCTCCATTGAACTTTTTTTAATTGCCCTGTTTGAGAGGACCATTTATGTCTTGCCAGCAACATAACATACCTTTTAAATTACCAAGTGTAAGGTACGTCACCAATAGCCCTATTCTCATCACTCTGTTTTTTTCAATACTCTATTTTAAACTTGTGAAGGATTTACCATTATCTGAAATGATTTAATTATGTATACAACGTTCACCTCCCCCTAGTGCAAGCTCCTTAAGAATAGGCATTATATCTGTTTTGTTACTGTTTTATTTCTAGTGTCTAGTATACAGACTGCTGTATAATTTTTGTTCAAGATTTGTTGAATAAATACTGTGAATAAATTTTTGTTCAAGATTTGTTGAATAAAGTGCGACAGGGCGCGGTGGCTCACACCTGTAATCCCAACACTTTGGGAGGCCAAGGTGGGCGGATCACGAGGTCAGGAGATCGAGACCATCCTGGCTAACATGGTGAAACCCCGTCTCTACTAAAAATACAAAAAAATTAGCCAGGTGTGGTGGTGGGCCCCTGTAGTCCCAGCTACTCGGGAGGCTGAGGCAGGAGAATGGCATGAACCTGGGAGGCGGAGCTTGCAGTGAGTGAGCCAAGATTGCGCCACTGCACTACAGCCTGGGCCGACAGAGCGAGACTCCATCTCAAAAAAAAAAAAACTAAGGGCTAAAGTCATACTTGTTGATTGAATGCTGCCTGGACGGCCTCCTCCTGCAATAACCTGAGCTCCCACATACCTTTAGCTCAACACCATGCCCCATATAGATTCACCAAGAACACCTCTCTATACCAAATGTATCTGCAGTTGAATTCTACCCCTTTTCTGGATTTCCAAGCTTCTGCTTATCACAAAGGTTTACAGTGGCTTCAGATTTCTACATAAATCCTTCTTTCTTTTTCAGTGAAGATTTCTAAGTTAATTTTTTTTTCTATACTGTGGTCATAATTATCTTTGGCCATGTAAACTTTCACTAAGCAGTGAAGTCTATTTCAAAATTTAAGGAAAAATTACATGATTGCTGATGATAAAGGACACAAAGGACACTTGTACTTTGGTTTCTTAGTTGTGGACAAACCGACATGTTTTTTTCATTCTCAGAATATTTATGCTAATGTGGCTTTATATATGTCATAGTTCTAAATTTCGTGTCAATGACTGTTTTCCGACATTGGTTCCAAAATAGGTTAAATAGTCTATCACACTTTTATAAGTATTAATGGTTTCATTTTCTGCTCAGGGCAGTTTCTTAATAACTGTCTTTCATTGAAATACTTTCATACTCAGAAATTAAGGCTGCAGAGAGATTAAGCTGTGCTCCGAAGCATAAACATTCAAAACACAACAGGCAATAGGCACATTTCAGAGTTTCTAATTGAGAGATTGTATATCGGTTGGAAAAGGCATAAACAAAAGGTAATCTGACATAGTTATAACATTTGGGTTAATCACAGCCTTGTTTAAGTGGGATGATTCATCTACCTGTGTTGTGTTGTTATTGTTATATATATTACATCATTTGGGGATGAAATGGAGTCTTTTAGTTCCCATTAATAAAGTATTAACATGGAATATCTTAAAAGTGGATACACACACACACACACACGAAAATTATTCAGAAAATGTGTCAGAAACAATATTATGAAAAACAAAGAAGGAAGTCAAGATTAGAGAGATCAGACTCAGCTTGAGCTTACTGAAAAAAAATGGGCAAGTAAGAAATGTTAAAAGACTTCATGTTTGAAGTCATAAGGTGATAAACATTAAAAGAGTGCTAAAAAGCCCTTATGTTTATCTTTAAAATAATAGGTAGCTTCGGAGGAAAGCCAACATAGAAGGATGAAAATAAATGTAATTTTTCAATAATATTGAAAGGGCTTGGCCCATCTCTGATCAGCATGTCATGGCTCGATATGCTTCATTCTACTTAACTCTTCTCTTCTCCAAAATTCTATGTTGCCTTTCAAGGAAGGTATCATCATTTACACAAAGGTGGGCAGGCATCACGTGCTGTCCTGCTCACCTGCTGCCACAGTGCAACTTTCAGCAAATTACTCTCTGGCTCCTGTCCTCGTATAATTTCAAAACCAGCAACCCAAAATAAAATTAAGGAAAATAATTGCAAAGGGATTTAAAGAAGCAGAAAGAGAAATTCAGCAAAAGCATGATGTTGGTAAACACATTTTTAAATCGGGGCCTCCCCAGTATGTTTAAAACTTAAAATAATAATATATTTTGAAATAAATGGTTACTTTCAAAATGACAGAACTATTTCATTCAACTTAAAATTGTAAAATGGGTCTATTATTGTAAAATTTACCCCACCTCTCTTTACTTTATCACTGTTTTCTTTTTGTGTCTTTGCTTTGACATAAGTCTAAAAATTAAATGCATGTAATTCCATGGTTCACTGAGTATTATGCCACACAACTTTGCAGCATGTCACTAGCAGTGTTATTGACCAATTAAAGGATAGCATTTAAATTTTATTGTTTTTGAAGGTAGGGTAGCTCATCATATTTTCATTTCTCTTTTAATTCACTTCAAATGAAGACTTTGAGATTCGTAAGTCGTAACATAGGTGTGTTCGAAAGAGAAGGCATTTACCTAGCCAGCTGCATGTTACTCATAACACGTACCATATTTCACAGTGTGCAAACTTCAGGAGGGGGAAAAAAGGTTACAACCCTTATATGTGAATGGGGCCATTATATACTTCAAATTAAGCCAATGAAGAAATGAGAAACAAAAGATTACAGAATTGTATAGTCTTCAGTAAGCAGGCAAGTGACTCCATACAGAAGAGCCAGTGAGCCAAACAGAAAGCATAATAGAATGTTTCTTCCAAATTTCTCATAACATGGACATTTCTATTTTATTCATTTTAAATAATGGAGCAACTTAAAGGCTGTGAGAAAACAATTTCCTCCACATATGTATGCTTTTGAAAAGTTTTGCTGGACATGTAGACAATTAGAACACTATAGTAATAGAAAAATAGAATTTTTTTATTTAGAAATAGAATATTTTTCCATTCTGTGTAATAGAAAAAATTACACAGAATTATATATGATATATATTACATAGTGTGCATGTATTAAATATATACTTTTAAAACTAATTTTTATTACAAAGCAATATGTGAGAAGTTAAAAACAACCAAATAAAAATAGTCCATTACAATTACAATAATTTTGTTTTTGTTTTTGTAAAATTTCTGATTGGTCCCTTCAAACAGAGATTTTCCAATTTTTTCAAAAATTATATTAATAGTATTACAAAATAAGATTATCAGCAGATGTATCATTTAGAATAAATGTAATAATATATCCTATAGTTATTGTTAGTATAACACTTAAAAGAGTTTCTCAGAATTTGTAATAGCATATAAAGATAGTAATATAATGATTATTATTTAATATTAATACTAATAGAATGAGTAATAGTAAGAGAATGATAGTATTTAAATTAATAGTAATAGAATTTAATAGCACTTAAATTGATATATTTATTTCAGAGCTCCATTCTTCCAATTTAAATTTAATTTAAATTAAAATTAATTTTCAATCAAAATTTCCTACAAATACTATCTTTATATTAAATTTTAATTTGTCAGTTCAATTGATTGCAGTAATAAAAATAGTGATAATAACTTAATCTGGAAGAAAAATTCATACCTAGAGACTTATAGTAAATACTTAAATTCAAAAAATAACTTAAAAATTGTATTAAATAAAAAATTTATGTTGTATATGTGAATGTGCACTTGTCAGTTAACAAGATAATTTAAGAATAAAATATATTACTATAATGTAAACTTCTGTGGAAAAAAAGAAAATTCAAATTCATTATGATAAAAAGGAAACTGTCAACTTTCTATTAATATATGGGCTTAATTGTATTCCTCATTTAATATGATTAAAAGACTAATGTAACATGTATTTTAATTGTCAATATTTGTACTAGACTGGAAATTGTTTATTTCAAGCATTTAAACATACGTTAAAATATTTTGATATAAACTTGGAAATGTATGAGGGTATATAATGTTTTCCAAAATTATTTTATGGGATGCACAGAACTATCTTTTGAAGACCACTGATAAAACATGTTACCAAAGTGATTGGACTTAAACAGGAGATAAAATTATTTCATGGGAACAAAAGGAAAGAAAGGAAGACTAGTTGCAAATGGAGCTGTGGTGGATGATGAGGGAGGAAATTTAAAAAAAAATTGTCTTTTAGCTATAATGTTTTCAATGAAATCAGAAGCTGGGATGCAGGGAGAGCTTTTATTTTAGTAAAATAAGTCACAGTTTGGTTTAGATGGTTAAGAGAAAATGAAAGAAAAGTGTCAGCATTGGGAAGATTTAAGGACTACTAGGGACTATTAAAAGATTGATAACCAATATGGTGAAAACTTTTCTGTACTGAAAATACAAAAACTAGCTGGGCACGGTCATGCGTGCCTGTAATCCCTGCTACTCAGGAGGCTAAGGCAGGAGAATCACTTGAACCCGGGAGGCGGAGGTTGCCATGAGCCGAGATTGCACTATTGCACTCCATCCTGGGTGACAAAGTGAGACCCTGGGCCCCGATACCAAAAAAAAAAAAAAAGAAAAAGAAAAAGAGAAAGAAAGAGATTGTTAAGGCAAAATGCAATGAAACAGCAATAACATTAATGCATGTTTTATACAATGTCTATCGTTTTCAGGAGCAGTTCTGAGAAACTTAAGTTTAACCCGTGTAACACTTAGCACACAGCCTGCTACCGGAGACACCTACAGCAGAATGTAAAGACGGCTGAAATGATTCAGATACAGGTAGAATTTTGCGGTGTGTGTTTTGTGTAATATAGGACAAATTGTACCTGATTCTCTTCCAAAGATTTCATTAACAAAGATGTAAATACTTGGGCTGTGAAGTAACGTATAGCAAACTCGTGCAACTGTCATTTTTTGAGAACCCACAAAAGAGAGACTTCAGCAGCATGGTGGAGTTCAAGTCAGTGAAATGAGAGAAACTGAAAAAGGGAAAGTCATCATAGCTGAGCACCTACTATGTACCAAACAAGACGCAAAGTGTTTAATGTTCATTACATTATTTAATTCAAAAGTAACCTTATGAAGTGGGTATTATAATTATCTGCACTTTGAAAGTGAGAAAACTGACTCTCGAAATGTTTTAGTAAATTATACAGTATCACCCAAGTATTATGAAATAGTACTATGTCTCAACCTAAGACTTCTGATATCATAAGCAAAGAGAAACAAATAAACAAACACGTTAAAAAGAATCAGAATAAGCGCTTTTTAAGACAGGTGAAATACAGAAGTAGGGAAAATTGAGATATATATTAATTATGTATTAGTTAATCCTCTGGAAGCTGGTTTCAGAACAGGCAGCTGTTAACTATTAATAGTTCAATTGATGAGGGTGCCTTTAAAGATTTTTCCTCTTAAGTGTTTAGAATTCAAAATTACTACTGCAGAGTTACAGAGAAAAAGGAACATTTTCTCCTTCCTTGATGATAAGAAATGCATTGCATTATTTTAGTGGCTGTCAATTAAACACAAATTAAAACATAAGTAGTATTAAATCTGCAAAATCACATTCTTAATTGGGATACTAGCTTACTTATTTAATTCTCATCTCTGAAAAACATTAATTGAGATGTATAAAAATGTATCTGTGGTACACAGGGAAGTGAGCTCTTAATTGTGAAACGAAATATCTCTCTCATTGAGTTTCTCTCTCTTGTTAACAGACTTGATGACAAGTAGAGTACTTTATTAACTTCATGGATGTGTATGAATAAAACCAATAATTAAAATGCTCATTCTTAGAACTGACTTATTTACATGCAGTTCTGGCTGTCAAGCTTAACAATTATTAAATTGAGAACAGTGCATATGAGGACTGCAGTAGGATTCACAACATGATTCAAAAATTACCATGGATTATACAGTCATATTAAGAGGCTTTTGGATAAAATTGAGAGAGGAAGATTATTCTGGTGATATATTTTATAGCTTAATCATGTCTGAAGAGAAGTATAATCACATAATAATTTACCCAGCAGCAGATATATTTTGGAGGCTATTTTAGAGTAAGAGCAATGTATTTTCTGAAGTAATGGTACTTAAATGTGTTTTAATATTGGTATGTCCTTAGAATAGAGATTGAATAATTGTTCTATTGAAATGTACTGTTGTTGTACAAGTGTATACAAAGACAAATTTTTACAAATTATAGAAAAAGAGAGATGTGTGTTTACTAATATAATATTTGATAATTTGCACTCTGTATGCTAAAGTATGTTCGTCCTTGTTTTCTTCACAATTATTCTGTCTAGATCACATGGTCCTGAAGCAACCAGATTTCAGTTCATTATTCTAAGATAACTAAAGAAGCATTTGTTAATTTCCCCATGATAAAATATACGTAATTTGATTATCTAGTGCAAGTTACAGATTTAATTAATAGAATAACAAATAAATGGTTTTAGAACATATTGCAGATAGCTTCCCCTTGTCTTTGGGGCAATCAGCTATAGCCTGACTTTCCACTGGAATTCTAAGTTTTAAAACTGGGTTATATTGCTTAGATGTTGTTATGCATTTATTTTTTATTTACTCCATTATTGTTCAATATTTTTGTAGCCAGGAAGCTGCCAGTACCAACTTTTGGCCAGATGATTTAATAAATGGACTAAAAGAGTGAAGCTCTACTTATCCTATCACATTTTTGAATAAAACAATATTTTGAAATGAAACTTAACATACATATATTTGCCAAAAACCACTAACGGCAAAGATTACCTTTTGTATTTTTAAAGCTATTATTAAGATCTTTTTAAAACTAATAAATTTTATAACATGAAAACAATTACTAATTCTTGCTTTTGAAAGATATAACTCCAGCTGAAAGGAAGTCTTTCACAGATGTTCTGAGAACCTCTTTTGATCATGTGATTACTTTGCAAATATTCCTGGTAAGAAACAATAGAGAATGATTTCTGTCACCTCTATGTGATTTCCATAATGTAAAGTCTTTTCTGTACTTTAAGAATATCTCAAAAAAAGAATAAGCAATTTTTAGCTATTTAGGAAAATTAACTTTTAGTTTGAATGATGTTTGTTTTAATCACTGGTGTGTTTTCCAAGAAAATTCATTTATTTTGTAGTGTTCTCAGTACTTGTAAAAGTATTACTCATGATTTTTAAAGAGCATGTACAATTAGCAACAGAAGATAAAGTATGTGGTATCTAAAAAAAGTACAAGCATGATCTAGAAAGCAAATGAGAAAACAAAACATACACAAGAAAGAATATTATTTAACCAGATAGATTTTATATCTCATTGCTTGAAGAGAAATAATTGATCTAAACAGGGGTTCTCAAACTTTTGAGTCTAGAAATCCTTAAATTCTTAACACTTATTGAGGTCACCGTAGAGTGTTTATTTATATGGATTATGTCTATTGATATTTTCTACTTTTATAATTAGAAATAATAATTTAAAAGTTTATTAATGTATTTAAAATAACACTAATAAACCCATTAAAGTTTAACATAAATAAAATATTTTTATGGAATAAAAGAATATTTTATAAAATCAAACAAAAATTAATTAGAAGAGAGACAATGTTTCACATTTTATAAATCTCTTCACTCTCTAGTTTAATATCATACAGCTGAATTCTTATCTCTGCTTTTTATGTTTTCAAAAATTTATTAAATACTTTAGACAAGAATCCATTTTTATTTGTTTTCTTTTGAGTTAGGAATAAAATGGATACTTAATATGTATTTCATGAATGAATGAATCAATGAAACCATGTATTCAGGTATATTACTTTTGTTTTTTGAAAATTTGAGTTTAATGCATCTTTTCATTTTCTTTCTCCTTAATTACACTCTCCTAATTTGATATCAGATACTAATGTAACAAAAGCAAAATAGTACCTCATTGTGCTTAGTTTTATAAAATACTTTTACTCTCTGTCAGATTTTAACCTGCCTGTGGAAAGAGCTAAGTGAGCTGAGCAGGCACAAAATAATTATCTGTAGATTGGTATTCATTTAGCATGAAAAATTTATTGTGTTAAAAAAAGATTTTACATCTTAATCACATTCCCAAATACCAGGTATCACTCTTGGTATAGTGATAAGAATCGTCTTACTGTTTAGCCTTTGAGAACAACAATTAATTATAGAGAAAATTATCATATATTTAAATATATTGTCAAACATATGTATCATATAACACTTATGTAATTAGGCATCTTATTCATTTTATTCTTAATTTTTTTCAAACTGGGAATATACCAAAAGATCATATAGTCCAAACTCTTCATTTTTCGTTAGAAAATTAAATCTTAATAGAAGATGACATTTTCTAATACATTTAATCAAGATAAGAGAATACTTCAAGACAAAAGTCAATTTTGGTGTTTTTAAAATTTTGAACATAACTTTTTCACATAAAAAATTTATTCAGGGATTATATCTATTTGGTTTTTTATGTCACTCAGCCAAGGAAGATAAACTTATGGCTGATTAGTGATTTTTTATTTCTATTAGAAATGCAATTAATGTCTAGTAAGCTTAGTACAATTGTATTTAAAACTAAATTTAAATTTTTGTGGCATGAATATACTGTTTATTAAATTACAATTGCACTCAAGCCAGAAAGTAATTCTCCTGAAACTCCAGCTCTCAGTGCACATACAGACTAAAACTAGACTTGATGTTTTCTAAATTGATGTTAGAGGATTTATTACTCCACCTTACACCTGCACATGTGCAGACTACAGAGGCAGAAAGCTTAGAGAGCAAACAAGCAAAGGTAAATCTGCTTCCTTGTCACTTTATCTTTCCATTTGAGAGTGAAAATTTGAACTGAGGGCAATTTACAACACCATTATAACTTCATTTGCTTATGAAGTATCCTTACCAAATATACCCAAAGAAAGATGTATGGTAGCTTATTTTTAACATAACATGGAAGGTTTTTCATATGACAAATTCATTTCTATTACAAATATTTTCATTGAAATATCTCACTTTATTTTAAAACACATAGTGAAGTTGTTAAATTAATCTAATGTTTTTTAAAAGGTTGTCATCTTAGGTTACTATTGCCCATTAACATGTACTACAAAATACATATTAATATAATACATAAAACATTATATGTATCTGTATGTCTTCTAATAGGCCAAGAGATTAGATAATAATTACTCACTATTATATAGATATTTCTAAAGATGATTTATCTGAATTCACTAACATTTATTTAATCCTTCTTTCCTATAGAAATACAAGAATGTTTAATCATTTGCAACTTAGACAAGATTACATTTTATTATTCCAAGATATTTGACAAATTCTTATAGATAAAAATAGTCATTCAAAGTAATATACTATTAACTTATGTAGGCAATACAGTTTGTGTTTCTATGTGGGCTTATTATACATAATATTTATATTAGAAGAATGCCCAGTCACTTTAACTTTTCAAGATGTGTTTTCTCCAGTGGATTTTCAGAGCATAGAAAAATACTTAAAATAGGCATATTATGGGGATTCTGGAAAGATGGTAGAGTAACAAACACTAGGAATCTGTCTTTCTACCTAGTCAACAATTCCACTGGCAAAAATCTGTCTCATGTAACTATTTTGAAACCCTAGCATCTAATAAAGGCTTGCAATTTCCAGGAGAAATACTTGAAAGATAAATGGTAATTGATTTTGGTCAATTTCAGCTCTGAGCATAGTAGCAGCTACACTTACCCAACCCTAAACCCCTGGCAGGCAGCTGCGCACATGTTCCTGGAAGAGCTTGCACACAGCCTGCAGATGCCAGGGCAAAAAGACCCTGTCCTGCAAATACCAGGGATCTGTGCCCTGACTGCTGATTGCTATTTTCAATCATAGAAGTGTTTACAAAGAGATGGGTAGCCATTGTTTTTGAACCATCTCCCACAGTTGCAAACCTCTCCCCATCTGGCTGAAATAACTTTTCAGGGATTTAAAGGGTCAGCTCATAATTTTTATCCAACCTTTATTTTTCATTTTTTCCCCTTTTGGGAAACAGGCATTTAGGGCTAGGATGCTCAAAAGCATCTGCATATGTGGAGAAACTTAGAAAGTGACCATGCCTGCCCACAGAAAGGGAAAAAACCCAGAAAAGATGTAAAAAGACCTTGAGTTTACACCTCAGGCTGATCCTTAACATAGAGATAGGCAACAACTGTCAAAAAAGCAAAAACAATAAATAAACACAATAGCAAAACAAAACAAAAACCCAGCAAGCACTACTGAAGGGAAAGCTACTGATTTCTATAGTTACCACATAATTAAATTCATTCAATTTTTAACAAAAAAATCACAAGACATGCAAATAAACAAAAAAGTATACCCCATTCAAATAAAAAGTGAACAAAAAAGCTGTTCTCAAGAAGACCTGATGGCAGATCTAATTGACAAATATCTTGAAACAACTATCTTAAAGATTCTCAAAGAACTAAAGGAAGACATGGAGAAAAACAAGAAAATCATGTACAAACAAAATGGAAAGGTCACTAAAGAGAATGAAAATTTTAAAAGAAACTAAAAATATTCCAGAGCTGAAAAATATAATAACTAAAATGAAAAATTTACTAGAAGAATTCAAAGGCAGATTTGAGCAGACATAAGAAAGAATTAGGTAACTTGAAGATAAGACAATGAAAATATTAAGTCTAAGAAATTGGAAAAAATCACTGATAAAAAGTTAACAGAGTCTAAGGGACATGTGTGACACCATCAAGTGTAGAAACATACACATACTGGGTGTCTCAGGAGGAGAGAGAGAAAAAAAGGAGATGGGAATAATTGAAAAAATAATGTCTGGAAACTTATATAAGCATCCAAGAAGACCATTAAACTCCAAATAAGATTAATTCAAAGAAACTAGCACTCAAGACACATTGTATTCATACTTTCAAAAGGCAAAAACAAGGAAAAAGTCTTAAAGGCAATGACAGAGAAACAACTCATCACACACAAGGAATTCTCAAAAGATTATCAGCTGATTTTTCATCCAAAACTATGGACATCAGAAGGCAGTGGGCCAATATATTTAAAAATGTAAACAACAACAACAAAAGAGAAAAAAGAAACATTGTGAACCAAATTCCTATATCTGGCAAAACTGTCCTTCAAAAGTAAGGAAGAAATTAATACATTCCCAGATAAACAAAGCTGAGGGAGTTTGTTGCCACCATACCTGCCCTGCAAGAAATGATCAGAGTCCTGCAAGAAATGCTCAAGAAAGTCTTCAGGGTAAAAAACTATACAGTAAGTAAAAGCCTCATGAATAAATAAAGTTTTTAATAAAGGTAAATACATGGTAAATTATGAAAGCCAATATTACAAAATTAGCTTGAAAACTTTTATACTTAATTTAAGAGAATAGTGCCTTTAAAATAATTATTAATAAATGTTTTGAGGCATAAACATGCAAAAATCTAATTTTATACATTAAGAACCAAAAGGACTTGGGATAGAGTGGTAAAAAAGCAGATTTCTGTTGTTGTTATTATTAAAGTTAAGCTGAAATTATTCAAATTAGACTAATATATATGTTTAGAATTTTAAATGTAATCTCCAAGATAATCAGAAATATAATAGCTATAGAAAATACACAAATTTAATGAGAAAGGAATTTAAACATTGTACTATAAAAATCAACTAACCACAAAAGAAGACAATAATACAGGAAGTGAGGGACAAGAAAACTACAAGACAAACAGAAAACAAATAGCAAAAGGTTAGGATTAAGTTCTTTATTAGTAATTACCTTCAATATAAATAAACTCTCCAATCAAAAGACAGATTGGAAGAACAGATAAAAGGACAGAATTCAACTATATGCTGTCAGCAAGAGACACCCTTTAGATTCAAGGACAACAGATTGAATGCGAGAGGATGGAAAAATTTATTATATGCCAGAAGTAATCAAAAGACAGCAGAGACGACTAAGCTATATCAAACAAAATGGACTTTAAATTTAAAAAGTTATAAGAGACAAAGAAGAACAGTCTATATTGTTGTAAGTTCTAACACAGCAAGAAGCCATAATAATTATATATTTAAACAGCTAATATCAAACCATCAAAATATATTAGCAAAACTAACAGTATTGAAGAGATAAATAGTCCTGCTGTCATAATTGGAGACATCAATACCCCATTCTCAATAATGGATAGTACATCCAGAGAGGAGATAAAGAAGAAAATAGAGGACTTAACCAAACAATGCAATAAATTAACTAGATCTAACACATATAAAAACACTCCACTGAACAACACCTGCATACACATTCCTTCCAAGTGTGAATGGGACATTTTATGGAATAGAAATTATGTTAGTTTTCAGATAGAGATATCATACATATTTTCTTATGCAGCTATGACAGGATGAAGTTAGGAATTAATAAAAGAAGTAAAACTGTGAAATTCACAAATTGGTGAAAATTAAATAACATTCATAAAGAATAAGTGGATCAAATAAGAAATCACAGCTGACATTTAAAATACTTAAAGACAAATAAAAGTATTATCATAAAAACTTGTAGGACATAGTAAGATGAGTGATAAGAGGAAAATTTATAGCTATACATGCTTACATTATAACACATTGTAAAATACACATTTACATTCTGTCACAATGTAACACAATGTAAAAACACAAAAGTTGTCAAATTAACAACCTATATTTATTACTTAAGAATTAGAAAGGAAGAACAAACTAAAACCAAAACTAGCAAACAAACAAACCAAAAAAAATAAAGGAGCAGAGCTAAATAAAAACAAAAACAATAGACAAAACAATAAAACCAAGTTAGTTCTTTGAAAAGTTCAAAAACATTGACAGAACTTTAGCTGGATGAGATGGAAAAAAAAAAAAAAAGAAGCGATTGCAAAGAGAAAGTTCTTGAAGGAAATTAAAAGTGCCTTTTTTTTTTTTTTTTTTGAGATGGATTCTCACAGAGTCTCACTCTGCTGCCCAGGCTGGAGAACAGTGGCTTGATCTGGGCTCACTGAAAGCTCCGCCTCCCAGGTTCACGCCATTCTCCTGCCTCAGCCTCCCAAGTAGCTGGGAGTACAGGTGCCCACCACCACACCCGGCTAATTTTTTGTATTTTTAGTAGGGATGGGGTTTCACTGTGTTAGTCAGGATGGTCTCGATCTCCTGACCTCGTGAGCTACCCGCCTCGGCCTCCAAAAGTGCTGGGAGCCACCGTGCTGGGCCCTCTAAAAGTTCTTCTTTAGTGAACATGTGAATAATAAGAAAATACAATAGCCTTATTGCTGATAGGAAGAAAGTTTCAGTGATCAACCCAGCCATAACATTCTCTTCAATGAAAGCCTAATTGAGAGCAAAGCTCTTGCTCTTCCATTCTGTTAAAGCTGAATAATAGAGTTGAGGAAGGTGTAAAAGAAAAGTGGGAAGCTAGTAGAGGTTTATTCATGTGGTTTAAGGAAAGAAGCCTTTTCCATAACTTAATAGTGTAGAGTGAAGCAGCAAATGCTGAAGGAGAAGCTGCAGCAAGTTATCTTGAGATATAGATAACTAATGAAGGTGGTACACTGAAAAACAGGTTTTCAATGTAAATGAAACAGCCTTATATTGGAAGAAAACAGACATATATATGAAGAAAATGCCTTCTATGATTTTCATAGCTGGAGAGAAGTAACTGCTTGGGTTCAGAGCTTCAAATGACAGGCTGACTTTTTTGTTAGGTGATAAAGCAGCTAGTGACATTAAGTTGAAGCCAATGCTCATTTACAATTCTGAAAATTCTGGAGCCCTGAAGAATTATGCTTAATCTACTCTGCCTGTGCTATAAATGGAAGAGCAAAGTTTGTATGACAGCATATTGGTTACAGCATGGTTTATTAAATATTTCAAATCCATTGTTGAGACTTACTGCTCAGACAACAAGATTCCTTTCAAAATATTACTGCTCATTGACAATGTCCCCGATCACCCAAGAGCTCTGATGGAGATGTTAAAGGAGATTAATCTTTTTATCCCTGCTAACACAGCATTCATTAGACAGCCCATGGATCAAAGAGTAACTTTGAATTTCAAGTCTCATTATTTGAGACATGCATTTCATAAGGCTCTATATCTTTCATAGATAGTGATTCCTCTGATGGATATGGATAAAGTAAATTGAAAAGCTTGTGGAAAAAATTCACCATCCTAAATTCCATTTAGAACATTTATGATTTATAGGAATCTCTCATGAAAGGAAGAGTCAA
Organism: Homo sapiens; assembly: GCF_000001405.40. Lineage (NCBI taxonomy): Eukaryota > Metazoa > Chordata > Mammalia > Primates > Hominidae > Homo > Homo sapiens. The sequence goes on from NC_000004.12 coordinate 171,105,280, forward strand.
CCAATGTAGCAAATTTTGTTGTCTTATTTTAGTAAATTGACACGGCCTGCTATAGTTTGGCTGTGTCTTCACCCAAATCTCATCTGGAATTGTAATCCTTGTGATTCCTCGTGAGTCCAGGGAGGGACCTAGTGGGAGGTGATTGGATTATGGGGGCAGTTTCCCCCATGCTGTTCTTACGATAGTGAGTTCTCATGTGATCTGATGGTTTTATAAGTGTTTGACAGTTCCTCCTTCACATGCTTATACTCTCTCCAGCTGCCTTGTGAAGAAGGTGCCTGCTTCCGCTTCTGCCATGATTGTAGGTTTCCTGAGGCCTCCCCAGCCATGCAAAAATGTGAGTCAGTGAAACCTCTTTCCTTTATTATAAATTGCCCAGTCCCGGGTATTTCTTTACAGCAGTTTGAAAATGGACTAACACACAGCCACCTTAACTTTCAGAAACCACCACTGTGCTCAGTCAGCAGGCATGAATTTCAAGACCCTTACTAGTAAAAAGATAGTGACTCACTGAAGTTTTTCTTTCCATGTTATAGCAATAAAGTATTTTTAAATTAAAGTATATATCATGTTTCTTTACACATAATGCTTTCGTACACTACAGTATAGTGTAAACATAGTTTTTTTGTTTTGCTTTGTTTTGTTTTGTTTTTTTGAGACAGAGTCTCGCTCTGTTGCTAGGCTAGAGTGCAGTGGCACGATCTTGGCTCACTGCAACTTCTGACTACCTGGTCCATGCAATTCTCCTGCCTCAGCCTCTTGAGTAGCTGTGATTACAAGCACGTGCCACCACACCCAGCTAATTTTTGTATTTTTAGTAAAGACGGAGTTTCACCATGTTGGCCAGGATGGTCTCAATCTCCTGACATCATGATCTGCCTGCCTCAGCCTCCCAAACTGCTGGGATTACAGGTGTGAGCCACCATGCCTGGCCAACATAGGTTTTATGTGTGGTGGGAAAACAAAAAAATTATATAACTTTCTTCATTGAAATATTTGTTGTATTCTGGTAGTCTGGAACCAAACCCTCAATATCACCAAGGTATGCCTGTGCTTTCTAACTCATTATATGAGGCCTGCCATACCCTGATATCAAAGCTAGACAAAAGCACTACCAGAAAACTATAGATCAATATGTCTTATTAACAGTGATGTAAAAATTTTCCACAAATTACTAGCAAATCAAATTCAGCAGCATATTAAAAGATTATATGTCAGAAACAAGTAGGATTTATTCCTGAAATGCAAGCATGGTCCAACCTACAAAAATCAATGTAATATTCCACGTTAATATAATGAAGGAAGAAAACAAACAAACACAATCATCTCATTTAATGCTGCAAAATTATTTGACAAAATCAAGACACTTTCATGATAAGAATTATCAACAAATTAAGAATAGAGGGATGGTACTTTCACAGAATAAAACCCACATATAAAAAACCCATTACTGAAAAATATCCTATAAGAACAGTGAAAAGACAAGGATGTTCACTTTTGTCAATTTTATGCATCATAGTAGTGGGAAGAGTAGCTAAAGAAATTAAGCAAAAAATAAAAATAGAAGGGATTCAACTTGGAAAGGAAGAAGTAAAATTATCTCTGTTCATATACGACATAAACTTACATGTAGAAACCCCTAAGGATACCACAAAGAAATGCCTGTTAGAACTAAAAATTTAAATGATGGAATTAACAGGAGATAAAGTCAACTTGAAAAATTAATTTTAATTGTATATACCAACAGTGAACAATTGGAAAACAAAATTACAAAACAATTCAATTTATGATAGCATCATAAATAATAAAATACTTAGAAATTAACTTAACCAAGAAAGTGAGTCTTATACAATTAAAATTACAAACATTACTGAAAGAAATTAAAGACAACATAAATAAATGGAAACACATTCCATGTTTATAAATTGGAAGACTAGTATTTTTACAGTGTTAATACTACCCAAAGCAATCTACAGACTCAGCACAATCCATATCAAAATCCCAATAAGATTTTGTAGAAATAACCTATTTTAAGATTTATAAGGAATCTCAAGAAATTTCAAATAGCCACAACAATCTTGAAAATGAAAGGCAAACCTGGAGGACTGACACTTCCTGATTTAAAAACTTATCACAAAGGTATAGTAATCAAAACACTGTGGTACTCGCATAAAGACAGACATATAGAACAATGAAATAAAAAAGAAAGCTCACAAATACGCCCTTGTGTATTTGGTCAAATGACTTTTAACAAGGTTGTCCAGCCCATTCAATGTGGAAATGACAGGTTTTTTTACCATTGGTGATGGGATAAATATTCACAGGCAAAAGAATGATGTTAGACCATCATTCAGCACCACATTCAAAAATTAACTCAAAATAAATCAAATGCTTAAATGTAACACCTAAAATATAAAACTCAGGAAAAATACATAGGACAAAATCAACATGACACTGAATTTGGTGTTGATTTCTTGGCTATAACAACAAAGACAAAGGCAACAAAAGAAAAACTAGACAAATTGGATGGTATGATTATTTTAAAGATTATATCAAAGGACACTATTGGCCTGGCTCTGTGGCTCACACCTGTAATCCCAGCACTTTGGGAGGCTGAGGGGGGCAGATCACGAGGTCAGGAGTTCAAGACAAGCCTGGCCAAAATGGTGAAACCCCATCTCTACTATAATTATAAAAGTTAGCTGGGTATGGTGGCTCATGCCTGTAATTCCAGCTACTCAGGAGGCTGAGGCAGAAGAATTGCTTGAATCGGGACCTGGGCACTGAAGTTTGCAGTAAGCCATGATGGCACCACTGCACTCCAACCTGGGCTATAGAGTGAGGCTCCATCTCAAAAAAAAAAAAAAAAAAAAGACACTATCAAAAGAATAAAAAGAAAACCCACAGAACAAGAGAAAATAATTTAAAATCATGTATCTAATAAATATTAGTATTCAGAATACAAACAGAACTCCTAAAATGCTGGAATAAAAAATAATCAATTATAAAATTGGAAAGGGACTTGAACTGACATTTCTCCAAAGATATACAGGTGATCAATAAGTGCATGAAAAGATGTTGAACATCACCAAGTTACTAAGGAAATCCAAATCAAAACTACACTGTGATAGCACTTCACACCTATTAGAATTGCTATGATAAAACTAAAAATAAAAAACAAAACAGAAAATATAACATATTGGCAAGAACGTGGAGATATTGAAACCCTTTTGTACTGTTGGTGGGAATGTAAAATTGTATGGCCACAGAATTTTGAGGAATTGTATGGCAATTCCTCAAAAAATTAAAAATAGAATTACTACATGATCCAGCAATTCCACGTCCAGGTATAAACCCAAAGCAATTGATAACAGGGTCTGAAAAAGATATTTGTACACCTGTGTTTATTGCAGTGCTATTAACAATAGCTGAAACAAGGAAGCAATCCAAGTGTCCATCAAAGGAAGAATGGATAAGCAGAATAAATTACACACTGAAAAATAGTTAAGATGATAAATTTTGTTATAGGCTTTTAACCAAAATAAAAATTTTAAAAATAATATTATGCTTCAGGTATCTTATTTGTATCTAAAATCTTTTTGAACTCATTTTATGGATTGAATCTCAAAGCAAATTTATGAGTATGAGAATATTTGCCTCATAGTGTTAATCTCTTGATTTATTTTAACTATCCTAAAACTAAATTTAATTAACTAAAATTAGATTAATCCGGCATGATTCAACAATATTCTGGTTGTTTTGAAAAATCAAGTCAAACCTCAAAGCCAAAAGTTTTCCACCACTGATTTTTTTAAAATATGATTTACAAACATGGTGCCTTAAAAGTTCTAAAATATATTGAGAATTGATCACATATATTGACTTTTATAAAACTACTTTCAAGAGTACAAATGGGTTTGGCTACCTATTTGGTTTGGCATAAGGATTTTAACATGATATTCAACTAAACAAAAGCAAAATCTATATTGAAAACTTTAATCACAATTTCAGGAATATAGTAAGTGCTTTGTCATCTTTCTTGCTTCCAGAGTAATTACAAAAAAAAAAAAAAAAAAAAAAAAAAAGGACTGCTAAGAGAAAAAGAGAAGCATGAGAAAAATGTGTATCTGCGATTCCTTAATTCTTCTCTCACTTTACCTGGTTATGAGATGGGAAAAGGTACAAAGACACTCCAGGGAGAAAAAGGCGCCATTAAATTATGTTTAAACTTTTCAGGCCATAGTCTCTAGTACATATGATCCTGGTGGGTGTTAGGTAATCACAAGGGTCCCTATAAGAGGGAAGCAGGACACAAGAGACCATAGCAGATATGATGATGGAAGCAAGAGGTTGCAGTTATCATTAGTCAAGAAATGCAAGTGTCTTCTAGAAGCTAAAAAAAAGCAAAAAAATAGATTCTCCCTTCAGGGTCTCCAGAAGGAAGCAGCCCTGATGATATATTGATTTTAGCCCTGTTCAACTCAGTTTAGATATTTTCTTTATCAAGACTGCAGGGGAGTAAACTTGTGCTAGTTTTAGCCACTGAATTTGTGGAAATTTGCTACAGCAGCAACAAGAAAACTAGTACACTGACACTTCATAGATATTTCCTGACTGCTCATGTAGACTATGATGCCCAGGATGAGAAAACATTCAGGGAGTTTGATTTAAACCCTCAAATTATATAATGCCTATGGAAACTGTTTTTTTTTTTTTTTTTTTCAGAAAAATACTTGAATTTGGCCTTAAAAAATATACACACTCAATTAAATGTCCCCATCATCACATATAAAAATTTCAAAGCATTAAGAGTTATTTATTTTTTTAAAAAAGTAATTATTCTGGTGAACAATTATCAAAAGACCTGTGAGGTTATTTTGGTATAAATTATTAGAGAAAATATTAAAAACTGATTAAGGAAAAACATGTCATGAGAAGATATTGATCGAGTCCAGAAAAGGAATATGAAGAAAGCTGTTAAGCAGCATGTATGCAATTCATTTTCTCCTTTTACTGTGGAATGAACAAAGAAACAACCTAGTTTATTTGGCAAACAAAGAAACAACCTAGTTTATTTCAAATAGAGTGTGAATTCTTTCAAATATTTGTGCCCAACAATAGACGGAAGAGAAAGAAATGTGTGACAGGTCTCTGGTTGAAAATACATCATACATGTCTGTAAAATTAACGTGTTGAAATAAGAAAATAAGAAACACACACACGTAGCTTCAACAGTCACGCTGTGAACTCCTTCTGGTTCCATAAAAGTTTCAGATAAAGTATTTTTATACCTTAATGCATACCTAATACTATTACAGGGAACTCTATTCCACCATGCAGTACAAAGCAGAAATAAGATTAATTTTATGAAAAAAAAACGAAACACTAATTTTAGTTCTATCAGTAGCACTACCCCTAATGGTAATACAAGGTTTAATAAATTTCACCTCTCTAAATTAATTTGCTATATTACCTTCTATTGATCTTTTCTAATGCAAATATATTGCTGGCAAAATACACTGGAGATTTACTTGATCTCTTTATTGTTGTAGGACATGGCAATTAATTTTTTTATTGAGATTCCAATTAGCTTTCTGCTCTTACAATGTTTTACCTAAATCCTTCTTTAAACTTTCCCTAAGGTTACCGGAAAAACATCATCTAAGCATGACTGTATTAAAAGGTAGAAGTAAGGAATGCATTACTTATGTTGTGTACAAAATTGAGGTTACTCTAGGTTAAATGAATCTGATTCCTTGAAGAGATAAAGATGCTTTAAATCATGAAGAACTAATCAGAAAATTCTAATTGAAAAAGAGGACCACAGTAGTCTATTATAAAAGGGGAGAAAGTGTCAAATTAGCACAACAGAGCAGGGAAATCTGAAAGAAATTTTGCAGACTGTTGCCATCATGACCCTTGTAAAAGTGTTGTTAAAGAGAGAAAAACAAAGGAAAAAGCCCTAAGGAGGCGGACTTCATGATTAGGACCACCCAAGGAGAGTCTCTAACAAAAGAAAATTGAGTTCCATAATTGGAGGTGGTCTGCATGTGAAATTTTCAGATGTGCCTGCAGACACTAAGTGCAGAGTCTGAGTATCACCAAAGGGAAACTGAGAGAAAGGTTAGAGGATGATATTACAAACACCAGAACAGTGAGCTGATAGACAAGAGCTTTCATGTGTAGCTCCATGACCATCCTAGCTAGTACCAACCATTCAGGTTAAAAATTTAAAACTACATGAAAAAGCTATCCTCTTTCTACTACTGATCTACCTAGCATTTACTGACCCTGAGTAAGAGAAGGATGAGAGAGTGGCTAGAAAGTAAGATAAAGGTAGAACAATCAGAAAAGGTCCCTGGTATGAACAAATAAAACCCTACTACATTCAGTGAAACGGAATATTGCAACCCACTGAGGTCATTAGGCTGGATATGGGAAGAGTCTCAGTTTTTCAAACACCTCAATCTCTTAGCTCACAGGGCTTCAAAGACAGAAGGGAGAGAAGAGGTGTGGACTATGAAAGACCAAGGGGACTCCTTTTTCACACCTAAATCTCTACCCTGGTGTTCCAAATAACACAAAGTGAGAGACGGAAATTGGATTAAATTGTAACTTTGAATTCAGATTTCATTCATTTTATATTTCTAAATATACAAATACTAGGCAAGTGTTGTTTGTAGTGAAAGGCATTAAAGTTTATTATTTAAACATTTACTTTTGAAGAGGAAAAAATCTGATAAAATTTAGTTTCTGTGTTGCCAACAGCTCTTTAATGATTCCTTTACATCTCTTCTTCTCATATAAGGTATACAGAGGTTGTGGCAATACAAAAACTGGGTACTTTGAACCAGACTGCATATTAATCTTAGATATGATTCAAACATCAAAGAGTACCTTACAAAAACATTAGTATCTCACAGCAGTCAGGTATTTGCCACCATTGTCACTTAGGAATTAGGTAACACCATATTTCTATATGTGATCAATACATTTAGCTGATTTTTTGCATATTTCTAATTCATGCCAGTTTTATTTTAATCTTGAAAATTTTCTGAAGTGCTCAGATTCTTTCTTTTCTAAGTACGAGTAAACAATTTAATTTAGCATAGTTTCAGGCTGCCATATAACTCATGTAATATTTGTAGCTCTCTAAAACCGTTAAGCTGAGCTTAGTAATAAAAACATTCATCAGGAAAAAAGGATCTCACGCAATATTAGTAGTTTATGTGTCCCTGGAAAAGAGACGTTTTAATTTATGTATCTTTTCATTAGACAATATTTGAAGAGGAATTTAAATAGAAAATGTCATGACCTAGAAGATGACCTAGCTCTTCTTTTTTTCATCATATTTTTGGAAACCATTCCCATAATTCTCATTTCACTTTGGGTAGATATAATACAGCCCAGTGAGAGTTGTCTTATGAATTTGTTAAGTCATGGCTTTAGAAATAAATCATAAGTTCCCTGTATTTAGAGTTTGTAACAAGATCTCCTTAAAAACTTAAGCGTAATACATAGTACTAGAACTTGTGAAGACATCTTCATTTATTCTCATGGGAGCTTTCCGTTGCCACCCATGGGAGGATAGGGAAACTCAACATGTAGTATAAAAAGGTTTACCTGTATTGATGCCAGAGTCCTAAGAAAACGGAAAGAGAATTTGGTGCAATTTTATATGGTAAAGGTCTAAATCCAAAAAAAAAAAAAAAAAAAGAAAAAAAAGCTGATTGAACAGTCTCTGGTGGGTTACATTATTGATTATTGATTCAAAAGTAAATAAACTCAACCTAGTGTAATGCAAAGTGTTGTATGAGTAAGAAATTAAGTTGTTAACATTCTTGATAAAAGAGGAAATTAGTGATTGATAAATACTTATTTTCCTCAGTCCTCATTCTCATAGTAATTACTGTGGAATGAGATAGTGTGTCTCTCAACTTGAGAACCTTGCAATCCAGAAGTAAGACTACGTACAAACACAAAATACACACAAATGAAAACAAACATACATGATTTACTCTGCAGATTTAAGTATAATGCAATTTAGGCCACAAAAATAATTGGGCAGAAATATTTCAAGTAATTTTTTGTCCAGGAATGTACCTGGAATGGTTACATGTAGGAAATGGCATATAACATTTTTAAAAAAGGCAAAGAAATGATTTGAAGCAAAATGTTACACTTAGGAAAAATATTACTGATGATGTTTAGATTACAATAAAGGACAAAGATAATTTATTGCTTAAAACCCAATACTGAAGGATATTGAACCGTAAGGGTGACTAACATAGCTGACTAGGAAGAAGCATTAAAATCATGAATTAAGAATTTTTTGGAGGCAACTGGGAGTCACTCCAGAATTCCAAAAGAAGAATGACAGTTGATATATAAGCACTTACGTGCACAAGCCAAGAGGGTGCTATCACGCTTTTTCCCTAGGCCACCCTGCAGGAGCAGTTTATAAGTCTTGGGTTACAGTATCCTAGAATTTTGAGGCTCCCTCCCAATAAAAATTGAGCTCTCTGTGCAGCCAAGGGACTTGGGGTCCATCAGTAAGAGGACCATGTCTCAGGACTAAATAGAAAGCCAAAGGAAGGCATGAAGGAGGAAGGTCTACATGTAGTTCCGTTCAATAAACCTTCACAAGAGATTAGAAAGAATACCACAAAGACACTACTGACCTAAAGGTCTTTGATTTCACAGAGTAAAATCTTTTTGAGAAGATCGCTATTATTAAGTGGCTCAGGTGAACACAGATCTGACTGCATGCCTGCAAAAAAACTGTCACAGAGATGTCTCTATACTGAATGCCAGAGTGGGTTAGAGAACACGCCTCTGGCTATGTCAACAGAGATTATTCACCTTTCCCACAACGGTAGTACAATCAAGTCAGTCGATCTCATCTTCATGAGACTCTGGATCTACAGCCATCATTTCTAAAACAAATGCAAACGAAGGTATATTTTGGGGTGAGCAAAGGAGCTTTCTCTGTGTGGGGTATCATGTCTGGGAAACCTGACGTTGTTTGTGTAGAAGGCTCATAAAGTTCCTGTAAAGAATTCTGATCAAGACTCCGAAAATTTATCTGGAAGAGAATCTTAATTCGCCATCAAGAAGACATTCCTTTTTATGGTTCAAATGATGAAATGGACACTAAGGAAATTTTCCATTTTTGCAGAAAAAGTATTCTGTGTTAATGGAACCGGAGGAAACCACATGGCTTTGGTCAGCTGCATCAGTTCTTAAATGCCAGAGAATGTGCAGATGTTTTCCAAATGTTCTTTAATATGGAAGGACAATGAGCAGAAAAGTAGTTGAACATATCTTGTCATTGTTGACCTTTTGATTTTGTTTTCCCACTCTTTCTTGAAAGAGTGAGTAATTTTATTTTATTTTATTTTCATTCTAGAATGTGGGGGAAGGGGCAGGCAGGAAAAGTAGTATAACTGAAATGCACCTGTTACAAATATATCATGATTGAAAGCAGAACTGAATTTCAAATTATAACCCTAAAATTGATGTTAGACATTTCTCGACATATGAACTATGCATTTTGAAAGAGAATTAATTATCTATGAAGGTAATGTTGGTGGTCTAATTTGCCAGCCATTCCCACTCTGCTTCTCCCTTCCCTGCCTCCACTAAAGAATCTAGAAAAGCTAACTGCTCCTTTTGCACCCTCTGTTGCAACTATGAATGGCTTTGGGAACACAGCTTTGGCTTCAGGATTTCTGGGAAAACTTTTGCTTCCTCATTAAAGTTATATATGCAGCTAGGTCATCTCTTCTTCCTCTGTCTGCCATAAACACCGAAGTGATGTCTGAAGCTAGAGTAGTCCTTTTAACCAAAGGGAAGGAAGGGCTAGAGAATCACAAAGATGTCAGTTCCCCCATTGTTGAGCTGCTGATGGAACACCAGACCCTGCCTATCTCTGGACATCTTATTAAATCAACCAGTTTTATTTAATTTCTAGGCTTTTAAATAGAAGTTGAAAGCTAGTTATCAGAGTTTTACAAAGCTTTAGTATTCTATTTACCCCAGCCATCTGATATACAAACAAGTGAAGTTTTCCTTTTTTTTTTTTTTTTTGAGATCGAGTCTTGCTCTGTTGCCTAGGCTGGAGTACAGTGGCGTGATCTCGGCTCACTGCAAGCTCCACCTCCCGGGTTCACGCCATTCTCCTGACTCAGCCTCCCGAGTAGCTGGGACTACAGGCACGTGCCACCACGCCCAGCTATTTTTGTATTTTTAGTAGAGACAGGGTTTCACTGTGTTAGCCCGGATGGTCTCGATCTCCTGACCTCGTGATCCACCCGCCTCGGCCTCCCGAAGTTTTTCTTAAATAGAGTTTGCAGTTTGTCTCTGTTTCTGTGTACTCCTGCCTCTGCCCTTGCTCCTAGGCTTGCCTTGCCCATGCTGAGGCAAGTAGAGCTTGAACATTTTTAATAGGACTCCACAATTCGTCACATTAGTAATTTAGAAAATGTGTTTTTGAGGAATTGTATTTTGATACTCTTTTCATTCTGGAAATAGCTTTTTGTGCATTTATTTTTGCAGAAAGATCTAGCATCAAAAAAAGTCACTATCTGGTTTTTGGGGCCCTCCATAAATCAGTTCCAAAAGCATTTATCAACTATTTACCAACTGCCAGAAAAAACAAACAACCACTTATACCTGATAATTCTTATTACTGTATGTTGATGCTTTAGGAAATAAATAATAAAGATGCCATCTATAACTAAAAGTTTTAAGAGTACAAAAGGAAATAGTTTGAGACTGTATGACAAGAGAAGACTAAATATGAAGTTCCCTAATTGCTGGCTCAAACTTTTAATTGGATAGATACATTACATATCTAAAAGATACATACATATGTATATATCCCATCTAAAGTATGTAATAAAACATTGAATATAAAATATAAAAGAAAAGCTAAAAAATAATAATTTTATACTTTAGATAAAACTTAGAATTATAATGTGAAGATAAATTTGAGAAAGTATTCAGAATCTCCTCAGTTATTACAAATAATGACTATAAATGCTGATATCTCACCATACATTTTTGGTGGTGTGGGATCGTCAAAACAGTGAGATAACTATAGTAGAGCAGATATTATGAGGATTCCCAGGAGCACTAAATATTGTAACTCCATTTTGTATTTAGTCGCAAGCATTTATATTAAAACTTAAGGGTCTCTAATTAGAATACAATAAGAAAAGAACTATAATGTAAGAGAAAATCTTTGTACAAGATGGTTGTTGAGAAATCTCACTGTAACAAACATAATAAGGCTGTAAAAGTAGTCAAAATATGTATTTTTAAATTTGAAAGTATGCAGTTTGCAATTCTTCTGTAATAATCATAAAAGTATCTAGTATTATTGTTTTGTAATATTATAAAGTAAAAATTCCTTTGGGGAACTAGACACTTTATTTCATGGAATATACTAAAAATATTGTTTTGAAATTTCAATAAATGTTTTAACCGATGGACATGTAATTGGCTTGGGATTAAAACTATGAAATAATATACTTTTTTTTATGCCTTCATCTATAACTTGTTACAGACTTTTCAAATGTTTGACTACATTATACAATAAGTGAGAAGAGTTGCAATTATAAAAAGAAAATGCATTCTTTAAGAATGTTCTCTGTAATTAATAGGTGTATTATCTCTCAAATTTATGGTTTTAACATTTATGTTGAAAATTAATTTAAATATCTTTATCTTAAAAGTGTAATTTTTAAGACAGTATAAAAAATTACCTTCTAAGGAAGTTGTATATGAATCACATGTGTTACTTCTTTCAAAGTACATTCTACAATTATACAGTAATTCTCTGAGTGGGAATGGAATAAAGAAATAACTATATGTTGGTATTGGGTGACTTTTTGTTTTGGTTTGGTGATTTAAGTTGTTTTATTAAGTATATAAATTTCATATACCTTAAGTTTGGATAGCCATGTCTTAGGTCAAGAACTTCATATAATTTATTAGATATCAAAGCATGGGGAAAATTATAAAACTATAGAAACTAAAGATTTAAAACTATTTAAGAAGGAAAGAAAGTGGAAAGCCCAGAACAAAACTTATTTGTGCTTTCCTCTCTTAATGTTTTGACATATGTATTGAATCTGTTATCTGAAAAGAATAAACTCTTATTTTCTATTTTATCAACACATAATAGGAGAGAACCCTCCTTGAGACTATCTTGGATCAGAAGATTATATTTTGAGATCTAGAGTAAGTAATCAACACAGGACAGGCCATATGATTCATGACAAACAAAAGGTAATACAAGGAAGCACCAAAAATGCAAGTACGGCATAAGGCTAGAGACATGGTATTGACATCATACTAACAACTAGGCAAGACTGATGATTAAGCCAATTAAAATGTACATGTCCTCATTTCTTTTTCTTGACAAATGTTTATTGAGCATTTGCAATAGCTAGACATCTATGTGGATGTTACACATGCATTAGTAAGTACTTTACTTAATTTATGTGTATCTTGATCAAACCAATGAGCTTCCATAAGCTTATTTTAGGGGTATAGGTTAAATAAATTTGGAGCTTAACAAATCCATGTGACCAGCATAATGTAAAGATTGTAAAGGAAATCCATGCACTTGAGTACTGTTCTTGTCTTAATTAACCATATGAACTCTGAACCTTATCAGAGCTTAGTTATGACAAGGACATAACTTGCTTACCAACATTCTCATCTGGTAAGCAAGAGGGAGAAATGAAGGCTGTTTAGTGGCACTTGGCTGGAAAGACAGATGTGACATGGCTGTTACCAATCTACAAAGAGGGGTTTCCAGGGCTTTGCCTTCTCTGTCTCTGCCTCTGTCTAGGGTCTTCTGATACTCCACACTAGATATCTTGATCACATTGCTTCCTATTTCCTGAGACTTCCAGTCCCTCATAAAATAAAATCATCCAAGTCCTAGTTACTACAGGAAAATACAAAATGAGTCATGTAATTGTAATGCTTCTGCTGATTATAAAGTTCTGCAGTTTATTGAACAAACCACAACTCAAAAATCAAGCCACACCAAAGAAACACAAACAGGAAAAATAATAAAGTATTTTAGGAAGCAACTTAAGTTGTTTATGAGTTTCCAAGACACTAGTCACAGTATATGTTAGTATTAGATTTCAACAAAAAAAGGAGACTTACCAGAAAACTGCTGTAAAAGAGTAATCATTTCTATATGTTCTGGAGGATAATTAATCTGTCTTGGAGCTTTTATCCTCAATATTTTATTGTGAAAATTTTTATACATGGAGAAAAGTTGAAAAGATTTATGCAATAAAAACTCCATATACTCACCAGCCAGATTTTACCATGCTTTCTTATTATGTATCCACTTATTCTTATTATGTATCCATTACCCATCACCCTAGCCATTCATTACTCCTTATTTTTTGTTACATTTCAAATTTCAGACATCAATAGATTTCCTCCTAAATACTTCAGTACGCATACCATCACATAGTTTAGTATTTGTTTATAGTTTTTCTTTTGATATAAGGTTTATACACAATGAAATGGACAAATATTAACTGCTTATTCACTAAGTTAACAAATGCACCCACGTGTCTTAAAAGTTGTAATAAACAACTGAAGGAGGTAAATTTTACATTGTTAGTATTAGGAAAGAGACTAATACTAGTTAAAAAAAAAAAAGCTTAAGAAACAGCACCCCAAGATTCAAATTCTACCCAAGAAATAACTGTAAAGGAATATTCTTATATTTCTCTGAAACTATTTAATTAACATGACATAAAAGGAAAGTTACTGGGGAATAGGAGAATGGAATACTTGTGCTTATTGACCTGATTACCAAAAAGGCAGCAGTAATGAGGAGAGACATTGAAATACATGAGCTTCTCAAATTAAGAACAAAATGTTTTTCAACTTGCAAAATAAAATAACCTTTTGGAAAAAATCCTCCAGATAACACAGAATCATTCCTGAACTTCAAAACAGTTCAACTTTGCCAGAATTAGAAACTAAGTTACCAATGTGTGATATGTGTCTAAGGAGGATGATAAAAAACATTGAATTCTTTTAACTTTATAGTATAACTTGGAAGCAATTCAGAGTTTTCCATTAAGAAAATGAATTAAGTGATGCTATTACAATCTGAATTACCTTTATTTCATTATTTTATATTAGATATCAGCAATTTTAATGTTTTTAAGAAATGTTTGAAGAACTATGAAGAAAAAAATAAATTAATTATTCAACACGTACGCTATATGCTGTGATGAGACAGGAGCTAGTTAAAATCAGTAAATAATCCTATTCCAACAGGGAAGTTTGGAAGGCACATATTCATTTCTGGTCCATAGCAATTCTGAAATCTAACCAGAAGCATGTTGTCAGGTTCTTCTACTAAAGGGGCAGGGGATGTTTCTTTCTGATTGCTGGAAGTGCTTCCCTAAGTAGTTTTTCCTTTGTGGCCCTTGCCTCAACTTTTTGGACTTATTGGGCTTCCCTCTGAGATTCCATTTCTTTTCTGTTCAGAAATTACATATATTTGCAAATGAGCCACTTTCTCAGACTACATCCTGCCCAATGAAATTCTTCCTTTTGAGACTTCAGAGACCACTTCATTTTGAACAATTGCTGCTTTTTTCAGTCTATGCTGGAAGTTCTTGGCAGTACAACTCTGTTTAAAATTTTTAGTTTCCTGTAGTTCTTATGGTAGTTCAATTTATGACCCAAATATCATATTCTTAATTCATTTTGAAACAAATATCTCTAATTTGAGTGTGTTTAGAGACCCTTTTGTACAACTAGTAGGGTCTCAGAGACTTCCCAAAATCATTCTGAGGTCTTTAATAAAGAGATTTTATGGTCACACAATTGATTTGCCATGAGGTTATTATTTATTTATTAATTTTTGAGAATTTTTTCCTTGCTAAAAGTACTAGAGATGCTAGCAACTCCTAACTCCTCTACTTTTTCTCTAATTATTTCCTTAATTATAATCCCCAGTTGTAAACACTAATTTCTGTATTAATTGTATGTGTTTGCCTAAAGGCCACAGAGAAAAATCGAATTAGGAAGGAACTCACAGAAATCAGAAAGTAACATCCCTGTCCCTTGAGAAGAACCTGACAACATGCTCCTTGTTGGACTTCAGAATTGCTATGGACCAGAAACCGATGTGTGCCTTCCAATCCTTTCCCTTTGAATAGCTAATGTATTTGCTCGTATCTTTTCATACATGACTAAAAGAAGTTGATTGAGCCTTTTAATATTATCCCTAAAAGGCAAGGTCCACGTGTTCATTAGGTATGTTTTACAGCTTCCCAGTTACTGCAAATGATGTTTTGATAATTGCTTTTAAACTATATGAGACACCATTTTTCCAGTGTCTAACAGCAGTTTACTCATAGGTTTCGCAAGAACCATTATCCATTGTTTATTTTTCTTATCTTCACCAACTATTTCTTGTTTTTTCTCAGTGTCCATCGTCTTCCCAATTCCACAGACTATGCCGTATGTCTTAGATTTTTGTTATAGTTCCCAATTCTCGCCATTAATTTCTTTTTTTTATCTGTTCTGATGATCTTTGTCTTTTAATTGGTGTGTTTAGACCATTGATATTTAAAGTGGTTACAGATACAGTTGGATTAATATCAACCATATTTGTTACTGTTTTCTATCTGTTGCTCTTGTTTTTTGTTACTATTTTTGTCTTTCACTTTTTCTGCCTTTTGTAGTTTTAATTGAGCATTTTGTATGATTTCATTTTCTTACTCAACTAATCTAAGTCCACTTCCAAACAACATTATACTGTTTCACAGTTAGTGTGAGTCTCCTATAATAACAAAAAATCCTAATTCCTCCCTCCTGTCCCTTGTGTCATTGCTGTCATTAATTTTTCTTACACATAAATCTACATCAGTGTATATATATATGCACAAGCAGTAGAGACAGGGTTTCACCATGTTGGCCAGACTGGTCTTGAACTCCTGACCTCAGGTGATCTGCCCACTTTGGCTTCTAAGTGCTGGGATTACAGGTGTGAGCCACCGCAACCAGCCAAACTTTCAGTTTTCTTACTTTTAGTTGACCTAATAGACAATAGTTTGTCTAAAATAATAATAGCAATAACAGATTTTATCTCGCCATTAATTTCTGTAGTGATTATATGTTTCTGCCTTGAAAACTATTTCCAAACACAGAGATCTAAAACCAACACTTACTTAATTATAATTCTGAGGCTTCGCACTTTGATGGGGGTTCACATGAGATGCCTCGTTCTCCCAGGGTGTTGATTGGGCTCTTCATGTGTTTGGTTTTCTAACAGAATGATGATATAGTTGGAAGCACCAGAGCACTTCATCAGATGCCGTCATCTTCCAGGAGCCTATTTTTCACATAATAACGGAAGAATTTTCAGAAACAAGAGAGCAAGCACTTAAACCGTAAATACAAGGATTTTCAATTATTTGCTTGTCATACATGCTAATATCCCAGTGGCCAAGAAAAATCTCATGACCAAGCCCAGAGTCAACATGGAAGGGAACACAAGAACATGGATATAGGAGATGGGATTCATTGAGAACTATTAGCGTAACAAATTGCCACAGATAGCATTCAAACATGGCATAGGCCAAAGGCAGCAATTAATCATAAGATGCAAGTATATTATATTTATTTTAATAGGCAATAGATATACATGATTACCATGGTGTCTCAGGTTAAGTACAAATTTATAACTCTTTGATAATTTACTTCTTATTAAATTAGACCATCTCACAATCATCATGTTCCACAGTATTGATGACAACTTGCTTAGAAGCTTCAGTGATCAAGGAAGAAGGAGGTATTCTCCATACATTGGTAAGAAATATACGTGCCAGAAAGTAGAAAATAAACATTAGAAATATTCAGAGTTTCGTTATCTCATTGAATTTTGTGGAGGTACAAAGTCAACCCATTCTGTTAAAAGTTAAAGATGAATTTCTGCCAGTTATGATGGCTGCTACTAAGAAATAGTTACATCATTTTTTTTTTTCTGAGATAGAATTTCACTCTTGTTCCCTATGCTGGAGTGCAATGACGCGATCTTGGCTCACCGCAACCTCCGCCTCCCAGGTTCAAGCAATTCTCCTGCCTCAGCCTACCAAGTAGCTGGGATTAGAGACATGCATCATCACGCCCAGCTAATTTTTTTATTTTTAGTAGAGACGGGGTTTCTCCATATTGGTCAGGCTGGTCTTGAACTCCCAACCTCAGGTGATCTGCCGTCTTGGCCTCCCAAAGTGCTGGGATTATAGGCATGAGCCACTGTGCCCAGCCTGCTGGGACTTTTTAGATTTTTGATTTGACATTTACCATATTGATCATGTTGCTCCTCTACATCTACTGAGGAACCTGTCTGGCTGCCTGCTTCAAGTGGTTTCCAGAATGGAAGAATTCTGGCTTTTTCAATTGCAGGAGAAGCTGAACTATCACCTGAAATTTAGATTCAGTTCTCAGCAAATACTGTCTCAGATCATACTATCAGTGCAAGGGTTATAAGCATAATAGTGCCTGTCCTATGCCCCCATAGAAGAAACAGAATAGAGTGTTTTGCTGAAATGTAACATTCTCTTTGGCCAAAAAAAAAAAAAAAAAAAAAAAAAATTATTCAAACTTTGAAAAAACAGTTCTTTGCTGAGTCGTATAAGAAAGTAAGAAAGATCTGACTATAGTACACAGAGTGAAAACTTGAGCTCACCAGCCAAAAATGATGTAAATAATATCTTGTCTTTCAAGTCATACAGCTGTGTGTATCCTGTAGAATTCTATCACTATGTAAAAGTGGCATGATAAAGTTACAGGAGATCCTGACAGTAGAGTAACAGCACAAGAACATTGCATTTGCTGCTCATATTTGCATTATACCAATTTCTTCTTATAGCCTCAGAAAGTGCTTTATATGATGTTTGTCCAAAAAGAAGATATTCATGTCTCATGTAAGGATAGATATGCAAAAAAATTCTGCTACTAGTCAGAAGTAGAAGAGAATATCATTATCTAGGAGAAGCACTAAAGACAATTAGGGGAGGAAAATTATCCTGGCAGGCAGAACTGAATGCCTATAAAGTTGTTTACCATGCTTGGAAAGATATATGAACATAGATATATTTCTAGCTTTTTTATACTCAGTCACCAACAAACATCAGATTGCAGGATGTCGAGGAACTTGGAAGAAACAAGATTGAAAGATTGGTCACAAGGAGCCCTTAAATGGAGGTGTGTACAAGGCCCTCTCAGAATGCACCCAGACTTTGGCACTATTTCTAAGTTATGTGAATGCTTAACAAGAGATCCATCAAGAAGAAATGACTGCTCCAGTAAATAAAAAGATTTAGTTATTTATCATGCTAACAAATATACTTGGTTGCTCTATGCCAGAGCATGATGTTATCATGGATTCAGTATTTGTTTCTTCTGTTGGAAAATTAAGCAGTATGCAGGAATACAGGCCAGATCTGGCTTTTTTTGTGTGTGAAGAGGAACCCATGTTGTTGAGCTTATACATCATATCCATATCTACCAGTGTGGCCACTTCATTCATGAGCTCTTTGAGTGAATACTGTTATGGTTTCAACAAATGGCTCATGCAAATCCTTAGCGCAATTTACATTTTCTATTTTATTTTTAAATTGTTTCGCTAGGGGAGCACTTTGAACATAGACTAGACATTAGATTATATTGAGAAATTATTTTTTAAATTTGAATAGATAATAATGAAATTCTGGCTATACTAAAAAGAAAAAATATCTTAATTGTTAGAGATACGTACTGAATTATTTAAGTATAAAATAGTTTTCTTGAATTTGCCTAAAAATTCTCCAGCATAAAATAGACAAAAACAGAATTGGTTAAATTGCATTAATTTTTGCAACTTAGAAATAAATGCAAAGGGGAATAAATACTATTCTCTCTAGTTGTGGCTATGTATGAAAAAATATAAAATATATTTTTAAAAGGCTGGGTGTGGTAGCTCATGCCTGTAATCCCAACCCTTTAGGAGGCCAAGGGAGGAGCATTGCTTGAGGCCAGGAGCTTGAGACAAGCCTGAGCAATGTAGTGAGACCTCATCTCTGTACAAATGCTTAAAAAATTAGCTGGACATGGTGGTTCATGCATATAGTCAAAGATTCTTGGAAGGCTGAGGCAGGAGAATCACTTGAGCCCAGAAGTTTGGTATTGCAGTGACCAATGATATGCTACTGGCACTCCAGGTTGGGTAAGATTGAGACCTTATCTATAAAAAAAATTAAAAGAAAAGTACTCCATAAAATATAATAGTATAGTATGAGGATGTAAAACAACCATTTTATTTTGTTTTATCATTTTTTATTATAAATGGGCAATTTATAATTGTATATACTTATGGGGTAGAAAGTGATATTATGATTTATGAATATAACCTGGAATAATTAAATTGAGCTAATTAGCATATTCATCACCTCAAATACTTATCTTTTTTGTGATGAGAACATTTGAAATTTACTGTCATAGTAGTCCCTATGCAACCATTCTGTTTTTCACTTTCAGCCAAGTATTCAGTAAGTTATGGGAGGTATTCAACACTTTATTATAAAATAGGCTTTCTGTTAGATGGTTTTGTCCAATTGTAGGCTAATGTAATTGTTCTGAGAATATTTAATGTAGGCTAGAATGAGCCATGCTGCTAAGTAGGTTAGGTGTGTTAAATGCATGTTTAACTTACAATATCTTTAACTTATGATGGGTTTATCGGGGGCATCCATAATACTGTCTTTGATGTTTGAGGCACCTCCATACAATTTTCTAATGACTAAACTAATTTAAATTCCCACCAACAGTGTAAAAGAGTTGTCTTTTCTCCACATCCTTGCCAGAACATATTTTTCATCTTTTTTATAGTAGCCATTCTGCAGGTAAGAGATGGTATGTCATTGTGATTTTAATTTGCATTTTCCTAATGATTAGCAATGTTGGGCATTTTGCCATGTCTGTTGACTATATGTCTTCTTTTTAGAGATGCTTTTTATTATTTCCTTACTGTTGAATTGTTTTAGTTCCTTGTATATTTTGGGGATTAACTTGTTGCCAGATGTATGGCTTGCAAATATTTTCTCCCAATTCCTAATTTGTCTTTTTCACACTATTAATTGTTTTATTTGCCATGCAGAAGCTTTTCAGTTCAATGTAATCATTTGTTGATTCTTGACTTGATTTCCTATACTTTTGGGGTCAAACCCCCCAAAATATTGCCCAAACTAATGTCATGTAGTTTTTTTCGTTATGTTTTCTTCTAGTGGTTCTACAGTTTCTGAACTTATGTTTAAGTCTTTAATCCATTGTGAGTTGATTTTTGTGTGTGGTGTGAGATAAGGGTCCAGTTTTATTCTTCTGCATGTGGGTATCCAGTTTTCCCAACACCATTTATTGAAGAGATTATCCTTTTTGTACTGTGTATTCTTGGATTTTTGTCAAAAATTAATGGACTATACATGTGTTCTTTATTCATTTCCAGGTTTTCTATTCTGTTCCATAGTTTATGTGTCTTCAGTTATTTATTTTTCTGCCACTACTATGCTGATATAATTACTATAGTTTAAAATTAGATCGTGTGATTTCTTAGCTTTGTTATTGGTTGTACATAATTGCCTCGGTTATTTGGGTTTCATTGTGGTTTCATATACATTTAGAATCTTTTTATTTCGATGAAAAATCACATTGCAATTTTGATAGAACTTTCACTGAATCTGAAGAGGACTTTGTGTAGTATGAACATTAGAATATTACATCTTCCAGTCCATAAACATGGGGTATCTTTTCATGTATTAGTGTCTTCAGTTTCTTTCACCAGTTTTTTACAGTTTTTACTGTAGAATTATTTTACTTCCCAAGTTAAGTTTATTCCTAAGTATTTCACTTTTTGTAGCTACTGTAAATGGAATTGTTCTCTTGATTTCATTTGCGGACAGTTTCTTGTTAGTGTATAGAAACTACTGATTTTGGTGAGTATTTTTGTATTTTTCAACTTACCTCTATAGTGAGGTAAATTATGTACTAGTTTTAATAGTTTTTATGTGGGGTCTTTAGGGTTTTCTGTATGTAAGAAGTGACGTTTTGGCCAGATGCAGTGGCTCACACCTGTAATTACAGCACTTTGGGAGGCTGGAGGCAGATATATGGCTTGAGCCCAGGAACATGAGACCAGCCTAGGCAACATGGCAAAACCCTGTCTACCAAAAAATACAAAAATTATCTGGGCATCATGGAGCACACCTTTAGTCTCAGCTACTAGGGAAGCTGAGGCAGGAGGATAACCTGAGCCTGGGAGGTTGCAGTTGCAGTGAGTCCTGATGGTGCAACTGCACTCCAGCCTAGATGACACGGTGAGACCCTGTCTCAAAAAAAAAAAAAAAAAAAAAAAAAAAGTGATGGTTCTTGTTTTCCCATTTAAATGTCTTTTATTTTCTAAATTTTTATTAATTGGTCTGGCAAGAATGTCCAATACCATGTTGAATAAAACTGTCAAGAGATGGCATTCCTGTATTTTTCCAGATCTTTGAGGAAAGGCTTTCAAATTTTTACCATTGAATATACTGTTAACTGTGGCCTTCTCATATATGGTCTTTATTATGTGTAGGTAAAGAGGTTTTTTAAAAATTATTACGATGAAAGGATGTTCAATTTTTTAAGTGCCTTTCTGCATCTAATGAAATAATCATATAATTTTTGTCTTTCATTCTGGCAATGTGATATATCAGATTTATTGATTTGCACATGGTGAATCATCCTTGCATCTCAGGGAAAAATCTCACTTGATCATGGTAGATGATACTTTTAATGTATCATTGAATTTGGTTTGCTAGTGTTTTGTTGAGGATTTGTGCACCTATGCTCACCAAGGTTGTTGGCCTGTATTTTTTTTTTCTTGTAATGTCCTTGTCTGGCTTTTCTATCAGGGAAATGCTAGATTTGTAAAATGAGTTTGGAAGTATTCCTTCTTCATTTTTTTTGGAAGATTTTGAGATGCATTGGTATTAGTAATTCTTTCAATGTTTGGTAGAATTCAGCAGTGAAACCATCAAGCCATCAGATTCTCTTTTATTTAAATTTTTTTTTTTCATGGGAGACTTTCTGTTACTGATTAATTCTTCTTACTATTTTTTGTCCTGTTAAGATTTTCTATTTTTTTATGATTAAGTCTTGTTGGGTAGTATGTGTCTAAAAATTTATCCATTTCTTCTAGGTTATCCAATTTGTTGGCATAATAGTATTTTATGATCCTTTATATTTCTATAAAATCAATTGTAATGCCTCCTTTTTCATTTCCAATTTTATTTATTTGATTCTTATCAATTTTTCTTCTTTAGTTTAGCTAAACGGCTGCCAATTTTGTTGACCATTTCAACTGACCAAATTTGGTTCCATTGATTTTCTCTATTGTTTTTCTGTTCTTCTCTATTTTATCTGTTGTGCTCTATGTTCTATTATGTTCTGCCTTCTGCTAACTTCGTACTTAGTTTGTTCTTTCTCTAGTTTTTTGAGGAGTAACATTATTTATTTAAAATTTTTCTTATTTTTTGATGTAGGTGTTTATTGCTATAAACTTTTATCTTAAAATTGCTTTGTGCTATATCACATAAGTGTTTGTATGTTTTGTTTCTATTTTTGTTTTTCTTGAGATGTTTTTAAATTTCCCTTTTAATTTCTACACTGGTCCATTGGTTTTTCAGGAGCATGTTGTTCAATTTTATGTATTTGTGAATTTATCAAAATTTCCCATTATTGATATCTAGTTTCATACCATTACAGTCAGAAAATATATTGATATGTTTCCAATGCTATTAAATTTGTGAAGATTTGTTCTGTGTCCCAACATGTGACCTGGCCTGGAGAATGTTTCATGTGCACTTGATGTTGCTGTATTCTGTTGCTGTTGAATGGAATGTCCTGTATATGTCTGTTAGGTTAATGTGGTTTAAAGTGTTCAAATTTAATGCTTCCTTATTAATTTGTACGGATGATTTGTCCAATATTGAAAGCAGGGTATTGAATCCCCTCCTATTATTGTATTGCAATATATATCTCTCTCATCAGATATACATATATATATAAAATAAATATAATATTTATTTTATAAACAATCATTTTCAAAATCAAACTGAGTGAGCAGGTGATTTTACAAATGCCTATTTGATTTATAATTCAATAAAATAGTAGTTATTATAGAAACATTAAATACTGTATTTTTTTCATACATATCAAGGAGGAAAAAATGAGCCCAGACTGAAAAGAAATGTATTATTAAATACAAAAGGTCTATATTTTACATTGGGACAATATGACGCTTGTGTTGAATTGCAATGTTTTTCTGTTCTCTTACTCATATCTCAAATGGCCAGATCAGTTTTTCCCCTTGAACTTGGATTAGCATATACTGTCATATTAATGAGCACATACATTTTATGTACATTTATATTTTAATTATATATTACTAAAAGAAAAAACTTCACTCAACATTATTTTCTTCTGCCAACAATGGTAATGTGCAGGTACATTTTGATAATAATTATTTTTCTCATAGTTATCTCTTTTATATTTATCTTGCTTTACAGGCAATATTTTGTAAGTGAAATTCAATAATGCTATTACTTTAATTAATATACAAGTCTTATCACGAAACTTTTGCTTAGCCTTGAAAGATTTAGATATAATATTTAGCAAATGTGAATATTTTATATAGAAATGACAAAAATAATTTGGTCATTTTTTCTTAGATTTTTTAAGATTATTGTTGACATATTGTGTGTGTATATTCTGCATTTTGGAGAAGCTCATAATTTCATAATGAGAAACAATAAAATTAAATCCGGCTTTTTGCAATTTAAGCAAACAAAGAACAATGACATTATTTTCTTTATCAGCCCAAGTGAGCTATTATGGTGGGAGTGGAGAATTGGTCGAGGTAATCAGGAACTTACTTTCGCATAGCTGCAAAAATTTTATAGTAACTTTTGTTTCTCTTATTTCTTCCTTGAATGAACTGTTAACAACCAGAATCACTTCCACAACCAAAGAATGGAAATGAACATGAATTATTAATTCTATCTGAAAAGATTTAGATGCCTTTTAACAATCTGTTAATTTTACAGTCAAGATTCAATCTTTCAATAATTCTAATGTCATCAGAGAGAAAGAAAACCTTTCTGGGAAAACTTCAAAGTAAGTTTCATCACTTGGAAGTACAATACAAGGAAAAAATACCAAAGTATTAATAAAATATTGCCCGGGCGCGGTGGCTCACGCCTGTATGTCAGCACATTGGGAGGCTGCGGGGGACGGATTACCTGAGGTCAAGAGTTTGAGACCAGCCTGGCCAACATGGTGAAACCTTGTCTCTACTAAAAATACAAAAATTAGCCGAGCATGGTGTTGGGTGCCTGGAATCCCAGCTACTTGGGAGGCTGAAGCAGGAAAATCACTCGAACCTGGGAGGCGGAGGTTTTAGTAAACCGAGATTGCGCCACTGCACTCCAGTCTGGGTGACAGAGTGAGATTCCATCTACAAAATAAAAAATAAAAATAAAAATAAAAAAGTATTAATACTTATGATTAAACTTTTAAAAATGTTAGGACTGGTAGAGAACTATGAGGTATATATTATTATATGAGTATATTCTCATAATGTCATGTTTAGAGTATCTTTAAAACTCAATTCTGTCATTTAAGAAAATAGTAATAATAGAAACAGTTCTAGAAATATTTCTTATATTTGAATCACTTGCATCAATTAATCAATTTCTTAAACTTAAAATGATTTAATAACGATGTGTTGCTTAGCATTACATTTCACTTTACTTTCTATTTTTCTTTGATTTATGTCATTATGATTCCTTATAAGAGTCCATGTCTTGCCTTTCCTGCTTCTCTTTTCATTAACGTCATTTTAATACTACCCAGATGGAAAACTCAACATCATTCAGTCCCTCCAGCTTCTGTCACTTCCAGCCAGTATTCACCAGTCACAAGGCTTGTTCTTTTGTTCTGCAACATATTTCTTCAATTTTCCTGTGCTTTTAAAACCTCCTTGGCTAGAAGCCTTGTTCATTCCCTACTGAGATAAGAGCTGATGCTGAATGTAACTTAAATCTGGGTTTTTTAAGTCTCTAACAATTCCATTTGCATTTATCCTCTCTTGACAACACTCAAACCATTCTGTCTCCTTGTCCTTGTCAGAAACGTTCCCAATGCCTATGCCTGCCTCAGATGGCTTTCAACTTGTGACTACTTACCATGACTACCGTCCCTTCCCAGAATGTTTGTCTATCTGAACAACCGAGCAGTTCCATGTGACTGACCTAGAAAGTTATTCAATAACAAGCATAGCTCCTGAAACTGAATATTTGGCAACTAAATACTTTCTTTGCCACCTAAACCACAGAAGGTTTTTGTTTGTTTTTTATGGTCCTTTCTCAAGGTTTCTGTTACCTTGGGTCACATTTACTCTTTATTTTTATTTTAATGTGCATGCCATTTTTTTCTGTGCTACCAATGCCTCTTTCAGTGGATCTAAGCCTTTGTCATTCTCATGCTAGTTTTAGTAATTTTCTCTAAAGTACCATACTATAATACTAAAATATGTTCCATCAGTTTGGGTTTCTGAATAACTATTTAAAGAATTCTTAATTGAAAACTAGGTGAATTAAATAGGATATGTGTTTATTTTACAATGAAAGGGAAAATTTGTTTTTACTCCCTGAATAGATAGTATTGAATAGAGTAAAAAGTGCATGTATGCATATGCATAATGTTGGATTTTCATTGTTATAGCACAGGCAGAGAAATTCACATATTATTTTTCTAATATCACTGTGATATTTGAGTAAATGCAATTGTCCATAGAAAAATGTACATGTTCTTGAATTTAGTTTTGCATGTTTTTTCTGTGTTCTTTGCATCCTCTAATTTATACACCAAAAACAATCATCATGCTCTTTAGTATCCTTATATCTGCTACCTTCGCTAGTATAAAATACTTGAAGTTAGAAAAAAAAATTTGCTTTTTTTTTGTTATTTGTCTGCTTCACCTTTTCATTCTAATGTAGTAGAATACTTAGCATGTGGAAAATGTCTATATATATTTGTCACCTGAATGAATGCATGTGTGAATAAAGATTAGTCTAGTTTTTCCTCTGCTGAGACTAGATATAATTTCTGGATTATATGATTGCAGTTTGAAATTACAGAAACCAGAAAACCAAATTGTATATGAGTTTTCATATGGGGCATTTAATTGTCACTTTAATCTCACATGTTTTTGTTTCTTTATGTTTTTAATCAAGAAAGGATATTACATAGCTTAGAAAATTCTAGAATGAACATTTATTTTTCTCCCAATTTTATTACCTTTAATGCCGTTTTCCAGAGCCAGCTATTTTACCAGATTTATTTATTTTAGTCTTTACCTCCATATCTTTGACTACTATGCATGTACTTCTAGATATTGATTTATACACTTTCAATCTTACCTATTATTTTCTGTTTTGATAGGTGAGATTTACCACATTTACAAAACCTGGTATATTTAGTCTCTCCTTTTCCTCAAAATAGCTATGATTGTTTCAGTTCTTCCATTGGTCATCACTAAAACTTCAAATCAGATATTATTATTTCTGCTCTTGATCAATCTGCTATGGACTAAAATATACCATATTCCTGTGATTTTCTGAGCCATCAATTTTGCTTTCTATTTTACTGAGTCCCTTATATAATATTGAAGCCTTTGTAAAATTTGTCACTTATGTTCCAAACGGTGATGCTTGATCTCTCATCCCGTCACCCAGCTGAGATCTGAGGTCTACCTTCTCTCTTTTTGTAGAGCCATATTTCTGGAATTTCATATGTAATCCTTGGTTTATGCAGTTTTTTGAGAATACCCTGAAATAATTCTCTGAAAATGTAATGTAGAGAAGACAAGATAAATTTTGTCTTCTTACACCTCTGAAAATGTTTTTATTCTGTTCTTACACTTGATTATTAAAATACAATTCTAGGCTTAAAGCAAATCTCTATGTCAATTGTGAACACCTTATACATTTTCTAGCATTCACTGTTACTGATGAGATTTTGACACCTGTCTTATTCTCATTATTTTGCAATACACATTTTTTCCCTGTAAATATCTTGAGAATGTTTCTTTAGCTTAATATAATATTTCACAATAATTTTTACTAGGGACGAGGTGTTTAGGCATTAAATAAAATAGATTCATTTAATTAAGGGCTCTAGCTATTTGGCTTGGAAAAACAAGGTATGATATACAGTGATTGTATAAATTTTAATCCAAGTTGAAATATTTTAAGAGTAAGAAGAAATACTATTAATAAATATGCTAGGATAACCGAGTCAACCAGGGCTGTCCCAAGCAAAGCAGAATATATGTTTTCCCTAATTACAAGATACATGAATGTTACCTATTCATATTTGAAGATTTATTATAAAAGCAAAATGAATAAATAGCAGTAATTTAAGATTTAAGATGCTACTTGTTTGAATTTTTTTCTCTCTCTCTTTTTTTTTACTTCTCTTCCAGGGGTCTTTAGTTAGGTGCTTATATCTTAGATTGCTTTTTATCATTTATTTTCTTACATTTTCTGTCTCCAGGGTTTTGTACATAATTTAGTGAACAGTGAGGAAGAATTGATGGGTTTGAAGCAGGTAGTGAATTTTTTACTGGTGTGTTTGGGTATTATTGTAATTTACATAATAATGATGTATATAAGATGGATTGGAGCAGGTAGCAAATATGCATCACTCAAACAAATATGATAAAATTATAAATTTAGGTAGAAGCAGCAGGATTAAAGAGACAATTCAAACGAGTCATCTTGGGATATAGCAGATAATACTCAGAAAAAAAGTTTCAAGGGGCTACCAAACATTGTTACAGAAAGAACATTCACCTTGCAATCAGGAAGATCAGAGTTTAATTTTTTATACTATCAATATCTAGCTTCACATTTTCATATAAATGAAATAAAAACATTCAGAAAAAAATTATAGTACTTTATGGGTTTCTCTTCATATTAATTTCCCTCTTTCCCTTTTCTATGACAAGCACTTTCAATATTTCATTTTAATCTTTTTAGTCAATTAATTTTCATAACTATTGATTCTACATATAAAAAACATAAAAATTCTGTGCATTTTTATTTATGCAAATGACACATGTATGTGTTATTCTGTGTGTTGCTTTTAGTATTCAATTTCAGACCTTTGGGAACCATCCACATTGATATCTACAGATCTACTCTTATTCATTTTAGTGTTGGATATTATTGCCTATTGCTCTATATCATTTATCCATCTCCCATTGATGTGCATTCATGTTGTTTCCAGACTTCAAATTCACAAAAAATGCTTCCCCAAGTTTCCCTTCTTGCAAGAGTAAGGCACTTATTCCTAGTCTCCTGAGAGGGCTATTGGCCAACTACCTCCACATAGGTCCCTCTCTTAGATTTGCCAGCAGGTGAAGAGAGATTTCTCACCCAAGAATATGTTCCATTCTCATGACTGGTGAGTGCAGGACCAACTCATTGCAGACTATTCTAAAAAGCCTCCCATTTCTAGATCACAGTAAAACTTTTCTCTCTGCATAATTCAACTTGCTTTCTTTACCTACTGATGTTGATACTGATACCACTCCCCAACAAATGCTGCACACAAATCTTCCTCAGAGTTATTTTCAGGGAATATAAATAAACTCCATCAGTTAGCACTAGAAATAGTTTGAGAAACCACACTCAAAAAAAGGTTTTCGTGCTAGATCATCTATTATCTTCCTGGTAACAGAGCCCTCATCACTTGTGGTAGATGGAGAACATGTAGCCTTCAGGATGTGCAGCAGATCCAATTGTTAAAATTTTAGTGTGGCAATTTATTAGGCAATTTATTAGGCATTTGAGGAATACTGGAAAAAATAAGGACTGTAGAATCCAGTAGCTCTAACTTAAGACTGTTAATGATGAATTAGAAAAAAAAAAATAAAAGGAAGAGGGTGATCAATCACCCTTTACAGCAAAAAAGTGAACACCAGAAGGTTTCCTTGATAACACACAAAGAGAATTTCAACTTCTGCTATCAGAGGTCAGAAAAAAGCTTCAGATTAAATTCAGGACCTGCTTGTAAGGCTAGTTTTACTCCAGAGAAAGTTGAAGTCTCAATACTGACAATCCTGTTACATCAAAGTGAGAACTTAGATTAGGAAAAGATGGAATTATTAGGCATGGGATAGAAATGCTGGGTCCTTGAAATAAAAAAATTTTAGGATTTCCTGTCCATTAGAGGCTACTGATCCTACCTTCCTTGAGGATGACAAAGATTTCTCTATCTTTCAAGACAATGGTGTTTTTCTCCTAGCATTTCATACAATTCTTCTTGTCTACCATATCAATGACAAAGATTAGGTCATAATATAACACATTCTGGTAAACTCTGGGTTTGCCAAGAGAAAAAAGGCTATATCCTAATAAATCTGTGTTATCTTGCCAAAATACTTTACCAGGAGGCAGAAAAGTGTATATGGGACTGGAGAGGCATCACATAAAGTTTGGCAAAGGAGAGTTTATCAATATAAAAACCTTCTGTAATATAGAATTTAACATCCAACCTAGCAAGAAAATCTAGAAGACTGCACTTAAAAATATGTTAGAATGACTATTATAAGCTTGGAGAATTTTCCAGCCCATAGTATATGATGCAGAAATACCAAATTTATCAGGAGAGATGTTAAAGGATGAAATATTAAGTTGATGCAAAAGTAATTGTGGTTTTTGCCACTAAAAGCAATGCAGTTTTTGCCATATAGTTAGATGCTTATATCCTGGATTGCTTTTTGTCATCTATTTTTTTATATACATGCACACCAACCTAATGGGAAGTCTGAAAGTGGATATGCTAAAGTAGATATACTACATACAATAAGAAAACTCACCAGATAAATATGATGCATGAGTGGTCCACAAAGACACCTTATTTATTAAGGCAATAATAAATGTGCTGGTAATCTGAACTCTAAAGACATCAGTGGAAAATGTGTTCTATAGTTCACAGCTGACAGTAAGATGTATCATTATAGCACCTCTGATGGCAATGGAATTAGCAAGATCCTGAAGTAATAAAATCCAAATTGTCTTAACTCAGAAGTAGAAAGAAGGCAAAACTATTATGATAAGCTTGCAAAGTTCAGAGTTTCAAACAGGGCATCACTACCTGTAAAGAACAGAAGCTATTGTTAATAGAATAGCATCCCTAAGAGCAAAATAGATGAGAAGCTGACAAGAATATGGTTCAAAAGAACTAAAGAATGAATAATCAGGAGGCAATCTCTTCAAATCAACACTTATTCTTTTGCCAATTTCTGCATGTGAGCTAGTTTTCAGACCTGGAACCTATTGAATGTAAGAAACTTGGTCCCAAAATACAGGGATCACATAACATCATGTAAGGATATTTCACATCAAGTTCTCAATCTTTTCCAAAGATGTGTATGACTTTTTATTTTGGTAGTCATTTCCTAAAAGAGAGAAATACCTAATCTTTGAAGGACTATTGACACAGGTTCCAAATTAACTTTGACACCAGACAATTCATGACATTTTATGAATTTTTGTGAATGGATGTATACGGGAAGTAGGTAATAAGCAGAGTCTGTGATCAGGTTTGGTTCATAGTGTGCAATGGGTCTACGGAACCCCTGATGGTAATTTCTCTGATTGCCAAATGTATAATTGAAGTGAATATACTCAATAAATGGTCAACACATCCCATTGTTTTTTGGTCTCTAAGATATGAGCTGTCATAGGTGAAGATAAATGGAAGTCTCTGAAACTACCTCCCTTCCATTCACAAAGAGACTAAATCAAAACCATACCATTCCATATCCTGAGGAAATAGTGATGATTAATGCCCAACTTAAAGACCAATAAGTGTCATTAAATCCACAAACATAACCCATCAAAAAACCACATAAATGCTAACAGATGATCACGAGTTACTGCAAACTCAATCTGCAGCTCCTATTGCAGTTGGTATGGTAGAGGTGATACCTTTGCTACAGCAGATTAATACAGCATAAGACACTTGATATGTAGCTAGTGATCTGATAGATGTATTTATTTTCATTACTATTAGAAAGAAAATCCAGAAATAATTTTCTGTTACTTGACACAGACTACAGTCTGTCCTGATTTAGTTTCATGGTCTTGCCCCAAGAATATGTTAACTTTCCTGTCCTCTGTCACAATATAATTCGAAGAGATCTAAAACAGCTGAACATCTGCAAGAGCAGCACATTGGTATGCTCCAAAATTAACATCATGTTAATTGAATTAATATGCAAGAAGTGGGAAGTTTATTGGAGACTTTGGTAAGGCACATAAACTCCAGAAACTGCAAGATAGACCAAGAATAGGGTATTGTCACAACAGTGTAGATCTGAGGTATTCCAGAACATCCCCTGAACATAAGGGCTATATTATTGTGTCTTGCATTTCCCACCACTAAAAGGTAAGCCAACTATCCAGTAGGACTTTCAGATTTTAAAAGAAGCATAGCACACACACTTAAAATATTATTCTGACTTTATGTCCAGTGACACAAAATGCATCTAGTTTCAAGTAGAGTTTAGAGAAGGATAGGGCTCTACAACAGTTCTAGGCTAAGATATAAGTGGTTCTGTCCCATGGGAAACATAACCTAGCAGATAAAATTGTATCATAGATGTCTGTTGAAGAAAAATATGCTATGTGGTGGTTGTTAAAGGTAAGATTCAATAGAAGAATCATAAGCTAGACTTGTACAGGGATAAGTCAAAATATATCACTTGCAGTATACTTTTATGTACTTCTTGAGAAATAGATCTTGTAATATTACTGAACCCTGGAATATTAAGTAAACTTGTAGCCATAACTTCCCTTTGTAAGCTAGGTTTAGTCCTATTCACCATATCATAAGGTCAGATGGCACTAGCAGCAATTCATTATAAGATGTAAGTGATGTAATTTGCAACAGGCATAAATAAGACCAAAGGACAGAAGTTAGTTGCACAAGCAGGTGGCCCAGACTTCTGTGTAACTAACCTATTACCCTGGCACTTCTCCATCAACTCAATATATGAATGCAAAATAAAAACTTATTCTGGCTATATCTTAGCCTCAGTCAGGGGTGGCCTTGAAAAATAGTGCAGAGGTTAATTTTCCAATGATCACTCAGTACTACCCTTGAGTCTGAAAAGAAATAATGGCCATATGTTAGAATATATATATGTACTCATAAACAGTAGTAATCAGTTTGACTGGTTGATTAGGAGCCTAAAAATATAAAGATTGGATGATTGGGAACAAGACAATCAGAACAAATGACATACGCATGAACTTATAGGAGTAGACACAAAGTGTCAAAATCTTTGTGTGTCATCTCAATGCCAACCAGAAAGGATTCACAACAGAAGAGCTACTAAATACCTAAGTAGACAGAATAACTCAGCTATAATAACAGAAACAGAAGCTAATCATGAGCTTAACAGCATAAACTCCCGCTCACTAAAGCTGACATAGTTACTGACTCCAGCCTGCTGGCAACAGAGACCAATGCCTATCTCTTAATATGGCACCTTCCCTGAAATAGACCAACCAGCCACTTGATGGTAAGTTGACTTTTTTTAGCCACCCACTCTGGAAAGGGCAGAAATTCATACTGACTAGAGTCTACATCAATTCTGGGCACAAGTTTGCCTTTTCTATCTCCAGGGCCTTGACTGTTGCAGTATTCAAGGGCTTAAAAGTTTGAATATATCCAGCTTGAGATTCTACATAAACATCACATTAACTATAAAATCTACTCTTCAAGAAAGAAGGTATGGCAGTGGGCACATGATATGCAATCTACTGGTTTCATAATATACCATATGGTCTAAAAGCTGGTGGCTTACTATAGTAAAGAATGGCTTTGTCACCAATAGGTAGAAGGGTGAAAGCAGGAGTGGACCTCTTATCATTAATCCCAGTAACTCTCTTATTTTTCTTTCTCATCACTATAACTCTAACCCCCATAGGCTTAGAGGTACTGTTTCCTAGATCCAAAATGCTTCTGAGGGCAGAGCAAGAGTTTCATTAAGCCGTTAGGTAAGATACTGTCCAGTCATTCTAGACTCCTGATGCCAGAACACCAGCAGACTTGAAAAAAAGTCAGAAATCTCAGTGGAAATAATTAGTCCTGATCATTGAGAATAAGTAGAATTCTTCATACAATGAAAGCAGGGAAGAAGGACTTTCATAACTAGCAGATCTTTTGAGATGTCCCCTGATACTTATTTGTCCTATCTTGATTATAAATGGACAAGTCCAATAGCCACAGCTTGAGAAAGGCGTGGCATATAGGGACTCAGATTTCTTAGGGGTTAGTGTTATTTCACCCAGTCAGGTAAGCCAGGTGTCATCCAGTGGTGTTATCTCAGGTGCTAACAGTGTTATCCAGGGGTAAGGGGAAGAAAAAAAAATGTGTAAAGAAGGAGAGGGATAATAAATACCAGTTTAAACCTCCCCAAATCTGCTACAGAAGCAAGATGTAACACTGTGATATAAAGAGATATATATATTGGTTTTTGGTCCCAGGTTCCTGGCCAGAATTCCTAAAACCATGGTAAATTCCCATGTCATAAGAGCAATCGGAGCATCTTTTGTTAAATATTTGGTTCTTGTTCCCAGTTCCTGAAATAGTTCTGGAGCTATAAAGGAGAAAGGGGCATCTTTTGTTATTCATAACAGTCCCCTTTCAATCATACCTGAGTTTATGTTAACAAAGTAACTTTCAAAACTCCCCAAGGATGGAGAAGCTGATTGTCAGGGAAACTAAACATGTCATTAGAGGGTCCAAACTTCAGCCCCACTCCAGACACATTTCCAAGAAAGGGAGAGGGAATAGTGGTTGAGTTTAATTACCAATGGCCAATGACTTAACAATCATGTCTTTGTGCTGAAACCTTCATAAAATCCTTAAGCAAAAGAGTTTGGAAAGCTCCTGGATGAATACCTGGAGATGTTGAGATGGGGATGCACTTCTCCCTCACACCTTGCCCTGTGTGTCTCTTTCATCTGGCTGTTCCTGAGTTTTAACTTTGTCAAAAGACAGAATTACAATAAATTTAGTTTGTCATCTGAAAGACCACCAGGATGGCTAAACAGTAGAAAAGAGAGTTAGGCTGGTAATACTGGTTTGCACTCTGGTAAGAGAAAGTCTCCAGTATGGACTCAAGTTTCTCTCTCTTCAAAGAGGGGAAGGACAGGTTGGATTTTATGCCTCAAAGGATCTATATCACACACATTTAGCAGGTTTTGGGCAAAAGCTATACACATTTAGGAGGGGAATCAAGTGCATGCAGATTGGGTAAACAAGTACAATATAGAACATGCATCTCAGGTCTACTTTGGAGTTGGATTTTATCATTAAAATGAGGTGAAATTTGGCTCTTTACATCAAAATGTCACAGCCCAGTGGGTTCATCTTGCCCAGTGCCCAGAAAAACCAATGCACTGGGAAAAGCAGGCATTGCAGCAAAGAAAGAGATTAATAATCACAGGAGCAGTCAGAGGAAAGAAAAGGAGCTATTTCTCAAATCTGCCTCCCTAAAAATTTTGAGGCTAGGGTTTTCTAAGGGAACTTCTGTCAATAAGGATCTAGGGAACTGAAACAATTGATTGGCTGGGGATGAAATCACATGGGTGTCTTCACTGTCTTCCTGCAACTGAGTCAATTCCTGGGAGACGATCTCAGAATCAGGTGATGTCTCTTGGTCTGCTGAAATGCCATATGTGAAATATATCTCAAAGACCACTTCTTTAAGTTTGGCAATAGTGATGTTATCTACAGCAGTAGTTAAGGAAGTTATAACTTGTGCCCCCTTGGTTATGTGACTCTGGAGCAGTAAGCAACTTATAGAAAAGCAAGCTCAGCCATGGCAGGTATTTGCTTAGCAAAGTTCAAGCCCTTACCAAGATTCTAACCCTGTGACCTTTTGTTAGTCTTTACAAATACAGTTTTAATTTTCTTTATATAAAGGAGGGGATTGGCTTAAGGAGGAACTATTATGGCCTCCACACAAGAAGGAGCAAAAGCAATTCACCCTGGTAGAAGCAAGATGGAGTCAGTTATGTCAGATTTCCCTTACCACTACAATATTTGCAAAGGTGGTTTCCAAAAAGTAAACTATAGGACAAAAAGATTATCTATGCACAGCCTCTATAAGCTGGTTGAAACTGGCCTAAGTTCTGCAGTAGCTTATCAGAAAAGAATTTGTAAGGCCACCCCTCTCTCTAATCAGAGAGCGCCTACTGTTAGGGTGTTTAGCCCCAGAAATTTAGAAATTTGCTTTGTCAGCCAGGCCTGGACTCTCAACAGATAACTTTGTTTCCTTAACGTTTGTGTCCATCTAAGTTTAAACAGGGGCATCCAGTTTGTTGTCTCAGATCACAAGTTTAAAGATCTCAATTGCCTCTATTGTGACTCTAGAATCGGGCAGCACTTTATTTCATGAAATTGACTAAGTATTCCAACAAGCTGAGCAGAGAGGATTGGTTTTGTAGACAGAAAGCACTGAAGAGAGACGAAACAAAAAAACAAAAAGCAGACTGATCATTTCAAAGTTACCTTCCTCGTAAGACAGGAGCGGGGAGAGAGAACCCTAGAAAAATAACTAATTAGTTAGCATCAGGTGGCTGTAGGCTACCTTTTTCATGTAAAGATTAAAGTAGAAGGGACTTCATTATTACACCAACTGAAGATTGAATCTGGCCTGTTTAGGAAATTGGTTGTTATGTTTCCTGATTTCTCAAAAGGTTAGATAACAACTTAGCTTTAGTTTGGTGATGTGGGACTTCAGCATAGGTGACTCCATTTTGGTTTTTAGTCTGGCCTGTGGAGGCCGAGTACAGGAGCTTAGTCCAAAACAATGGCTTCCTATAACTTTTATGAAACATTCTTTTATCATTAACCAGTAATCTAGTAAGTTACTGTTTTTCTTATTTCTGGCAGCCAAGCTAGCAAATTATCAAACCCTGGGGGGAGTTTTGGAAACCTCAGATGTATAGCCAGTGGATCAGAAGTTGGAAAGGAGACCTAGACTTGTGATTGGCATCTGAAATGAGGGTGGTTTTGTGAGACTGAGCTGGTAACTTGTATCTCATGCTAACACCAGGTAGGTAGTATCAGAATTAAATTAAATTGTAGGCCAATCAGATGGGATCTGCAGAGAATTAGATAATTGCTTGATATAAAAAAAGTCCACACGGCCAGGCGCGGTGGCTCACGCCTGTAATCCCAGCACTTTGGGAGGCCAAGGCAGGCGGATTACGAGGTCAGGAGATCAAGACCATTCTGGCTAACATGGTGAAACCCCATCTCTACTAAAAAATACAAAGAATTAGGTGAGCGTGGTGGCGGGCGCCTGTAGTCCCAGCTACTCGGGAGGCTGAGGCAGGAGAATGGCGTGAACCCAGGAGGTGGAGCTTGTAGTGAGCTGAGATCGTTCCACTGCACTCCAGCCTGGACAACAGAGCGAGACTCTGTCTCAAAAAAAACAAAAACAAAAACAAACAAAAAAAGTCCACACATTTTTGTGTCATAAGTGTCGTGTGAGTGTAGAGTAGAAAACAGCTTGTTTTTTTTTTTTTTTTTCCTTTTACAGGGGTTGCAATGGATTCTATTATTCTTCCTCTTTCAACTTGACCCCACTCCAAAATAAGTTTATTATCTTAAAGGAATAAATCCTGACTTCCAGAACAAAAGCATTTATTCCCCCAGCTGACAGCTCTCCAATGAGTTTCTCTCTTAGGACTAGCCCTTGGCCAAAAATAACTTCCTCATCCAAATCTTACCCTAGGTACTAATTTCAATAGAGTACTTCCTAATCACATTCCTGTATGTAAAGTTCCTCTCAAAGTTTGCTTCCTTGAGAAACCCAACCTGTAAACATGAACAAGGCACACTTTGCCAACTCAGTGACATAATTTTCTATATAAACACATGTTTGAAAGTGTCAAAATATTTCCACGCAATCCCCTCAAGTACATATACAAACACAAGCATGTATGCATGTACACATACACACAACATATTCAAATTGACTGTTCTTGTTATAAATAATTTTTCCTTTCAAATTTCCTTTTTTTCTATAGGGAATTCAATAAGCACTGATTCAAAAGTACTTGAATATCTTAATGAATAATAACTTAATGAAAGCTAAGCTTATTTTTCATTGTTATTAGAGATGGTGTACTATCTGTATTGTTATTTTTTTAGGGAGATCTAGTTGCATGAATAACATTCCATGGAGGAGGATCAAACTCACCAGATAACTAAAATAGACCAGAAAACAAGTTCAAAGAAGTCGAGTGAACATGATTACATAATAAATAGGAGAATTTATATTTAGAAATAAGTAAAAACATTAGGCTCAGATTTGCCCAAAGATAAGCTTGTTTGTTTTGGCACAAGGTATTCTATTTTAGAAAGTCTAAATAGAAAGTCTAAGAATAGTTTTGTATCTCATTTGGAAGCAAAATGTATCTGACCTGATCTCATTTAGTTTCAAATCTTGACCTGAAGAAATAAAGGTTTATTGTGGTATGTATGTATTTTACTTGGTTGGAATATTTAAACATTTTCTTGTAGAAATATTAAGGATTTTTATTACAAGCTGCAGTACCTAACACACTGGACTTGTTACAAAGTGTACAGTATATACTGTGTATTCATCATGTCCTCTTTCTAGACTTTGAAAATTTCTGAATGCCAAAACATATCTTATATATGTAATTTCAATACTAACTTTATTCAAAATGCAATAAAATATAAAATGTAATATATATGCATGTTTAAAATGGCAGCAAAACCTGAGATCTCTTAGGGACATTGTTTAACGTAAAGAACTTATTAATCTCTTCTCTAAAACAAGTATATTATTCTGGAAGTTCTTTGAAGCAATGCTAGAATAATTTAGCCATTATATACTTTATTTTAATACATATAAATTAGGTGAATATATAATGATTTAGAAGGGCAGAAGAAAGAAAAGACACCCGGAATGAAATTGCTAAGGATTTATGGTGCTCCAAAGCCTACAGCCTATAAACAAAGCTATCATAACTAGCTTTATATGTATAATCAACCATAGAGGGTAAAATTATTGTTTTAGGATGTTACTTTGTTGTTTTACCCAAGCATTGCCTTGATCTTTATTATTAATGCCTGCTACTTGCCTTCTTTCTTGTTATTTTTCTCTTCTCTCTAAATCTCTCTTCTCACAAATCAATATTTTTGAAATTCCAATTTAATTATTCACCTAGTAAATAATTGTTCTGTCCAGTAGTTGTGTTTTTATATAATGAATGGCTCTGTTGGGAGAGTGAACTATTACCCACCTCCCCACCTCCTTCAGGCTAATGCTTTATTTAGGTAGAGTAAAGCACGGTGTGAGATAATGAGGAGTGTCTGGATGGAGCGATCCTTCCGAATGCAACAATAATTTCGTGAAATGCATATTCAGAAATGCCATAATAAAAACCTCTGAATTTCTTAGAATGCACTAAACTGTGCAAATTAAACTCTCTGTATAACCTCAATTTATGCCTTTGAAAGTGGATATAATGTTAATATTAAACCCTTCTTATTGATCCCACCATTTATCACATAGTCCACTGTTCATTTAGTATCAATCCATGATTATCATTTTTACAGGTTTAAGTCTATTTCAGATTACTTCCATTTATTGGAGACCAATAATGTCATTTTATTAAGGGCATTGTTCATAAGTCTAAATGCAACCTACCTGTAATGTGTACTATTGCAGTGACAAGTAAATGACTATTTGTAAATTAGCAACCTGACAAAAACAAAAAAGTAGTTAAAATTATATTTCAATTAAAATATTTAAAGAAGAGCCTTTTATATCTGGATCATGGTACATGAACACCTGCAATCTTATTTTCTCTGTATTTTAATATTTCATATTAAATATGTTAAGGTTTCTCAACGCAACAAAGACACTCTCAAATTAATTTGACCGATGCTATTTCATATAGAAATTAGTCTTAGGAAGCTTTTAAATTCCATCTGATCTCGTATTTTATAGTAGTTCTTCTAACACTTTGTTCATTTGTGGTTTTATTTGTTGTCATTTGTGGTTTCATCTATGAGACCACAGCATTGAACTTTGTAAGGAATATTCTAAGTGGATATTTTTGTGAAATTAACTTTACGGTATTTGAATAGCGATATTAGAGAGTTACTATATGAAAACAGGTAATATATTGTTTATATACGGTTGTATTCTGCCTGGTCTTACAGATTCTGTTTCTGTTTTATTAGCTGAGTGAGATCTGAAATGTTATGTTTTTCCTCTTTATTGCTAATGTTTGCACCTATATTCCAAAAATATTTTTTTCTAGTAGGAAAGTATTATTATACAGTTTTATTTGGTGTCTTCCAGCCTTTCCCTGTGGCCAGAAACATGCTGAAATCTCATACATTATAAAATTCTAGTCAAAAGAAAATCAATAATGAAAAAACGAGTCATGTTCTGAAAGTCATGCTATATATATAAATCAATTACAGATGGATAAGAAATTTAAATATTGGTATAAAGTAAGTATTGTAGAAGAAACAAAAACATTATCTATAAGTAAATAATTTTAACAAGTACAATGTGGACAAATTAAACTACACTAATATTAAGAACTTTATTCAGGAAAAACACCATTGAGAGAGAATAGAGACAGAGGAAAAGGATAAAATAAAATATTTTTAAAACATAATATTAACCAAGGATTTTTCTAGACTATGTAAACACACTTGGCTGTTGAACAACACAGGTTTGAAATGTGTGGTTCTACTTACAGGCAGACTTTTGACAACAGTTGCACTGAGTGTGCCTGCCTCTCCTGCCTCCCCTTCCACCTCCTCTACCTCTTCAAACTCTGCCACTACTGAGAAAACAAGACCACCTCCTCCTCCTTCTCTTCCCCCTCTTTCTTAGCCTACTCAAACTGAAGATGACGAGGATGAAAACATTTGTGTTTCATCAAACAAAGGAACGATGATTCATTTCCACTTAATATATAGTAAATATATTTTGTCTTTTGATGATTTTCTTAATAACATTTTCTTTTCTCTGGCATACTTTATTATAAGAATACGGTATATAACATTTATAACATACAAAATAGGTGTTAATCAACTGTTAATGTTATTGATAAGCTATTAGTAGTTAAGGTTTTGGAGAGTCAAAAGTTATACACAGATTTTCAACCTCATGGGAGATTGGTGCCCATAACCCTGCATTATTTAAGGGTTAACTGTTAATTTAAAATGGTCCAGTGACATAAACATGCCCTTCAAATAAAATATTCAAATGGCTAATAAACTTCAGAAACAATGCTCAACCTCAATAGTTATCAGAAAAAAACATGCATGCTCAATAATAATATAAAGTTTAAAATATTGACCATACTCAGTGTCAGTAAGGATGCAGAACAACTAAGACCATCTCAAACTACTGAGTAAACAGATAAAGCTACTTTGGAAAAATATTATGGTGCAATAATATTAATCATGGGAATGAACCATATATATATATATATATATATATATATATATATATATATATGCATCAAAAGAGTTATAAGAATGTTTCTAGCAGCATTATAAGCAACAGCCAAAAATAAGAAATAAACCAAATATTCTTCAACAGAAGAGTGGATATATATATTTTGAAAATATAATAATAAAACATCATTGCATGGAAGACAACTAGTACATACAAGCCACACACATGAAACACTCAACAAATACTCAGTAAAAGAAGCCAGAAGCTGATGAGTAAATAATGTGCCATTCTATTTATATAAAGTTTTAAAAATAGCAACTAAACTATGATATTAGGAGTCAGGACAGTGGTCACTTTTGCATGGGGAGAGAGAAGATAATCTTCAGGGTGATGACTTGCCAGATCATTAAAGTTATATGCTTTAACCTCCCCTTCTTGCAGAGACTAATGCTGGGTAATTTGCCTTCTCATCCCCTAAGTTAAGTAGAATGAAAAGTCTCTGAGTAACTGGTAAATATTATAAGTGCCCAGACACCCAATGAGAGGGAACTCTGGCCTCTTTTTCTTCAAAACATATATCTGCTCATATGCACTTTGCTTTGTAATAAAATTATTTACAACAGCTAAATATAATAAAAACATGCTACCAGAAATATTTCCATGATATACCGTGGAGGAAAAATAAATAAATTCTTAATTTTTTTGTTCTTTTAGAAAGTCTTTTTTTATACATTCGAGAAGCCTTTGACTTTTTGCTTTGTGCATTTATGAATTTTATTTTACCATGAGCATATATCACTTCTATGATTTTAAGAAGTTGTGAATAAGCATAATGATGCCTTGGAAACTTTAAAGACTATATCAGAGAAACAAGTAAGTAGGGAAGTATGACCTATATGGCAGAGAAAAATCAACCAATAGAAGCAGGTGCAAAACTGAAGCATATGGTAAGATTTATTGACAAGGGCATTAACAGGATTATTATAAGTATATTCCATGTGTTTAAAAAATAGATCTTCCCATAAACATATTTAAAAATGTATAGAAGACATAAAAGAGACACAAATTGAGCTTCTAGATATAAAAAAGTCTAAAATAAAATGTGATTAAAAGAAGTTTAAATGTTGTAGAAGAAATGATCACCAATGAACTTGTATACAGACTACTATAAACTATCCAACCTGAAAGATAGTGAGAATAAAGATGGAAAACAAATAACAGACCAACAGTGATCTCTGGGAAAATATCAAGAAGATGAATGCAAGTGTAAGTATAACCACCAAAGAAGGGGGACAGAAAAATCATTTAGAAAATAAGATATATATTATTTTTCATATTTGCTGAAAACTAACCCCACAGATACAAGAATTTCAAAAATACCTAAGCATAAGAGATATAATGATAACACAGCAATGTGCATAATAATTGGATTGTATCATATAATAATAAAGAGTAAAATCTTAAAAGGATTCAGAAAGAAAATGACACATTATACACAGAGTATAATATAACAATAGCAGCTGACTTAAATTTTTTTAGTGAGAAGAGAGTGGAGTATTATTTCAAAATACTGGGAAAAATAAAAAAACCCTGTAACCTAGAATTCTGTATCCAGTGAAAATGTCTTTAAAAATGAATGCAAAATAAAGATTATTTAAGTTATAAAAATATAAAATAATTCATCAGCAGCAGACCTATCCTACAAGAAATGTTTAAAGAATTTCTTTTAGCAGTAGTATGACAAGGTGGCTCATACCTGTAACCCCAGCTACCCAGGAGGCTGAGATCAGAAGCTTGCTTGAGCCCAGTAGTTTGAGATCAACCTGAGCAACATAGCAAGACCCCATATCTAATTTTTTTTAAAGTAGTCAGGAAGTGGCACATACCTGTAGAGCAGCTACTTGGGAGTCTGAGGTGGGAGGATCCTTGAGCCCAGGAGTTTGAGGTTATAGTGAGCCATGATCGTGCCACTGAATGTCAGATTGAGTGACAAAGCAAGACTCTGATCCCTTAAAAAAATAAAATAAAATTTAAAAAGTTCTTCAGCAGAAGAAAATGACACTAGATGGAAATCTAGATTCACAGAACGGAATGCAAAGCACCAGGAATGCCAAATATACCTATAAACATAAAATACTTTTCCTAGTTTAAAAATATCTTTAAATTATAATAAGTTATTTAAAAACAAAATAATAATGTATTATGCGATTTGTAACATAAATTTAAAGAAGTGAAATATGTGATAACCATAGCAGAAGACCAGGTGAAGGAAAATGGAATTACAGTATTAGAGGGTTTTTATATTATACACTGAGTGATATAATATTGTTTTAAGTAAGGCTTCAATAAGTTTTTAAGCTATCACCTAATGCAACAATGAAAAAGGGCAAACAAAATATCTTTATAAATATTCCCATAAAAGCAATGAAAGGGAATGACTTAAAAATATTCAAAAAGAAGGCAGAAAAGAGAGGAAAAGGGGAAAAATTGCAGATGAAACAAATAGAGAAAGAAAATACAGAGATGGTAGTTTCAATCTATGTCAATACTCATTTTATATATATGCTCTAAGTACTTAAATAAAAATAATCAATGGTCATATCGAATTAAAAAGACCCAATTATATGCTTTCTCCAAGCAGCCCACTCTAAATATAAAGACAAAAATATATTATAAATAAAATAATGAATATAGACATAGTAATGAAGAGAAATCTGGTCAAAGTAGATTTCAAGCAAGTATTGTTACCTAGGATAAAAAGGGACATTTTCATAATGTTGTGTCAATTATTAAAAGGACCAAAAATCCTAAATGCTTATTCACCTAGTAACAGAACTTCAAAATACATGAGAGGCAAAGTCTAGGAAAACTCAAGACAAAATTACAACTGTTTTCTGAGAAGCAAATAGCAAAACAATATTAAACATGTAAGAATCATATTTGGAAAAACTTCTATAAAAGAAATGTGTGTGAGGCCAGGTTAGACTGAAAGAAGCATCAGACCTTGACTTGTGTTTGACCCTGAGTGTGGAGAATGGGATAAAGTTTGTGTGAAAGGATCTTGGAATATCTTGTAGCCTAGGGAAGATTCAGACAGGCCATCAGATAAGTCCAATATTTTCCAAAAATCGTAACGCTTACTATTTCTGCCATACTGCATTGGCTAGCCCATGGGGATGTACAATAATACATCGTGTAGTTCAGCACTTGGGGCCCTTGGTTAATTAAGCTCCCTAAAATCAGAGATCTATAAGGTACATTCACACTGGTTACACACTGGTCAACCCAGTTCACCCACTTTGCCACACAGATCTACTTATCCAAAAAGGATTTGTGGCAGCAACATTGTGGTCCTGTGCATTTTTCATCAGGTAAAATTTGAAAGAAGAAACTTAGTGGAATAAACTACACTTTCATCAATACAATTGATATTGAGGCTTCTCTCTCTCCTTTCTCCACTAGCTAATCTAAAGTTCCACTCTAAATTTCCC
The DNA here is from genome assembly GCF_000001405.40 of Homo sapiens. Classification (NCBI taxonomy): domain Eukaryota; kingdom Metazoa; phylum Chordata; class Mammalia; order Primates; family Hominidae; genus Homo; species Homo sapiens. The sequence goes on from NC_000004.12 coordinate 171,149,455, forward strand.
TTATCATCAGCTACTACTTTGGCATGTTTTGGTGGCCTATCTCAATTTCATTGAGGAAGCTGTAATCTTTTATTATCATACACTCCTCAGTGTGTAGTACCTGCCCATGCTCATTTACACTTACAATGAAGCATGGGATTGGTAAGCAGGATCTCCTGGGTTTCACAAATGCTCTTCCCTCTTCCCACTCTTTAAAAATGCCCTTCCTCCTCCTTGCCAGTATGGTGATTCCTCTTCTCCCCGGTGGTACACAGAATTCAAAGTGCTCTGGCAGACATAGTGGGCCCATTATTGGGCCACCTAGCAAGAATGAATCACTGTTGAGGAGGACCTCCAGTTCTGCAGAACCCATAAAGAAGATGGGGAAAAAATATTCCCTGGTGAGTCACTGGGGCTTCTTCCAATGGAGTAGATGGTAAGGGAGTCACTACTTTTTCCAACCCTTTGTTCCCAGTTTCATGCATTTGTCCTTCCTATGGGAGACTCAGTACCACATAGTAATCTCCTCCTTATGAAATATAGTGTGCCCCAAAGAACAGCACTTCATCATGTCAGAGTTTTCTCTGAGCTGATGCTTTATGTGCACCTTTAGAAAGCCATTCTGGTGTTCTATATGGTTGACTTCTTTGGGATGGTATAGTACTAATATGACCTGTGGGTACTATGGGTCATACACCTACCCCTCATGTCTTCTTCAGTGTTAAACAGGTCCCCTAGTCAGATGTCATATTTCTCAGGATTGTCTGTGCATCAGGTCTTCTTAAAGCCCTAGGATAGTAGGACTCTTACAGATAGTCTGTGTGTAGAAAAAGCAAATCCCACCTGAAATCTTCCCCCTTTAAGGACAAGCCAAGTGACCTATTATAGAAAGGGAATGAGGTATCTACTTACCACCAAGTAAGTAGTTGAGATCTTTGAGAAATAATGCTACGTTAAGAGCTCAATGTAGGTCTGTTGCTGGGAAGTTGGTTATTCAGAAATAGTAGTAGCTACATCAGCCTTGGTAAGTCTGTGATGTCAGACCCATAAATAGCCTCCCTTTCTGACAGCATGACCATTCCGTTCATATGCCTGTTGTACCAATTCTGCAGTGACTGATGATGAAGATCAGCTTAGGTGTATTCACTGAGTCATTTTGTCTACTTGGTTGTTAAGTGACTTGTTCACAGTGGATGTTTTCTTGTATGAGTTAACATGTGACATAAAAAACTTTATCCTCTGCCATAGGTATATTAACAGGATCTAACCTAGATACCCTTATCTTTAACTTTCTAGTTCTTTCCTGTCCACAGGTCTGTATATAAGCTCAACATGGGCCATTTCTTCTGACATATACAAGGATGAACAGGTGCAAAACTTACAGTTCGACTCATTAGAAATATTTTTCTTTTCCACTCTCTTTCAAGTCTGCTCCCAAATGTAGCTGTAATGCAGTTGTTGTCCCTCTTCACGATGCACCCATGTTCTGAGCTAACTTGCCTATAAACCCTACTTAGACTGTTCCTCATCTTTCAGGTGGTTATATAGGCCTTCCTATACAACATATGCCCAGGCAGTAGTATGCATGCAATGGTGATAAGTGACATAGGGGTCTGAGAAACCTGCTAATGCAGCTCACTCATACTTTCTGGTCTTGCTTAGGTTTGAGGCTACATGTAACATTGCTATCTTACTATGGACTGCTACTGGGTTCATATGACTTTAGGAGTTGATAGGCCTGAAAGAATCTAGCTCACAGTGAGAAGTTCCAGACATAGTTACTTGGAATCCTATGGACAAATATCGGGCCTCAGTAACATGCCAAAAGCTGTTTCTTAAAAGGTGTGTAATTGTTGCAGATGGCATAAACCTGCTCCAGAATTTTAAAGACATGCACTCATATTCTTTCACGAGCTTGTCAATAACCCCATCATTCCCTCTTTTATCCTTACTGTCACCTCTACTGTGACATGGTCTGCTGGATTGTATGGTCCAGACAGCAGAAATGGAAACACAATGACCTGGGATTTCTGCAAAAAAAATCCCTTCCTACTAGAAGGCACACTCAAAATTGTCAGCTTTCCATGTAATTCCAGTATATAAGTCGAAGTGGTGACCTTATGTGGGAAATATGATACCTCTAATCCAGTGGGTAAGAGGTTCCGTGTTTCTTTCCTTGTGGTAGGGAATGTAAGTTGCAATAATTTTTATTTCTCACTGCATGAGGTATTCTAGCGTTGTCTTGACTCCTAAAAACATCACTAAAGTGTCTAGTCCCTGAGTCTTCGTAGAGTTTATCTCTTATCTTCTGAGGTGCATGTATTTCACCAAGACTTTTAACATACTAACCATCTCTTGTTTGTCTTATGTAAAAAGCTCATGCTATTGATGTAATGAATCAGTGTTATGTTCTGTGAAATGTTCAGGTTGTCCAGTTCTGCTTGATTATATTATGACAGAGGGTAGAACACTTAACATAGTTTTGAGGCAAAACTATAAATAAATACTGTTGTCCCTTCCATGTTAAATACAAATGACTTCTGGTCCTCTTATATTTGAAATGGAAAAGAGCACATTCATCAACTCAAAGTCTGTATGCTATAAATATTCATTAAGAAATGACACAATGTCTTGCATAGCCTGTGTAGTCCGAACTCCTGCCCTGTTAGGTCTTCTATAGGCTATAGTCATTCTTCAGACTCCATTTGGCTTACAGTAGCTAAACTGACATATTAAATGGAGATAAATTATAGACAACCACACCTGTATCCTTTATTTCTTTAATATTGGCACTTATCTCCTCCACTCCCTTCCCCAACAAGAATACGATACTGCTTTTGATTTACTATCTTGGTTGTGGGGTGGAAAGAGGAGGCAGTTTTATAGGCTTCTTTTTAATCTTCCCCATCATGATAGCCTTTCCACAACAGATCAGAGATCCAATGTGGCAGTTACTCCAGTTACCAAACATATTTCCAAACATGTAGATGGAAACTGGGAACAGGATCACTGGGTGGATACTCAGACCCATTGTGAGACTGACTTTTGCCAGGACTCTATTATTACCTAGTCCCAGTGAGCCCCAATGCAACACAGGGCTGAGATAATAATATGAGTCCTGGGGTATCAATATCCTTTTGTAATGTGTCTAAGAGTCCTTGAAATGTCTGTGTATTCTCTTTGTCTCAGTGTACCATCAGCCAAGTAAATGGTTATAAGTCCTTTTGGAAAAGAAATTGAGACTTGTCACAATATATTCTTGCATTGGTGTTACAGAGCCCTGTGTTCCAGAGACTCATTCCTACTTTTGATAAGTGGGTTCGGGTTCTAAATATCATCTCAGGTCTGTGATCTGAACAGAGTCGTGGCTTTTTAGTTAGGCAATTACCTTCAGATTCCTGATTCTCTAATCGTTTTGTCATTGTTGTTATAGATGTTAAGTAGCACATTTGTTGCCTGTTCAACTATTTTGCCTCTAGGGACAATGATATTGGTCAAATTCATTTGGCCCCATTTCTAACCTTGGCAGTCATCATGGAAATTCCAGTCTCTTGGATGCCAGCAGTAAGGGCCACCACAGGCCTTTATTATTAATGGGCATGAAGGGATCCACTTCAACCTAATAGATATAAATGAACCTGGCTCTGTTACAGCCTCGTTTTCTATCATCCATGGTCTTCAGGGTTGACATCAAATAATTTAGTGATACTGTCACCGCCCACCCTCACTTCTGATGGTCTTTGTGAATTAAGTATCCTCTGAGACTTTCCATGGAAACTAATCTTCTGGTGGCACTTTAGGACTTACATAATACATCCAATCCAGCATGCCCATCTCTCTCAGCCTCCTCACTTCTTTCTCCACCATCTGCCATGGCAACTGAGGCATTCCCACTTGGGAGAGATTTAGATATTTTAAAATCACATTTCTAATAATTACACTTAGCAGCAAGTTTGTCATATTCTCCGGAATTCTTACTAGATGTTAAATTATATATCCCAAGGAAACACTCTCAAGTCAATACATTCTCTCTTATCTAGTCTTACATTCCAGTTCCCCTTTATCAGGCACCCTCAAAAATCAATAAATCCCAAGATTAATCTCTCAGTGACTTAGTATCAGCCAGCTAATTATGGCAATTATTTAATTTCAGAGTCTCTTTCCTCCTTTATGAAGCCCAACACATGGCTAGTTTGGTTATGGTGGGATTTCATCCTAGGTATCAAGCTGACAATCTGGACGTAGGTGGGGTCAACCTCTGAAGGGTTTCGTATTGCCTTGCCAGAAAAAGATTTATGCAGCATCTTCCAGCCCAGTGGAAGATCCAGTATTTAGCTGTGAAAAACCATCCATAGCCACAATAAGTGTCTCCTTCCCTTTTCTGATCATTTTGCGTTAGCTAGTTATACCACATTGACTTTTGCATATAAATTATTTCACCTAATATTGCATGAAAATCTAGTGTTTCATTAAGTCTCGGTTGGAATAATTGGACCAATTATTATGTTTTGTAAAATAAGCTGCCCGTTACAATTATTTATAAAAATACAATACATGCTCCTGTTGCAACTTTCAAAAACATAGACAATCTCATTTATATTCAGTAGTAATATCTGAATGAACATAGCCAGTTGAATTTAGTCTCAATGCTCCAAAAACTTTCTTGTGTCTCTTTAAAAATAAGGTCTGATTACTGTTTTGTGAGTTTGCTTCTAATCATATTTACTTCCTTTACCTGATCAAAATTAATCTTCATTTAACCAAGGACAATTATTAACCATATGATTTAGAACTTCATCTTGCAGATCATCACACCAATCAACTCTTACTATGAGGACAAGTACCTCTGATTTATAATAACTATAAATTAATCAGTATTTACAATGAATAATTCATTCCTGGTAGAGCCCTTGGATTGGGATTCTTTCATTTCTCTCAGTTCAATGCTCTGAGAACCACTGGAAAGGGACTTCACATGACCTAGCACACCTTTGTCTCCGTGAAGGAGTCAAGGTGGTCTCTCATCAGCAAAATAGCCTCAGATTGACTTGTTCTCATTTTGATCTCCTGAATATTTATGGAAACTAAAGCCTTTGCAGTATCTCCTGTGTATGATCTACTGGCCTCCTTTGATTTAATACATGTTTAATTCATTTTCATATATCAAATATAGAGAATTTATATTAAATATCAACATCAGTTAAGGAGGTATAACAGGATAAAAAGGAGAGAAAACTCTTCTTCCAATATTACAATGTAATAATTAATATTTATGTTTTCTTCCTGAGAGACTTCTCCACTGACCATTACTGATACAGCTGACAGGGGTAACTGAGAACATAAATCTTGACTGCTATGTTCAAACCATGACTGCTATGGTTTGAATTTTTGTCTCCTCTAAAACTCATATTGAAATTTAATCTTCAACATGGCAGTATTGAGAGGCCAGAGCATTTAAGAAGTGACTGGGGACGGGTGCAGTGGCTCACACCTGTAATCCCAGCACTTTGGGAGGCCAAAGCGGGTGGATCACAAGGTCAGGAGTTCAAGACCAGCCTGGCCAAGATGGTGAAACCCCATCTCTACTAAAAATACAAAAATTAGCCAGGAGCGGTGGCAGGTGCCAGTAATCCCAGCTAATCAGGAGGCTGAGGCAGGAGAATCACTTGAACCCTGGGGTCGGGGGCACAGGTTGCAGTGAGCTGAGATCGTGCCACTGCACTCCAGCCTGGGGGACAGAGTGAGACTCCATCTCAAAAAATAAAAATAAAATAAAATAGAAGTGATTAGGTTATGTGAGCTCTTGTCCTCATGAATGTATTATTTCGTTCCTGTATTAATGGATTAATGGGTTATCAGAAGAGTGAGAATGATGGATTTCCAAGAAGAGGAAGACAGACCTGAGCTAGCATGCTCAACTCTATCACATGATGCCCTGCACCAGCTCAGAACTCTGCAGAGAGTGTCTGTCAGCAAGGAGGTTCTCACCAGATGTGGTCACTCAACCTTGGACTTCTCAGCCTCCATTACTGTAAGAAATAAATTCCTTTCCTTTATAAATTTTTCAGTTTAAGGTATGTTATAAACAACAGAAAACAAACTAGGACAGTGACCACAATACAAATTATAAAGTGTGCTCAGAGTGCACAAAATTTATAAATGCACCAGGAATAAGTGTCTATACATTGGAAATAGAAATAAAATCACGTGTGGGTGTTTCAAGCTAGAGCAGAAAAAGAGCCAGGAGCTATATAGCTATATAGTAATAATAAGTATTCAGAATAACAAGGGACCTAGATATGAAATTCTGTATATCTGATGATCAGGAGATGATCAGAACAGCCAGTGAGCAGGCCAGGAGAGCAGATATATGAGGCAGGTTTGAAGGGGAATTTAAACACAAAAGGACACCCTTCCCCAAAATATTGTACTTACCACTAAGTGAACACTTACTTAAATTTCAGTTAAGCAATTTGGTGTGTTACTCCATTTTCCCACCGCTATAAGAATTGACCAAGAATGGGTAATTTACAAAGGAAAGAGGTTTAATTGACTTACAGTTCCATATGGCTGGTGAGGCCTCAGGAAACTTACAATCATGGCTGAAGGTGAGGCGGAGGCAGACGCTATCTTCACAAGAAAATGCATGAAGAGAGAATGAATGAAGGAAGAACTTGCCAAACACTTAAAAAACCATCAGATGTTGTGAGAACTCACTCACTATCACAGGAACAGCATGGGAGAAACTACCCCCATGATCGAATCACTTCCCACCGGGACCCTCCCATGACACGTGCGGTTTATGGGGATTAAAATTCAAGATAAGATTTGGGTGAGGACACAGCCAAAACATTTCTTTTGTTAACTCCATTAAACTAGAAAGTGGAAACGCCTTCCCCAGCTTTTAGTTTGTGCTGTTTTTAGTATGCTACACTACACACACTCTGAACATATTTTAAAATATTTAATGGAATGTATTTCCTGGATATTGCAAATAGAAGATAAGTGATAAAATATGAGTTTAAGGGAAAAGTAATAGCGATTTTTGACAGAGTTTTTTATTAACACGTCTAATAATTATATTTCGTGAGAAGATATCCTCAAGAATAATAATGCTAGTGAATAAATTGAAGATTTTACTTTCTCAGTCAACAACAGATTTGATAATATAGGTGTTATATTTCTAAATATCTGCAATAATATCTAATTACATTTTTATTGTGAATGAGGGATTGACTATTCTGTACATTCTAGAGTTAAAAATGTTTGTCTTGGTTAGAAAAAGCAGCAAATTCCAATACATAACTGAAAACCTAGGCCTAGTTTTGTATATGGAAAGAGTTAAATCAAAGGCTCAAATGACAATCAGAACACTCCCAACTTATAATAAACTGTAGTTGATTAATAGCAGTGAATGACTATGAAGTATGAGGAAGTCAGCTTTAGAGAGGAGAGGTACGGAAGTTAACTGAAAGACGGAGCTGGAAATCATGTAAAATCCTTGCATTAAGGCCTAACAGCAATAAAAAATATCAGGTGTACACAACTACAAAATGGTAGTTGAAGTTAAAAAACCTCAGTCAATATATCAAGTACAACTTAAATTTTAATTGCACAAATTATCTTTTAAAAATAGTATCTCAAACTAAAAACAAGGTGAATCAAAATGTGTCCATACCATAAAATAAAAATATTATAAATTTCTGGATTTTAATTTTTTTTAAAAAAATTAAATAATAGGTGAATATTTAAAAACAATCAGCAAGTCTTCCAACAATCAACTGAAAACTAACTAGAACCATTCAATGTCTCACTTTCTAGTACAGGCCTTTGACAACATTTGCAGAATATCACCACAATTAACGCTCTATATATATGCAGATAGAAGGATTGTTACAATGACAGAAAGGTGGAGAGGTAGAAAGTTAGACAGAAACCATTGCTCTTAAATGGAATATTTCTCAATATTCCCATTGCAACTGAAATATGAAAAATAAGGTGGGGCATGTTGGGTCACCCCTGTAATCCCAGAACTTTGGTAGGCTAAGGCAGTTAGATTGACTGAGCAAAGTAGTTCGAGGCCAGCTTGGGAAACATAACGACACTCTGTCTCTGCAAAAAAATTAAAAAACTAACTGGGCACGGTGGTGCACACCTGTGGTCCCAGCTACTCAGGTGGCTGAGGTGGGAGGATGGCTTGAACCTCAGAGGTGAAGGCTGTGGTGAGCTGTGATTGAACCACTGCACTCCATCCTGGGCAACAGAGCAAGACCCTGTCTCAAATAAATAAATATACACATATAGTGATACCTTACCTTGTTTTAATATGAATAGACTCTCCCTTAGCTGAGAAAGCCCTTTTGGCTCCTTCATTTGCAAGACGTCAAGGGCTCCTTACCCACCCCCTTCCTCAAGGACTTAACTTGTGCAAGCTGACTCCCAGCATATCAAAGAGTGCAATTAACTGATAAGGTACTGTGGCAAGCTGTGTCTGCAGTTCCCAGGAATTCACCTGGGTGATAGTACCTTAAAGCCCCCACGTTTGTGTCCGGCAGATAGCAGCACCCAGAGCCCCCGCACCTATCACCTTGTGATGAATTTAAAGCCCCTGCACCTGGAACTGTTTGTTTTCCTGTAATCATTTGTCTTTTTAACTTTTTTTTGCCTGTTTTACTTCTGTAAGATTGCTACAGCTAGGCTCCCCCTCACCTCTCTAAACCAAAGTATAAAAGAAAATCTAGCCCCTTCTTCGGAGCCGAGAGAATTTTGAGTGCTAGCCGTCTCTTGGTTGCTGGCTAATAAAGGACTCCTGAATTAGTCTCAAAGTGTGGCGTTTCTCTATAACTCGCTTGGTTACAACTATATATATGTAAATACTATACTACATATATGTATGTATAGAATGTCAGAAACAACAAAAATAGAAGTAAAGCTGAAGCAATTATTAAATTGTAGACACACGTTTCTTCAAAAACAAAAATATTACTTTTGAAAAGATACCTCTAACATAACATTTTGAGTATAATAAGTTGTTATCATAAGTGATTTTTTTTCTGTGACAAATTTTAGTTTCAGGCATTGGTATTAACTCCTACTCTGCAATATGAGGTTGTATGCACTGCTGCTCAGCTTACCCAAACTATAAATACTGATTTTTTATTAGAAAACAGATTTCATTTGCCTACTTTCTGCAACTACAATGTTTAGAATTTTCTCACCTTTAATCCATATTTTAAAAGTCAGCGTTCGAAACCAGTGTTTTCCCCATAGTTTTTCTATTCTTGAGTTTTTGCTTTTGTTCATCTCTTGATTGGCTAAGTTTCTTTTTATTTTTTGCATGCTGATAATTTTCATATTATTTTAAGTTTCACGGTACGTGTGTGGGATGTGGAGGTATATTACATAGATAAAGGTGTGTCATGGTGGTTTGCTGCACCTATCAACCCGTCACCTAAATACTAAACCCAGCATCCATTAATTATTTTTCTTGATGTTCTCCCCCAGCCCGCACCTCCCACCACAGGCCCCAGTGTGTGTTGCTTCCCTCCTTGTGTCCACGCATTCTCATTGTTCACCTCCCACTTATGAATGAGAACATGCGGTGTCTGGTTTTCTGTTCCCGCATTAATGTGCTGAGGATAACAGCTAAATGAGGATAACAGTTGATTATCAAAAAAAGGTTGGTTTGTTTTTTAATCAAGGCAAGCTTAAATATGCATTATTTCTTGGAGTATTAAAAGTCTATCTGTTATCAATCCTTCCACTTGAAAGAAATTTTTGGGTCATATTCTCTTTTATCTAGAACTTTGTGTATACTTTTAAATAATGTTCTTTCATAAAATCTTATTAAGGGAAAATCTAGGCCAGCCTAAGTTTTTTCTCAGTTTTATTTTACTTCAGTAGTTATTTTTCTGCTTGGATTTCCATATTTTTTATTCCTTATTATATTTCAGCAAATTCATCTCTGTATATTTAGATGCCAATCATTTTGCATCTTTTTGTCCTCATAGAGTGGATATTCTTTTGATCCACAGTTTTAAATATTTGTTTCAGGAAATTTGAGGTAAGCTTTCTTCTGTAGTATTATTGAATACATTTTGTGGTGTTCTATTCCTCTAAACATAATTTTTGTGAATGTCAGATCTTTCAAATCTGTCTTTCATATTTATCATATTTTGTCATATACGTTTCTGTTTTGTTTATGTATACATTAAGGTATTTCTCCATCTACCTGAATGTTTCTTTGTTCAATATTTTAAAAATTATTTTTAACATTTTGCTCCAAAAATTTCCAGTGATATACAAGGTAGAGAGGCCAGTATCATGACCCAGCCTATCCTTGAAATTTACTAATTATCAATTTGTGACATATTTTCCATTTATACAGTCATGAACCCCACTTGGAGTATTTAGAATTAAATATATAAGTCCAGGCCAGCTTCATGAGGGTATGACCTGTGCAGTCACAAGTCTAGGTCTTTATGCTTTGAAAGATCTCACACTTGGTTGAATGCTCTGATATCACTGTCTTGAAATTTGTAATAGTTTTCAAAGGACAAACTCTGGAGCCAGTCTTGATCCCCATTCACTTTGATCTCAGATTCCTTGACCCTTTTAGAGCATACAAGTAACCCCAAAGTTAAAGTTAGTCCTATAAGATATACTGATAATTGTATTAACAAGGAATTAGAAAATGACTATTAAGGTTTTCACGTTTCATATATTTACACACACTATCTTTAATTTTCACTTGCACCCTATAAGAAAATATAAGATTAAATATATTTGAAAATTTAGGGGGGAAGATAATACAGTTTAAATTACATTAAATTAGGGTCAGAGACTCTAGGTTACATTGACTTTGTCATTTACCCATGAATCTCAGCAATCATTTCCCCCTGTTTGATATTCTCTATTGAAAAGAGGGCAGCATAATTCCTGTGATATAAAATTATTAGAACACATTGTATAAAGTATCTTGAAAAGATGTGTGGTCGATGTATGACTTTTCTTATCTCATTTTCTTGTGTTTAATAATAGGAAATGTTATTTGGCTTGAGTATTCTGGAGAATGAAAAGAGTAGAACTCTTTAGTAGGGTTGATCTTAAAATAGATTTTTGGATGCTACAAACTATGTGCTGTGTTAGTGATAGCAAATCTTTGGAATTGGAGAAAAATGGAATGTGTGAGAGAAATGGTCCTAGTTATTTACCTGATCTTTCCATCTCCTCCTATTCTCTAACCAAACACTGAAACGACAAGCCAGAATAAGAAACAATTTTAGGAAGTACAATAGAAAGATTGAAGTAAATGATTATAAGTAAGATTTTTTGGTTACAGGAAAAAAAATTAATTTAGTTAAGCAGAAAAAGGAATCATTATTGGAAAGACATTTGGGGGCTTATAAAATTCCTTTGGAGGCTAACAAGTTAGTCTGAGAAAACAGGCAGAAATGAAGAAAGGCTTGCCAATGGGTAAGCCAAGACCACGTTTAAGAAGAATTTGCTGAGGATGCCATTTCTAGCACATGTTGTCAATGCTAATGTTAGGTTCTGTCAGGAAGCATTCAAAACCACAACCATGAACTTTGTACAGTCATTACCAAAAATAATTATCTTTTAATAAAATGGATTTAAAAAGTTCATATCTGTTAATCTACTTGTGTGTAAGGCTGTATATATTTATGAAGAAATACATGATAGAGCGTGTATCAAAATATAAATAGATTTTATCTCAAAGTGTTAGAATTTAATCTTTCTTCATTATGTTTATCTGTACATTATTTATAAGAAGGTAATATTTATATAATTAGAGTATTAATCAAATTCACTCTCTTGTAAAGAAAAAAATTTCTGGCTTTAAAATTAGCCATTTATTACAAGGACTGAATATATCATAAACATATGATTATATTTTGACATGGATAGTTATAACATTCTATTACATAACTCTCTAGATAGTGGCAGTCAACAAATAGAGTATAATCTTACTGTATGGATATGCTAGAATTACTTATAAATCAGGAACAAAGATAGAAATGGCCTTTCCCACTGTTCCCTGTGTAAGAAAATTAAATTAATCTGCTGGGAGTGATAAAGAAAATTGAGGACTCCAAAGGTAGGTAAAATTCTTTTCTTTGTAATTTTTTAGAGATAGGATCTTGCTCTGTTGCCCAGCCTGGAATGTAGTGGCACAGCGAGCTCATGGCAGCCTTGAACTCCTGGGCTCAAGTGATCTTTTAGCCTCAAACTCCCATGCAGCTGGGACTACAAACCCATGACACCACACTTGGCTAATTTCTAAAATATTTTGTAGAGACAGAGTCTTGTTATGTTGTCCAGGCTGGTCTGGAACTCTTGGGCTCAAGCAATCTTCCCACCTTCTAAAGCTCTGGGATTTTAAGTATGAACCACTGCACCTTGCCAGGTGAAACTTTTAAGAGGATATTTTAATTTAGTTTTGTTGAGCTGACCCCAAAACATCTCTTCTGATTATTATCACCTGCAAATGGAAGCAACAAATGGAGGCAACAAAAGGGAAGATTTAATCATTACCAGGTGTCAGCTATTCTTGAAGGAATTCACTGTTAAAAAGTATGGACTGAGCATTGCATTACTCCAATTGAAGAAAAGTTTTGAGAGCAGATTATGGCCACATGGGTCCAGTGGGGAGTGAAAGAGCTTTAGAAATAATCTTAGCTAAAGGATTTATTTGACCCGTATGAATGTAAAGGCCAATCCCAAAGTATAACTAGTGCCCACTGCCTTGAGCAGCTTAGGGCAGATTCCTGCAAGATTTATACCCATAAGCTTATTCAAAGTCATAAACTTTATGGGATACTCTGCATTACCTCCCTGACATTAAATACTGATGGCCAAGGTCTAGAAGAAATATGGGTCATATCTAATAACCTCACTAGTAAAGAATGAGTATTTCTGATGTGGGGTCATGAGTCATGTGCCATTTCTCAGGCACTTTGAAAATGATAATTTTATTATTAATTCAGAATTCACAGAAACTTCTGCCACAGTATGAATTTCAGGCCTCTAAAGTAAAGAAATTCGACACTATCCCAGCCATCTCCAAACGAAAACACTGCAAAGGACCTGGGAGTTTAATTAAATGCTGCTGAATATGCTGTAGAAACTACACTGAAAACAAGATGCAGAATTACCATTGTGTGCCTCTGATGGCACTAGGAATGCAGTTATTGATTTTCCTTCTTGTTTCATGATGTTTGGTCGGGAGTCTAGGCTACATATTGATCACCACTTTGAGCTGGGTGAAGGAAGTCAGGCATTGGGAAATGTTTACTCAATATGCAGCTAACCAGAGGGGCAAGCTGCAAGAAAATTTTGGTTAGTTACTCTGGTTAGATAATGTAAAAGGAAAAACAAACAACAAACAACAAAACAAAAACAAAAAACAATGGAATGATGTCTAACTGATATTCAAAGGAGAGAAGAAAGTGTATTATTTGCGATGGTCTCTACATTATACTTTGGTAATCAATCAACTCAACATCTCAGCAGCTCAAAGCAACACTTATTCCCAACTCATGATACATGTCCATTGTGCCACCTGCTGATTTTGCTCTGCTCTATCTTCTCCTGTCATTCAGGCCGAGGAAATGGCCACAGTGGAGTATACTGTCCACCTTCACTTTAGTGGGAAAGAGAGCACCAGACCTAGAAGCATTTTACACAACTTTAGTCCACATCTCATTGGCCAAATAAAGTAACAAAGCTGTAACTAATGTCAAAGAGTCATGTTAAGTACAATTCTGCCATATGTCTAAAAGCAGAATTGGAATATTTGAAAGAGTCTTTATGACTATCATTTCTATTACAATTGTAATTTCAATTACAATGCTGTAGACTTTCAAGTAAAAGAAAGATCTGAACATCTACGCTCTTTCTTATATTACTTGTATACAAAATTATAGAGAAGATTGAGACTGGCTAGTTTGCTGTCTGTAGAAAAATCGATTTCCCACATATGAATTCCAAGAGTAATATTCTCTTTGTAGTCATGTATTCCATCCTTTTCAGAGAAGATGTGCACAAGAGCAGGGACAGTTTCTCAATGAGAAAGTATATGTTTTATCTCTTAATCTCCAGGAATGAAGAAAGGATTGAACAATGAGTTACTTTCATAAAAATGGGTGTGATTTTCTGCTAAGTTAGGGAGAATGCTCATTTAAGCCACGTGGTACATAGAAGCTACTGCTCTGAAGAAATATATATTAGGTTAAAAAAAGTCTTGTTTATCTTAAGCATGGTGGCGAGAAAACAGGAGCTATGACAGAAAGCTTAGTGAGAATATTACTGCTCTAAAAGTTATAAAGTATAACAAAAATAATACTTCAATATTGTTTAAGGAGGAAGCATAGTAAATCATAACATTTAAGATTTTCCAAAAAAGAATCAACATTGATATATCAGAAATTCAAAGAGAAAATAACTTCTTTTTCAACCAAAATATATTAATAGTTGACATAACAAAAATGTACAGATATCGAATTATCCATTCAATGAGTTTTGGTCATTGTTTACACCTATGTAACCATTATCCCAAACAAGATATAGAATATTTCCTTCCTCCTGGAGTGTTTCCTCATACCTTTTTCTAGTAAATCTCCTCCTCCGTACCAAAAGGAATAACTTACTGACTTCTATTACCACTGATTAGTATGTTTTCATATTTTTTCACCTCATCTGCATGTATTATTTGTCTTTGGCTTCTTGAGTCAATAACATTTATTCATGTTGTTGAATGTATCAGTAGTGTGTTACTTTTATCCCTGAGTAGATTTTCATTTTACCATTATGTCACAGGTGTATATAGATTCACTTGTAGATGGACATTTGGGTTGTCTCCATTTTGGGGACACTATGAATTAGCTGCAATGGTCATTCTCATACAAAACATTTTGTGGACTTATCTTTTAACTTATCATGGAAATATACTTAGAATGAAATTGCTAGATCATTGCACAGCTGCATATTTAACTCTATAAGATACTTTTATATTTCTTACCTTCAAAAACAGGCTCACAAATTCCTTATCAATGAATATATTTTGTTTTCGTAAAGAGCTTGTTAAAAGAAAAAAGAGCAGTCCCAGCTACTCGGGAGGCTGAGGCAGGAGAATCATTTAAACCTGAGAGGCAGAGGTTGCAGTGAGCCGAGATCACGCCACTGCACTCCAGCCTGGGCAACAAAATGAGACTTCATCTCAAAAAAAAAAAAAAAAAAAAAAAGCTAAAGGTTTATACTATCTGAAGATAAACCAGAGTACAGAAAACCAAACAGTGCGTGTTCTCACTCATAAGTGGGAGCTGAACAATGAGAACACATGGACACAGGGAGGGGAACAAGACACACCATGACCTGTTGTGGGGGTGGTGGGCAAGCGGAGGGAGAGCATTAGGACAAATACCTAATGCACGCAGGGCTTAAAACCTAGATGACAGGTTGGTAGATGCAGCAAACCACCATGGCACATGTATACATATGTAATAAACCTGCACATTCTGCACATGTATCCCAGAACTTAAAGTAAAATTTAAAAAGAAAAGAGTAATGAATATTAAAAGGAACTCATCCCCCCAAAAGGCAGGTTATTGAGTTACTACCTTAATAATGAACTGGAAGGACACTAGAGGAACAGTCCATGTAGCCCATTTCTCGGGACAATAGATGAGAGTCATCTGGTCTGAAAAGGGGGAAGCCACTTAATGGGATTTGTCTTTAGTGGAAGTTATTAGGGCTGGAGAGAGAAGAGTTTGTGCTTTTCAGGGGTGGATCTCATGGGAAGAAACACAGTGAGGGCCAAAAATTAGCTACACAAAATCAAACCAATGCCTGTTGACTATTGCAAACTTGCTCAATCCGTGGCCTGCAGGCCACATTGTGGCCCAGGATGGCTTTAAATGTGGCCCAACACAAATTCATAAACTTTCTTAAAACATTATGAGGTTTTTTTTTGGCAGTTTTTTAAAAGCTCATCAGTTATTGTTAGTGTTAGTGTATTTGATGTGTGGTCCAAGACAATTCTTCTTCCAGTGTGGCCCAGGGAAGCCAAAAGATAGGACACCTTTGGTCTATAGATTTTGTCAGCCTAGTGAATTACACCTGTCACCTAAGGTGATTACTAGGTTTTTTCCTTCTCTTTAGTGAAGGAATACACTGTCAGCAGCTTCCAGTTGGCACAGTTCCCCTAAGTCATTCAGCAGAAATGATTGTCACTTGTGTACTGAAATTTTCAGATCGCTATCTCTGTTGTCCTATCTGGAGCTTCTGTCTTTCAATGGCTTGGAGACTTTTATCTTTATAACCTTCAACATAGAAAAAGAGATTGTGGACATTGAGAGAAGCAGTGGTGGTTTGAAAAATAAAGTTCTCATGACTTGTACTTAACTGGGACTTCACTGTGGCACTGTGGGTAGAATGCAAACCCATTATATGGAGCTTTCATATTTGCTTAGTATTTCTGGGTCCTGGAAGTAAATGCACTAGCCTTTGAATAACTCTCATAATGTAGCTTTTCTTAAACATTGAGTCTTCCCAGTTGCAATGCAGAGATGTATTTTTTGCTTTGTGGAATGTAGCCACTTCTGATTTCCTTCTTTTTGATTGTATAGAAGGACTCAAAAAGTATGTGTCAGCTGAAATATAAACATTTTTATAGCCAATTACAAGGCTTTTGTTCAAAAAAAATCTAACTACCAACTAGTTTCTCAATGTCAATTTGATAATACAGTATAGGTTACTTTTAAATTTAAAATAGTAATTGGTCTAATCAACAACTGTTTTTGTTTTTGGAGGAAGATTCCATTTAAACTAAAACGTTTTGGTCTATGTAATACAACGTTCCTGATGTTGTAAATTAAGGCAACATTTCTTAGCTACACCTGAGAAATTAGGTATATTCATGCCACGAGTTGGTTTTTGTCAAAAGAATAAAATTCAATGAGGCATCATTATTCACTTAGAAGGCAAGGATATTTAACACTAACAAGATCATTTAACAAGAAGCCACTCTAGCAGTTTAATCTGGCATATATGAATGGAGCTGAATGAAAACAGAAAATATCTACTATACATAGAAGACTGCAGTAATGGTTGGATTTTTATAATCATAAATAATTTTAATCTTCCTGAAATGAATTGAGTCTTATCACATCATAAATGGCTTTCACACTGAAAATATAATGGTTGTATCTCATTATATTATTCAATTTCTTAGCAGCCAAATTTGTTTCAGTAGACCACTTCTTCCTAAAATCACATTTCTCCATTGGTCTCTTTGACCTCACACTCTTGTCTTTTTCAGATTACTTTATTGTGTCCCAAGTCTTGGCCCAAGTTCCTCTAGAAACAGAACCTGAAGCAAAGATCATTTGCTAATGTTTTATTAGGAAATGACTTCAAAGAAAGTTAGAATAAAGGAAATTATTATTTAATAATAAACAAGGAAAAAGAGAAAAGCAAATAAAAGATTAATTTCTAAGTTGAACACAATTTCTCAAGAAATACTACCCCCGGCAAAATAGCACAAAACAGAAGAATTTCATCTGGGTTCAGTACGTTGTGGGAAAAAAAAAAAAGGAGAAAGAAAAATTTATCTATCAGTTTTATCCAGTATCCTGCCTCTTATTGCTTAAAGTGCACCCTAAGGGAAATTATCCTCCCCTGCACTTTCGGAATGTGTTAGCCAGCCTTTATGGGCAGCTGTTGGAGAACATAGAGCTTCTATGGTTACAGTCAAGTCTGAATGGACACTGGTGTTTCTGTGGTCCCAAGCTTATCACGTACAGCAGAAGTCATGCTGAACCCAGCATTTGACTATAAGAAAGGCCAAAACACTCTGAAGTAATATTATGATAAAAGTGGCCAGAGTTTTTACCCTTAGGCCCAGAAGCATGGCAAGCAGTTAAGAACAGGTAGGTAGGCTCAGGCAGTGAGGATGAAGTGAATCATTGCTTTAGTATTCTGTTGTGTTCCCTTTTTGGCTTTCTAACTACCATTCTGATTCATTTTTTTTTCAGTAGTAGTTGATCTAGGGTTTGAAATATTCATTTTTTACTTAATACACTCCATGTTGGTAATGCAGGCCCATAGAACTTGGCAAAGATTAAGGGTGGAGAAACTCATTTGCACCCTGGATGAGTAAAAGGCAGTGACTGGCTGCTGGAAGAGAGACATGAAGCCCATCACACCACAGACTCAGGCTGGTACACAGCAGGTGTCTGTCACTGAAGGAAAAGCAAGAACCTTGATCACAGGGAAGATTAGAAAAGACCTCCTCCAGAAATACTGGATAAATTGATAGAAATTGCTCTTTCTCACTTTTTACTATTTTCTTGACAGTGTACTGCACTCAGATAAAATTCTCATGCTGTTTTGCAGGGGATAGAGAGGCAGGATCAAAAGCTGTTTTTCTTGAGAAACTGTGTTCAGCTTAGAAACTAACATCTCTGTGAGCAAGGAAATGACCCTGATCTGACTGGAAAGTTTTCTACCACAAAGAGAAGTGTAGAAATCCACGCCTCCCCCGCCAATTCCTTTAGTTTTAGGCAAAACTATTACAATGACATTGGCAAAAGTCATCAGCTGCTGGAAGATAGGTAGCAAACTAACTTATGACAAGATATTTTTCAAATGAAAAAGAGAGGTCTTCTATCACTGCAGGAGGGGTGGAAGTCCTGTCTGTGTGCTAGACTCTGTATTGAGTAGGAGGAAGAGATTTTCTGTTAAGAAGGAAGGGCAAAAACACTGAAAAATTCTCATCTCTGAAGGTCAAACATTGAGGGATTACTTAATATTAAGCCTGGAACAAAATAAAGAGGATAACGAAAATTCCCCTGTTCTCCACAAGCCATGCATGGAGAAACAAGAGTAGACTGCCACTGAAAGAAACATCAGAATGTAGAGAGAAAGCCCTTCCATGACAAAGGTTTGCAAGATCTACTGAAAGCTAAAAGTAAGCAGAAAAGTTGCACTAAAAACCAACATTGCATGAACAACACTAAGAACAAGGTAGCATCAATCAACAGTGGAAGGAATTTGAAGATGGTAATACTGAAAGAAACCATGACAACAAATACTCAAACCCAGCTCAACTCAGTTTCCCAGCTAACCGACATACAAAAAAAGAGGCACAACAACGTTCAGTCAAAAATTTTACTTACCTCTATCTCTATTGTTCTTTTACAGACAATTTCCAGAATTTAAACATAAATTACTAGACATATGTAAAGCAAGAAAAAAGGTTGTCCTTTGTTACATTATGAACCAGTTGACAGAAATAGACACAAACATGGCCTATGTGTTGAGACTAACAAACAGATATTAAAATAACTATCAATGATATATGAAATATATTGTGAAAAATGTGGACAACGTTCAAATGGGTGGAAAAATTGTGCCTGCAAAGTCTTACCCCTTGTGGCTGGCACCATCCCACACATGTCCCCACTCAAAACAGGAATATACTGTCCACACACTGCTCACCAGTGAAAGGCTTGTCTTTCTCTAGAATTCTGTTTATTAAGACTTTCTTTACCCTGGCTCTTTACTTATTTATTTATTTATTTATTTATTTATTTATTTTAATATATTTTATCTAACCAAGAAATGAACCCCTGGCTCTCTGATAGCACACTAGAAAACCTGGATTTTTATCGTATCTGGTTTTAGCTTGTTGAGAATATGAAAGCAAACATCTTTTGTATCTTTTTTTTCCCCCTGGGGTAGGGGGCTTTTCTATCTTTGAGTTTGGGCATGACACCAATGAAGAAGACCATGCTAATGAAGATGAAGCAGGGATGGCCCAAAGCACCCACATGATGGACTTCTGCATGTGCTGCTCCAGCTGCTCTCACTCTGTCTTGAGCTTCTACAGGTACTGTTCAGCCATAGTAAGTGAGTGTGACGGTCTGATTGTCCTTCTTGATGATGCTCTGTGTAGCCAGTGTCTTGAGACTCTAGGCCAAGCCTAGAATCTCCTGCACCAGTTTTTCCTGGGGATTCTGATGTCACAGCAGGAGAAGGTCTAGTTCACCCCCAAGTGCTTCTCCTCCGCTGGCTTCTGTCCTGCCACTCCAGCCCTCTTTCTCACTTTCTGCACAGGCTTTGCTGCAGAGCCAGTGCCGGCAGTTCACTCCACATCTCACTGGTGTACCCCACGGTGACCACACATGCACTGTCATTGCAGCAGGCACTCTCTCTGTGATGTGGGCTGCATGTGGCAGGGACCAGACACTTGTTGGCTGGTGCCTTCATGGAGAAGGAGGTCGGTTTCTTTGCCTGCAGCATCTCCTCTGGAAAATCCACCATACAGAGATATTAATGAATCACCTCGGAGACTCTTTTGGGCCTTCAAGACCGGCACTATGTCCTCCAGGGAACTTATGTACTTTTGCAGATGACATTTGTACAATCGCTGTCCTCTCTCAATGCACAGCAGCTACACCAGGCTCAGCTCCAGCCTTGACCCCATCATCACCTCAGGGTGGTACTCCATACCTTGTATCATTTTTTATAAACAAAACTTGAAATCTTGAATTAATTGAATCAGGAGCAATACATATGAGGAATGTGGTATGATCTGCTTCTCAATTATCTTTTGGAGTTACTTTTACATTATCTAGCTAGGTAACCTCATAGAGTCAGGGGGCTTTTAATTTCATCTATATGTTTATGATTCCTAAATATGCATCTTTTGTCCTGATTTTGCTCTTGTATTCCGGTCTTGTATATCTAATTGTTTATTAAGAACCCTCACTTAATCTTCTAAGATGCATGAAAATTAACAAATTTAATGCAGATTATAATTTTTCTTAAATAGCCCCTTAACCTGCTATTTTCCCCAAACTTTCTTACTTCAATAAATAGCACCACTTTCTATCTATCCGTGAAACTCAAAAAGGAAGGACTCATTCCTGATGCTCTTTTTATGCTACTTTTAATTTCATTCATCAGAATATCCTTCATATTTCAACTCAGATCATATTACAAATTCATTTTTCTCCATTTGCCCTGCAAGTTTCACCTGGAGAGATGCAGTAATGAAATTTGCTTTCTTGTCTCTATTTTTGCCTCATTCGTCCATTCTCCAAATACCTGCAAGAGTGATTTATAAAATATATGAGTCAAATTATGTCGATCTCTTGCTTAAAATCCATTCTTTGCTACCTCCTAAAATTAGGAGGAAAATGTCCATATCCAGTATCCAGATTTACAGTGCAGATTTCAAGCACACCTAAGATCCTAACCATGTGAACTTTCTTGCTGTCTCCAATCCAGCCACAAAGGCTGGCTAGTTTCCTAAAACTACCAAGGGATTTCTGGGTTACAGTCACTCAAGAGCTCTTTACCAACAAAGATGTTCTCTCTGTTTCCTTGTTTCACTTTTTTTTGTCTGCTTTTGTGTTTGCTTGTTTGTTTTTGTGGTTAGCTCATTTGTTTTTGTGGTTAGCTCCTGGCCTATTGGTTGAAGCTGCTGAAAAACCTTTTCTAGCCACCAAAGTAAAGCTGTTCTTTAATCACCACTTATCTTACATATATAACCACATCATTAATACTTTGCTTTTTTGCTTGCTAAATCTATTTTGCAGGTTTTAAAGCATATTTAATTGTTTATTGTGTGTTACCCTGCTTTGTGGGTACATTTTCACAAATATCAAGACCTCCTATGGTATTTTTACGCTTGTGGCTTTTACAAGTAAGAACAGTCCCTGATGTATAGTTGTTCTCAATAAATGTTTAGTCATTGAGTTTTAGGTATTTGAGAATCATACAATGTACTGGAATCTTTGAAATAATTGTCACTTCATAAAGTTATTGTACATTGCTGTATTCACTTCCTAAATATTCCTCCAAAACACCTTTGGATTTTAAAAATATAACAAATTTTCAAGTCTTTGGAGGACACTCTAGGAATAAGTTATTTTCTCAAGTGGACAATAACCTCCTTTAACATACAAATTATGCATCTCTGGGAGAGATAAAATGAAAAAATATATAAGCCACGAGTATTTAGAAACTTACTTATTAAGCATTGTGGAACATTTATTGACATCAGTAAAAATACTTTGTTTTTAGTCTTTGACCTCACATAGAAGTGACTGATTCAGTGTGTTTCTATCCCAACAGCTAAAATCAAATATCCAAGCACAGACTAACATTACTGGCAAAAAATAAATTATACTAATGACAAATTTTTTATAAACACTGAGAATTAACTTCATGTATTTGCAATGTTAAATCACATTAATTTTCCTCAGTAAAACAGGCTCTTCAATTAGAGTAACTCTGGTCTTATTTTAGCTAGAGATATAATTATTGCATTTTAATTATTATATTAGGATTCCAATTTATTACTAGAACCTAAATACTTATTTAAGTCTGTGTTTACTTATGTGTGTTAAAGAATTAATGGGAGAAATCACTACATACCAAATAACTTTCAATAAATCCAAAAGTATACATGTTCCAAGAAAGGGATTTTATGAAATAGACATAGCACTGAAATGGGTTATGAAAGCTTAACTTTATTTTCCCTTTATTGTGATATCATTGACAAAAATTATATATATTCAAGGTATACAATATAATGTTTTATATAGGTTACATTGTGAAATGATTAACACAAACAAGCTTATTAATATAATCATCATTTCACACAGGTACCTTAAGTAAAATGCTTAATATCTACTCTTCACACATTTCTAGTATACAATATGTTATTTTAAGTATAGGTACCATGCTGGACATTAGGTCTCTGGAATATTTCATCTTATAACTGTACCCATAACCCCTGGTAACCACCATTCTACTTTTTGTTACCGTGAAGTTAACATTTCTAGATTCCACATACAAATAAGATTATTCGGTAGGTGTGTTTCTGTTCCTGACATGTTTCACCTAGCATAATATCCTCCATGTTCATCCATGTTTTTGCTATGGCAGGATTTTTTTCTTTTTTTAAGGTCGAATTATATTTCAATATTTATATACACCACAGTTTCTTTATCCATTCATCATCAATGGGCACTTAGATTGTTTCCATACCTTCACTATTGTGAATAATGATGCAATGAACATCGGAGTGCAAATATCACTTCGTGGTAGTGATTTTGTTTTCTTTGGATGTATATCCATAAGTGGATTGTTGGGTCATACAATAGTTTTATTTTTAGTTTTTAAGGAAATTCCATACTGTATTTCATAATGACTATAGCCATTTACATTCCCACTCGCAAAGTGTAAGAGTCTCTTTCTCCACATCCTTGCCAACACTTCTTATCATTTGACTTTTTGATAATAGACATTCTAACAGGTGTGAGGTGATATCTCCTTATGTTTTCTATTTGCATTTGCCTGATCATTAGTGAAGTTCAGCACCTTTTCATATACCCGTTGACCATGTCTTCTTTGAAAAAGTCTGTTCAGGTCATCTGCCCTCTCTTTGAGCAAGTTGTTTGTATTTTTATTATTAACTTGTGGACGTTCCTTATATATTTTGGATATTCACTCCCTATCATATATAGTTTGCAAATATTTTCTCCCATTGTTCAGGTTCCTTTTATTTTATTAATTGTTTCATTTGCTGTGCAGAAACTTTTTAGTTTTATATAGTCTGATGTGTTTTATTTTTGCTTTTGTTGCCTGCGAATTTGCTCTTAGACCTGAAAAATCACTGCAAAGACTGATGTCATGGAGCTTTCCCCTATGTTTCTGTTTTCTAGTTTTATGGTTTTCAGTCTTAGATTAAACATTTAATCCATGTTGAATTGATGTTTGTGCATGGTGTAGAATAAGGATTCAATGTAGATAACCAGTTTTCCCAAGACCATTTATTGACCAAACTATCCTTTCCTAAATGTTCCTGGCACTTTTGTCAAAAATTAATTGATTTTATATGCATGGACTTATTTCTGGGTTTTCAGCTCTTTCTGTTGGTCTCTGTGTCTGTTTTAATGGCAGTATCATTCTGTTTTGATTACTATGGTTTTGTAATAGAATTTGAAATTAGAAAGTTTGTTGACTCCAGCTTTGTTCTTCTTGCTCAAAAGTGCCTTGGCTATTCACATTCTTCTGTGGCTCCACAATAATTCCATGCTTTGTTTTGTATTTCTGTGAAAAATGCCATTGAAATTTGGAAAATGATTGCATTGACTCTGCAGAATACTTTGCATAGCATGGACATTTTAATGGAATTGATTCTCTTGACCCATCATTTTTTGTGTCTTCTTCAATTTCTTTCATCTATGTTACATAGTTTCCAGTATACAGATATTTTACCTCTTTGGTTAAATTTATTCCTAAGTGCTTTGTTTCTTTTGATGCTATTATAAATGGGATTTTTTTCTTCATTATTTTTTCAGTTAGTTTATTGTTAGAGAATAGAAACATGAATGATTTTTGTACATTGATTTTGTATCTTGTGATCTTACTGAATATGTTTATTAGTTCTAACAGTTTTTTTTGTTTTTTTTTTTTTTGCAGAGTCTTTAGGGTTTAGTAGTTTTCAAAATATAAGATTTTGCCATCTGCAAATAGAGACAGTTTTACTTTTTTTTCTTTTCTTATTTGGATACCTTTTATTTCTTTCTCTTGCTTAATTGTTCTGGCTAGGGCTTCCATTACAATGTTGAATAGAAGTGGCAAGATTGAGCATCCCAGTCCTGTTCCTCATCTTGGAGTAAAAGCTTTCAACTTTTCACAATTGATTATGATGTTAGCTGTGAGCTTGTGGTCTATGGATTTTATTTGAAAGTTTAATATTAAGCAGGGAGACTGCAGTTTTTCATAAGAATGGTCTACCTTCCAATATACATATAAAAATCATTGTATAACAAGGAAACATACCTTTGATGTCTCTAGAACCTTGAGAAGACACATCTTAGTGCACTGCATGCAATAAATATTTAAGTGTCAGTAATATTGCTATAGTAGCTCATAAAATTTTTCTTCATTCTCTAATTCATTTTAAATATTGAAAAAGATTTGTATACATTTAAAATATACACAATCTACATTTACTTATATTATCAAGAGTTTAGCTAAACTATATATGTAATTTTAGTTCAGAAATTACTACGCCTATAATTGTAGATTTCAAATAAATTAAATTTAAAAAGTTACATTTTATTTTTTCAAAATAATATCAAAATGATAAATATCTGAGGATGTCTTGCCCTCTGAATACTCAGAGGACTGCTAGTGCATTTATGCAGTCTGCTGAGATAATAAATATCAAACAATGGGCAAGTAAAGAATGAATCTGGTAACTTTATGTAAGCATTGTAATTTTTTGGCTTAGCCTCAAATTTTAGGTGTTCTTTTCAAATCTTCATTATTTCCTATTCTCTAACAATATTTAATTTGTTGTTTTCCTGTTTAATGCTGGCACTCATCTTCTTAGCCATGAAGACCATGGCTTATACGTAGCCTTTATTTTGTTCAGGAAAGGGAAAGCAATTTTAATATTGCTGCCAATGATAGACTACCAAGAAAGGGACATTTGCATAAGGAGGCTTTTATCCTTTTCTTAAGTCAAGGGTCTTCGGAAAGGGACTTTGGAGCCTTTTAAAAATAAGAACACACAAAATAGATTTCCTATAATTGGTCTTAAAATTTTATAACTATTCTAATTAAAATGAAATTTAAGGAAGGAACAATAATCTCTCCATATAAGTATTGTAATAAAGGTAGTAGAAAATTGGTGCTCTGCTAAGAATTTTGCTATTTTTGAAGTTAAGGAGAAAGTATAATGCACAGTAACTTTAGGTTATCCTAGCAGTAGCTTATGAAGCCCTTGACCCTAAGAGTTTCTTTGGCTATTTCTATAAACCACTTTCCACCCCAGCATCATGTTGTTCTCTACATCATGAAACTCTGAGTCCTTGCTCTATTTTACTACATGAGAAATTATTCAGATAAGATAATAGGCAGAGATTTGTACTCTCCACACAGAATGGTGTGACTTTAGTCACTGATGCATCTGAATGTCATGTTCTATTTTAGTAGAGTATCCCAGGGAGGAGAACATTATATTGTCCAACCAATTTACCTGTATTTTAAGGGAAAGTTTTGGAAGAGATGGAAAGCCAAAGGAGAAGAAACATTAGGGAAGAGAAGCGAAGTGGGAAAGAGCTAAATTTATATCTCATTTGATGCTTTTGGGCCTTCCAAAAAAGCCCTTCTCTTTTACATATAATACCAACATAATTTTTGATTAAAAAACAGTAATCTTTAACTACAGAAGAATTTTATACAAGGAATAATAGTGATTATTTCAATAGTTAATCCCACAGTTTCTTATTACAAAGTCAACTCTATGGTATGGATTTCATGCTTTTTACAAATTGGTTCTATTTAAAAGCCTACAAAGGCTTAAAGTGGCATTAATATGCCACTGTTATTGGAATTATTTAAGTTCATTTAACATCACTTAAATTGTCCATACATAAATTATATACCCAAGATATGAAACTGCATATAAAAAGGTTTAAGTGTAGTGTGTATCCAGCACTGCCTCTGAAGCTCTCGCATCTGCAGGACATGGGGAATGTTGATAATACAAAATATTTTCTATCATTTTAAAACAGTTTTATTTATGGATATTGCATTGCTTCCTTATGTTTTATTCTTTATACATAATTTTAGCATAACATTTATACCCTTCTCTCTCTGTCTCTTTGTCTCTCTGTTTTTCTTTCCCTTTCTTTTTTTTCTTCCTTTCTTTCTTCTTTAATTCAGAAATAGTAATTGTGTATATTTATGGGGTACCCTGTGATGTTTTCATTCATGTATATATTGTAAAAAGATGTAATTAAGCT
Source organism: Homo sapiens (assembly GCF_000001405.40). Classification (NCBI taxonomy): domain Eukaryota; kingdom Metazoa; phylum Chordata; class Mammalia; order Primates; family Hominidae; genus Homo; species Homo sapiens. The sequence goes on from NC_000004.12 coordinate 171,176,286, forward strand.
CATTAACATATCCATCAACCTACCAACTTTTTGTAGTGAGAATGTTAAAATTCTATTCTTTTAGCAATTTTAAAATATAACACATTATTTTTAACATTGCTCACCATGCAATACAACAGATTACTAAAACTTATCTCTAGTCTAGCTCACTAGAAGACATTATGCTAAGTGAAACAAGCCAGGCACAGAAAGACACATACTGTATGGTCTAATTTACATGTGGCAACTAAGAAACATAGATCTCATAGAAACAGAGAGTAGAAGAGTGGTTGCTAGAAGCTGGAGAGGGTGGGTGGGTGAGGAGAAGCAATGAGGAAAGCAGAGATGTTGATTATAGGATACCCTTCTCTTTTTTAATGCATGCAAGAGTTTCAAATGTTCTTTGGAATAGAACTAATATCAAAACCCCCTTCCTAAGGCCTTACACCTGGTTATGTCCTTTTTGTTTGTTTGTTTTGAAGCCCACTAATTCCTTTCTTTCCAGGTAGGTTCATTCTTATTCTGTCTCTATGCCCACTTCAGACCCTATGTTGTTCTCACTAATTTGATGTTACAGAATATCCACCTACCTTTTGAAATTCAGCTCAAAAAATTGTTTCTTCCACTAAGCAAAAGTGATCACTGTATCTTATTTGGTGAATAAATGCATGAAGTTATTGGTGACTCATTTATCCCAGGAATTATATAGATTTATTTTTAAATATTTCACTGAATTAAAATAGGCTTGATATTTCCTTGCATATACGAATGTATAATTAATTGATTTTCACTAGACTGTAATTTAAATGAATATAAAGGATATATTGTCAATAAGATAAGTAGCTACACACAGCTTATAAACATATAGAATAGAATTTATAAAATGATGGTGAGAGGGAGGACTTTAAAATGCCTGTAAAATTTAGAATTATATGTAAATATTTGAGTGAAAAGTTTCCAATCAAATTTTATCTTTCCTTTGATAAGATATATGTGCTGACCATATTTTTATATACATGTGTGCATACATGTCTGTGATTGTGTGTCTTAATATTCAAAGACCATTTTAAATATAAAATGTATTTCCATTACTTCTCCATTTTGGAGATGATTTAAAAGTTTGTGACCTCTGATTTAAACAATAGTAGAAGGGTTTTTACATAGAGTAGTTAGGAATAGTATTCTATAGATGATATTGATGATATCTTAATAAATAAAAGTCCTATAAATAAAAGTAGAATAAATTTTCATCACTTCATCTACCTAATTTATTTTTAACTGTAAATAATCTTAGTCTCTTACCAGAACTGAAATTAATCCTCTTTTTATGAGGATAAGTTTGTATTGGCTTATTAGAAAAATCTAATTATCTGCTTATTTTTTTCTAGCTTTCAAATGAATAGAACAATTTATATTTCGATAATTCTATTTTATTATGAAATGTCCAATAAGATATCATAGTATCCAGTATTTTCATATTGTGAATATCTGCTAAATTTCTTTGAGATGTGAGGAAATTCTATTCTGTATAACTTGTTTAGGTAGCAATCACCTCTCTACTCCCTTTCTATGAAGTTTTATCTCAGCCCCAGCTGTAGGTTTAGTGTATACTTCAGGGTTTTCCAATAAGAATTCCTAATCCTCTGGCCATCATATTTATTTTAAGTGTATTTGATTTGAGCTAGGCAAATATCTCTTATCTAGAGCCTTTTTATCTGTGGCTATTAGGAAGGATACCTTCACTCTTTCTTTGGGTTGCTAGCTATATGGCTAACATTAGCCGAGAAAGTCTGGTAACCATTTTCTTGAAAATAAAGCTACTACAAAGAAAGACAGAACTTACTACTTGATCATTATTCCCACTGTACCTGAATCCAACTGAAACCTGGATATTCCAGGTACATGGCTGCATTAATTTCCTAAGGCTGAATTATCAAAGTGACTATCAACTGACCGCCTTAAAACAACAGAAATTCACTGTCTCAGTTTTGGGGGTTAGAAATTTACAATCGTGTTGGTGGAATCGGCTCCTTCAAGATACTCTACAGGAGAATCTTTTCCACATCTCTCTCTTAGCTTCTGGTGGTTGCTGTCAATCTTTGGCATTCTTTGGCTTGTAGATACCTCACTCCAATCTCTGCCTCCATCTACGTATGCATGACATTCTCCCTGTGTGTGACTTTGTGTATATCTTTCCTCATGTTTTTATATGGATATTGGATTTAGAACCCATTCTAATCTAGTATGACCTCATCTTAATTTAACTAATTACCTCTGCAAAGACTCTATCGCCAAACAAGGTCATATCCACAGGTTCTACGTGGACATGAAGCTTTGTAGGTACTATTCGACCCAGCACAGGAGCAATTGTATTTCATTCTACTTCTTCTTTTCATGTAGTTTAATTTGACGTTCTAAAATTTAAATCAGAGATTGAATCAACCTACATTCACAACTGAATCTTGTATTTTAAGAAATAGCTATATTGCATATATTTTATCTTATCTACCTATACATTGTGCATAAAGTTAATGCCACTTTTGATCATTCTTTGAAGTTTGCTGTTTTATATATCTTTATGCTTTATATTTGTTATACATCATTAAAGCACTGTTATATACCCCACAAATTATATTACTTTGTTTAATAATTATTCTTGGATCCATATTAAATAAAATTTAGTTCAATCTGTAAGAGTTAGGTGAATTTATCAAAAATACTAATCTTTCAGTGTAATACATGACTCATTCGTATTTTTAAAATAGATCTTTCAGTGCAAGCTGAGATACAATGTCAAAGCAAAAAACAAAGAAGGGAAAATATTTGTAATGTTATTTCTGTTAAACTATGTAGCTGGATAATTTTATTCTCACTAGTGTCAATCTTAATTTGTTTGTGTTTAATTTATATGCCCAAAATAAAATTATTACAAACATTTAAAACATATTTGAAGTGAGTCTCATTTTTCCCAACTGCTCTTAGATCTTAATTAATTGATTCTGAGGCTATTTTTAATTTTAATTTGTATTTAGTAAAGAAAAATGATCCAAAAGTGTATTTTTAAAAATTTTATTTTTGTTTCAAAATCTGTATCTTGATTCGTGGTGAATGTTAATGCAAATAAAAAATTTTTAGTCACTTGAATTTGATGTAGATATTATAACAAATTCTACTTTTTACTGCTACCTCATATAATAGAAATATAGTAATACATATTAAGAATAGAAGAAACAGAGATACAAAAACTAGCTATATTCAAGAAAGCAGTAGTTGATTACAGTGAGAGCTTTCTTATTGATAGAATTTATTTATTTACTTAATATACCTGTTACGTAAAAATTTTGATTTTTATCATGTTTAAAAAAATCAGGTGTTCAGAAAATTCATTTATATTGTCACCATAAAACATGGTCATAAGAAGGAAGCAAACGCCAGTCTTTTACTTATTTTAGTTTTTGCAACATAGACAGGGAGAAGAAATTAAAACATTAACATATAAGGTATTTTTTAAAGGAAAAATAGCATTGTGGGAAAAATCAGGACTGATAATGTTTATTGTTGTCCTAGAAAATATAAATAGTATATTTGATGAAGTTTGTATGTGTGAGGTTATGAAAATAAATTACATATTAGGGGAAGAAAGCAGGTGGACATTTGTCTTTGCCATAGAAAGACACTGTGGAATTAATATTATCAAGGACAAAACACCTCTATTAGACTAGTAACAATTAATTTAATCACTCCTAGACATCACAAATTACCTGTTTAATTTACATTTTAAAACTCTTATTATGTAGTTTTTTTCTTGATGCTATTAGATAATCACCATTGGATATCACCGAGATACTTTTCACCTGTCCCTTGCACGGTACACACAAACTATCAATAGGTTCTCCATCACTGAAGAATGAACAGGCACAATTAACAAGTTTTGGGAGGTCACATGAAAAAACCTCTTCCAGCTGGATTGAATGGAAGCAGAAATCATACACTTTGTACTTATTATGAAATTTTATTCAATTTAAGAGGAAAATAGAGATTTGTATTTTCTAAAAAAAAAATTTAATATCGAGGACATTGAAAATCACAGCCAGAGGTTTCTGCTTCTTTTTGAATTGTAACAATCCATTTATAGATGCTTGTTTACCAGTGCCAGAAGTATTTTAGTATTTTAATAACAAACTTGGATAATATTCGTAATGAAATATGCTATTTCAAGTGTATTAAGTGGAGTAAAACTGTTTTCAAAGAAAATAAGTAGCCATTTATCCTAATCACATACATTGTTAATTAATTCCTGATAAGATTTGCTTCCAGCTATATTATGTTTATGAACAAACAGTCTTTCAGGCATGTCTCATTAACATTTAATTAGTTTATAAAACACTTTGCTTTCCTGTCATAGTTATTGTGAGATTAAAGAGGATTTTAATTGATGACAGAATTTTTTTAAAGTTTAGTTAAAAAAAATACAGAAATACCAAAAAGAAAAGCAGATGACAACAAACTAAATTAGGTGCTAATAAGCAGCTTTGATTTTCCTAAGCAAAGGTCCTCACTTTTCATTATTTGTACTGGAAGTGTACCTGATAAGGAAATCAGAAGGTAGGTAATTTTGTGTATACTCTGAACTTTAATGTTTGGCATTAATAAGATACAGAATAAATATTTAAGTTTGAAATCTGAGAGGCATATTTTTAAAGCACATAAATTTAAATACTTTTTTCTTGGTGGGCCTTTTAAAGTTATTTTTGAAATTACAAAAAACACAAAATATAATATTATGTTAAGGCTCAGCATGGGGTATTGATTTTATGTCATAATTATTTGGATCTTTATGTTGTACTTCCATGTGAGGCTTTTTGTGTAGTTGAGAAGTCTTACAGTCAATAATGAATTCTTTGTTTAACAATCTGCAAACTTGGAAAAATTACTTAAATTTATTAAGCCACAGTGTCATGATCTGCAATATGAGAATTATAACTACCCCACTCCACAGAATTGTGGAAAATATTGTTAACTGAAATAATGACGTAATGCAAATAAAGTAGTGCCTGGCATATATTATGCTGTGGTCTAACCTGTTTACACTATAAAGCTGTCACTCCTTCCCACCATGCTCCTCACCACACTTCTTATTCAATAGGAACCCAATGCAGAGAGAATTTTTAGGAATAAGATCAGAAAGTTAAGATAAGCTAAGTCATGAGCATGATATTTGTACAACTTTTCCATTGACTCAACCTTATATAAAGCAAAAGACACAATTGGGAGTATGAGAGTCTGAGATGAGGGGACAAAAATTTACTTTTAGAAACTGCAGAAAGTTAAAAGGCTTAGTAAACAACCGAGGGTTCTGATTGGGACACTGGGGAACAACATCTTTGTAGTAATTAGACTTTTAAATAAGGGAAATAAGAGAAGTTCAAATAATTTAATTTCTTGATTCAATTAAAGTGAACTTCTCTGGGCTTGCTCCTGCCAAAAGTAAAAGAAAACTACATCCAGAGCTTCAAATTATCCCTATTTCTTTTACGTATAATGTCAACACTCAATTAAATGTAATCAATCACAGGAGAATATAACACTTAATTGAAAACCAAGAGAAAAAAATAGACAAGAAAAACAGACTCACAGGATATACAGATATTGAATTTATCAGATTTAAATTTTATATTAAATTAAGTAATACGCTGAAGGAGTCAAATAACAATATTCAAAATTTCAGCAGAAAACTAGATACAATTAAAAAGAGGAAACAACATTTCTAAAATAAAATTACAATAAATGAAATTAAATAATCAGTGGATATAGTTAACAGTGAATTAAGCATAGCTGAAAACTTAATGATATGTCAGATGATGTCTCTATACTTTAGTATGGGGAAGGAAAAAAAGGATGCAAAAAGAAAAAAAAAGAAAAGCAGAAAAGAGTGTAAGAAACACCTAGTGGCTAAGAATTTTCTTAAACTGATCTTTAAAAATCCATAGATTTGGTCGGGCGCGGTGGCTCACACCTCTAATCTCAGCACTTTGGGAGGCTGAGGCGGGTGGATCACGAGGTCAGAAGACAGAGACCATCTTGGGTAACACGGTGAAACCCAGTTTCTACTAAAAATACAAAAAATTAGCCAGGCATGGTGGCGGGCACCTGTAGTCCCAGTTACTAGGGAGGCTGAGGAAGGAGAATGGCGTGAACCCAGGATGAGGAGCTTGCAGTGAGCCGAGATGGCGCCACTGCACTCCAGCCTGGGTGACAGAGCAAGAGTCTGTCTCAAAAAAAAAAAAAAAAAAAAAAAAAAAAAAAAAAATCCACAGATTTAAGAAGTGCTACCGAGCTAAGAAAGAGATATGAAGATATGACTGTAAAATCAGAGATTCATAGAATCCAATATTTTATCCATTATTCAAATTTTAGAACTAATTCCAAAATGCAGGCAATGGACATGCTTCTGTGAAGCAGAAAGTCATCTGAGACATGAAATGCAGGCTTCAGGTTCATCATCCCCACAGCGGAAATTACTTTTTGAAACCTAGACTAGATGAGGTTTGTAAGAAGGTAAGTGGGATGTCACTTCCCCTCACTTAGTGGATAATGATTAGCTTATCAATATCCCAATTTTATACTGAAGCTTGTGGGAGTTGAACCCACTAAGCTATAGATTCTAGGTTTATTTACTTCCTAAAATCATTAGTCAGAAATACTCTGTTTAGAACCTTCCATAGATAAGGACCCTGGTCACAAATTTCATAAGTCTACTAACCCTTAGGTTCACTTGAATTTATGTTGTCAAAGGAGTAGAATGAACCATCTTGTTTGTTTCCTGTGGGTGCTTCCTTCCAGTAAGAGTAGCAAATATATGACACAGGCCATTAAGACATAAGTGATCACTAGAATTTGTTTTACAAAGGGGAGGAGAAATTTCCCCTACAAAACATGTAAATTGTTATTTATAATCCTTCATGGGTATACTGATATTCTTTTGTAAGTTGAGTTACAATTTATCAACTGTTACACATAATTATTGAAACTTTTATATGTTGGAGGCATTCTATTGGGTATGTAATCTTCATAAGGCCAAACTCACTTCAGTTGGTTTCTACAGACATTATAGCAATTCAAGACTTAATCTTAGCGTCCAAAATATTTTCTTATCCTGAGGTTATGGTATGCACAACTCAGATTTTCAGGCGAAATAACTTAAAACTCTGTTACCAGGTTTCTATGACAAATAGATTAGTATTTTTCACACTATATGTCAGTTAAGATTACAGCAATATATTTCATCATTTCCCAACAGAAGCAAATTTTTCCATATTAGCAATGACGGGAGTGTGAACAGAGACTTTTTTTCAGCTAATCCTATATTCTATCTGGTTTGTGGACATATCTATATTCCAGATAGCATTGTATAGGTTTTTCATGGACACCAGCTTCTGTGTCATCATAATTATGTAACACTGTCCATCTATCCCCCAAGAAATTACACTGAGTGGTTCCCTTTTCCTTCATTTCTATCCTCTTGCACAACAAGTTCCAGGATATAGGTAATAGCATAAAATAAAAAGAAGATGCAAATCATTCCAACTTGAGGTGTTTGAGTCATTGGAAAACAATGAAAGCCATAGTATTCGTGATGACTTACCAAAACCTAAGGTTACCAAAGTTTCCCCGTAGGTATATGTCTTTGACTTGGCTCTGTAAGGCCCTTTACCAGAAAGCTTTCCAAAAAAAATCAAATTTCATTGTGATTTGAATATCTAATAGTTATCCCTGGGGGAGGTTAGGACTACTCCCAGAATAGTTCAGAAGTGAAAATACAATCATTATTGATCATTCTATTCTATTAAAATGGTGTTATCTTTCTATTGTGAGAGCCGCTTCTAATTCCCTTTAGTTTAAAAAGTTTTCCCTTCAAAAAGCCTCTAGTAATATTTTTTAGCCTCATTTAGTATAGCATGACTAACTCCTAACGTCTTCACTAAACTCTTGCTATCTCCTGGGCAGCTGCTGAACAAGTTACCTCATATTCTGTTTCATTGTACATTTAAACAACCGTACAATTTAGGAAAATGATCTGAACATCCAAACATTGGATATCTAACAACTGTCAATGGTTTTTTTTCTACCTCCAAATATAGCTTCAGCTGGGTATACTAAAAGGCTTCCCATAAAAGTTTTTTTTTTTTTTTGTCTGCTTCTGGAGGGAAAATATCTATCCTGTCAGATCTCACAATCACATCCATGCCTAACATCTTTGAAGTTATTCAGGTTCCATTTCGATTTTATTTAGATGAAATCCATGAAATTCACTTTTAACTTAATCAAACGATCATACAAATTGGGACATACTCAACAGGCAGCCACAGTTTGCTTTATATCACACCCAGGCAGCTGTTTGAATCATATATTGTCTTGATTTATGATCTCAAGGATGACAGAAGATCAACTCCACAGCATCTTTCACTTTATCCCATTGACTTGACCTTGAGTCATCAGAGTGTGCTACATACCGTCTTTTCCTCAGATTCACCAGGTAGAATTTCTACTGAAGATCAGTAGAAATCCAATCTCCTTTCTCCAGAGGTAACCAGTTTAGGATTTCTCTCAGCACTGGCTATTACTCAGTACCAGATCTAAGAAAGAGCACTGAGTTTATTCTCTTGCTCTGCAAGGCTAATATGGGGAATTATGTAACTACATCCTTCCTTGGGATTAGATTAACTTGTGACTGTCTTTGCCATCTACATGTCTTCTCCCCTTTTTCCACATTTATTACCTGTTTTGACCCAGACTTTTTCCCCATAATTGGAGTTTCTATTTCAGCATAGGTGCTACATATCTGGTAAAATAACAAAAACAAACAACAACAACAAAAAAGAAATAACAAAACAGGCAGTGTTATTTGGCAATGGAGCTGCCTTGATGCTTCAAGGCAGTAAAGATACTGCTCACCTACAAAATGCCTTTAGGAATACGAACAAGCAACTTCGAAGTAATCAATATTGTGTCTTGAGTATTGATTTCAGCTTTTCTGATAAAGGTAAGTTTAACCTTGAGCATAGAACACTGTACCAAACAAAAAATTGTTATATGTGTAGGATGCACAGTTTAGGAATTAGATCTCCATTTGTCACTTTCTGTTCAAAACACGCTTCCATTGTGAAACAAAGATTTTAATTATTCATTCTAATTTTCAATGAGGCTTCTGCTCTGAGATTGTTAAGTAAAATTTGTGTAATATTGTTTCCCTGTTTTTTTTCTATTTTCTACTTTCAAAACAGTGAAATGCATACTGTACCGTGATTCAGAGAAAAATATCCAGATGGGCTAAATTGATAGCTAATTCTTTATTTGAAATATTTACTTGTTTTCATGGTGTTGCTCCAGACAACATGAGTGAACTCTACAGGAAAATAGAGTTTGATCCCAATTAATACTCACATATCATATTTTCTGCCTACTGATAGAGGTCTATAGTCATCCATTAATACAATCTGGTTTGACCAACACCCAGTAAGACTCTAGCCATGTTTTACTTTTGGCTTTTAACAGCAGCTTCCTCAGGCATTTTTGGAGTAAAAATACTAAGAGGTATTCACTGAGCATCCCATTTCAATATATACCACAGATGCTGGTCTGCAATGTTGCAGTTGCAGATATTTCTAATGTCAACTAAACAATTGAATCATAAAGTTTTATGTAGACTGTGCCACTAATCTCCACCAGTCTTTTAATGATTATTTTTCTTTAGGACCTCTCTTAAATTCAGATATTTTTTCTATTGATTTTGTGAACAGGGCTTGGAAGGATTCTTAAATAAAAAATATTATCTTTTCAAAACCTGGAAAATGGGTAGTCTCTGAGCTTCATGTTGATTGGCAGAATCTGTGCAAGAGAACAATGTAATTCTCACAATTTGAAGAATACGTCTGGTTGATCCAGTCCACTTAATTCTGAGAAAGTCCACAGACTGGATCGGGTCTTGGATTTTAGCTGGATTCATTGACTGGGCTATATTTGTCATATGGACAACTACAGTCCTTAACTCTTCCTGAGCTGAGCAGACCCTGTCATAAATGGGTTTCTGTTCCACATGAATGAAAATTGTGCTTGACTGTCCTCCTGCATTAGAATGGAAGATAAGTTATTATCCAGGTTTTCAAGGGCATGCCAGTTCCCCTTCACCTATTGTTGCTTCATAGGCTCTACTGCATCAAATACAACAGAAGCAATCAGAGGAACCGTATTGTTTAATCTTTAATAGTCTATCAAATCCCAGGAAACATGTTCCTTGTGCATTGGCCAGAAGGAGTTATTTATATGGGAAGTTAGTGAAACCCCTGTTTCACCCATTCCCTTAAACGGAGCAGTGATCTCTTGTTATTCTCTTGAAATTCTGTTGTGCTTAATATTTACTTCTTTAGAGGGCACTGGTAATTTTCACCTAACATGTCTAGTTAAAACTGGAAGACAAGTTTATGTAATCATCCCATGACATGAATTGGTCAATTGAATTTGAGTAAATTCTCTGCACACTACCCCAGAGCAGAGGTGCCTTCCCCTTTATGTCTGTTATGAGAATGGACATGTCTCATAAATAGAGCTTCTTTTCTCTGGTTCCCTGAATGTGAAGACCCAGAGCGCCACCTGGCATGGAGTCATAGCTCATCTACAGCCTACCTATAATTTGAGCAACACGTATAGCTTTCTGTTGAAAGCTACTGAGGTATTGGGGCCATTTGTTGCTATAATGGTATTGATTAATACACTATCTTATGATAAATCTCAACAAATAGAGATAACAAAGGCAAACATTTCCTGGAAACTAATAGTTTCCCTGGATTATTCTAAATATATTGATTGCATTGATGAACCACATGTCTTATCTTCCTTGGTATGGTGATGCTAAGTTTTCTATTACTGCTATAACAGATTACCACAAATTTCGCGACTTAAGAAAACTCTGCAAATTTATTATTTCACAGTTCTGTAGATTGGAAGTCCAACAGAGATCTCACTGGGCTAAGATAAAGATAACAGCAGGTGGCGTTACTTTCTGAAGACTAGGAAAAAATCTATTTCATTGTGTTTTTCCAGCTTCTAGAGGTGGTGATTTACTTGTCTCATGGCTTTGTTCCTCCATCTTCAAAATCAGCAAAGTGGGGCTCAATACTCATGCTGCTATCTCTCTGGTTCTTGGACTCTCTCTCCAGCTTTTATATTCTAATTTCAAGAGCTTTTATGATCACATTATACCTATAAGGATAAATCAGGATAATCTCAATGTTTTTTACTTAGTCACACCTGCAACACGCTTTTTCCATGTAAGCTAACACATTCACAGGTTCCAGAGAGTAGGAAGTGGACATATTTGAAGGGTCACTATTCTACCTATTACAATACCATTGTCTCACGTTTTCTCCTTCATTGGAGCAAAATGGTTATTAATATATGGTCCCCAATTCATCTGGAGTATCAGTAATATGTGTGAATAGAAATACCTTGAAATTTGACCTCCTATACAAAATGTTCTCCATCTTTGTCATAACTTCTAAAAGATCTAATGAGTTAATCTAGTTCATTCTCTGCTTGGCTGACCCATGATGACTCACCTTTGTTTGATTTTGCATTTTAAACATCTTTTAATAATGAATTTCCTTTAACTGTTCCAATCCAAATTTTAAAGCTTTAGGGATATAAAACTTCATTTTCTCATAAAAATCTCATTCTTTTCATGAGTCTACAATAAATATAAATATTACTTTTAGTGCTAACTAAACACTGATGTGTTAATGTTTTATGTAGCTATATATATTAGATATCCTTTCTAAATATCCATCATTCTCTGTTACTGAAAGACTTTGTATTGCTTCTGCGGCCTGAGCCCCAATGATAACAAACCCCAGTGGATTCTTCTGCATTTTACTGAGCCAGTGTCTTTGACATTGATGGCTTACTGGTCAGCACAGGGAAACGACTGACAGGCTTATACACTTGTGGAACCTGATGAATACAGCATATGCCACAAAAGTCAATGCTGTTAATAAAGTTGGCATTATGCAGTAATGCGCAAATCTATGTATCGCAACATAGGATTAAACATTTTAGATTGAGACAGAGGCTGCTGATACTGATGGAATCGGCTTGAGAAACTCGTCAAAATTAGAAGGATTAGATACTAATTACTGGAAGAAAATGAAAAAGATCCATCATAATCACTTGCTGGTACTCTTATTTTAACTATACTGTCTTTCTCCCTCAATTCTAATCCTTATTTATTTACAACATAAATGTATGCTTTTATATACCCTAAGACTTATCTAATTACTTGTAAATAAAAGTCTGTCTTTTCCTCAGTGCCTTTTTGGGAAACCAATTGGTGTATATTGCATTAGCTGACCTCTCACATATTGAGTCTTAAATCAATTATAGTTATTATCATTACTGTCTCATCTTCTTCTATTTCTTCTAGGATATTATTATATTAATTTGACTGCTTATTTTCATGTTAATGCTATAATCATCTAAATGCTTTTCCTCCTCCCTATAAATACCTTATGGTTTCTTTAATGAAAATGAGAACAACAACAACAACAAAAAAAAAAAAAAAAAAGGGAAAGAAAGACTTCTACTTCTGTCCGTTAAGTATTAGCTGTTAGGAAATTTGCCATTTTGCCACAAACAACTGGGAAAAACAAACAAAAACTCAAGCAAGAGTTTTCAGACATTGACCAACAGGCAGTGCAGGGCTATAAACCCTGACAAAAAGAAAGGGAGCCCTATTATTTTACCAGATTTCTTCCCAGCTTCATTTTCCAAGGGATAGCTCAGGACTGGAGAATCGCAACAGCTTGGGAATCAGAATTTGAGAGGCTGATGAAGAATTCCTGACAAAAGGTTTGGAAAGGAGGAAGCTACATAAAGAGAAAGAAAAAGAGCTATGGAGACTTATATTGAATCTTTGGATGGTGAAAGGTGCAAATGTGAGAGGACAGGAAAGAACTGGTGGAAACAAAGGCCAAATAATCCACATCAGGCTGGAAGTTCACTTCTCAGCAGCAAGGTTGGAGAGTTCTATGTCGCACAGAGATTGGGCATAAAGACTTGCTCTTGAGGTGAGGCCAAATAGTCCTAAAGATGGCTCTGGGCCTGCGATAAAAAAAGCCTAACAGTGGGGCTCCAAAGAGGAAAATTGATCCTCAAATTGCATAACAGTGTGCCAGATCAAAATTCAAAAGTATTTTAATAAAATTCAAAAAAATGCAGGACTCAGCAACCAAAATCCACAATATGAGATGTCCAGTCAAAAGTTATACCTTAGTAAACTTAACAAAAAAAGTACTACCCTGTCAAATAGGTAGAAATATATAACCTATTTTATCAGTAGAGAACTCAGTCAATAGAATCAGATGAAAGACTAACAGATACTTTAACAAATAGATAATTTTCTTAAAATGGCTATTATAGGTTTTAAATGTTCAAGAAGGTAGAAGAATTCTTGGACATGGTGAACAGAAAAATGAATAACTTATTAGTTTCCTGTGGCTCCTATGACAAATTACCACAAACTTGGTGGCTTAATACAACAGAAATGTATTCTCTCGCAGCTCCAGTGGGCAGAGTCTGAAGTCAGTTTCACTGAGCCAAATTCAAGGTGGGGCTACACTCCCATAAGAGGTTAGAGGATAATCTGTTCCTTGTCCTTTCCCATATCTGAAGACTCCTGGCTTTTATTTTATTTTATTTTATTTTATTTTTGAGGTGGAGTCTCGCTCTGTCACCTAGGCTGGAGTGCAATGGTGCGATCTCGGCTCACTGCAACCTCCGCCTCCCTGGTTCAAGCAATTCTCCTGACCTAGCCTCCAGAGTAGCTGGGATTACAGGTGTGCACAGCCATGCCCAGCTAATTTTTGTATTTTTAGTAGAGATGGGGTTTCACCATGTTGGCCAGCCTGATCTCGTACTCCTGACCTCTGAAGATCCTCCCACCTCGGCCTCCCAAAGTTCTGGGATTACAGGCGTGAGCCACCGCACCTGGCTAACTGCTGGAATTTCTTTCCTTATAGCCGTATCACCTTTATCCTGCCTCTGCAGCACATTCCCTACTCCTTTTCTGTACAGGTATCAAATTTCCATCTACCTCTCTCTTATGAGATACTTGTGATTTCCAGAATAATCCTGATAAACCAGAATACTCTCCCCATCTTAACATCTTTAACTTAATTAGATTGCCAAAATTCCTTCTGCTTTATAAGGCACTATTCATTCACAGGTTGCAGGAAATAGGACCTGGTTTCTTTGGAGGCCTTACTGAGTCTACCACAGATAATAAGAACCACAGGAAACTTCTAGAAATCAATAATTAAATGCATACAGTGAAAAATACACTGGAAATAAAAGCAGATTGTAACTAACTGAAGACAGCTTTCACTTGAAGACAAACGATAAAACATTCAAAATGACAAATGGAAAGAAAAGAATGACAGAAGTAAACATTGGTAAACATTGACCAATATAACAGAGCCTAAAATATGTTATTGGAGTCTTAGATTGAAAGGTGGGTAGACAGAAAAAAAAGGTTAAAGAAATAATGCCCCCAAATTTACAAATTTAATCAAAATTGTAGACCTAGAAATCCAAGAAGTTCAATGAAATTTAAGCAGAACTAATATATTTTGAAAAAGATTGATCTTATATGAAATTTTTGAAAACCAGTTATAAAGAGAAAAGTTTTTAAATGCAGAAAAGTAGATATACAAATGAACAATAATAAAGATAGAAGAACCATTTTTGGGAGGCCAAGGCAGACAGACAGCTTGAGTGCAGGAGTTGGAGACCAGGCTGGGCAACATGACAAAATCAGGTCTCTACTAAAAATACAAAAAATTAGCCGTACGTGGTGGCATGCACCCCTGTAGTCCAAGCTACTTTGGAGGCTGAGGTGGGAGTATTAGTATGTATTTGTTAAAAACAAGGACATTAATCTATATAACCAAAAACACCATAAAAATTAGCTAATTAACATAAATTTTATCTAAGCCTGGGATGGATCTATATCTCAGTATGCCTTTTGGAGCCAAATATTCCAGCTGAGGACCCAAAGGTGCATTGTTTCCATGACATTTTAGTTTTACTCAGTCTGATAAGTTCCTCAGTCTTTTCTTGATTTTTATGATCCTGATATTTTGAAGACTACAGGCTACTTACTTGTAAAAGGTCCCTCAGTTCATAATGTCCAATGTTTTATTACAACTAGATCAAAGTCACGCATTTTAGGCAGGATTATCACAGAAATACCATTCCAAATGTTGCCGCATGCTCATTGCATCCTATGGGTTGGCACAATATTTCACTTTGCTCTGTCACTGATAATGTGCACCTTGCTCACTTTATTCAGGTATTTCCTGTCTGCCAGACTTCTTCACTATAAAGTTATGCTTCTGTCTATAATTAATAAGGATTGTCTGGGAGATACATTGTAATTATGTAATTCTCAATATCTCATTAAAACTTCAATTTACTCATTTATTTATGTCTGTATGAAGCTGTGATTTCCTGTTTAATGAATTATATTTTATATTATCATCATTATTTATTTTGATGCTCAAATTGCCCCAGATTTGGTCAGAGAAGTCCCATTTAGACTAGCTTTTGTGTCCTTTTTCATATCCCTTTGATTCATTAAGTATTTCTTTTCTTTTTCGTACAAAATATTGCATGTTCTTTTGTATTTTCTTTGGCCCAGTTTAAGAATCAACTATTTCTCCAAGGTCCTCTATTTGTTTTTCATAAAAAATGTTAAGTTGAGGCGAATGTATAGTCACGAAATGTACTGGCTTTTATTCTAATTATGCCAATTTCAGTGAGCATAATTAGGCAGTGCATGTGAATTCCTACACACATATTCCTAAACATGCATGTGCATGTTAATATGTATATTTATTTTTTGACCTATCTTTCTATATTAAAAGTCACACATTTATACTTTCATATCCCATTTCTATCCAAACTACAATATTATTCTAGATTTTCCTCTTTCTGCACTTACCCTTCTCCCAAATGCAGACTTTCCTCCCTGCACCTAGGTTCCAGAGTTTCATCCCAGGATGACCTTCTCACCCTGCTTGGGCTCTGACATCCTACAACAGAGTACCCCTCTATGTGAAAGCTCTCCTGAAATTTCTTGGGCTCTAACACTCCACTCCAGGCCACTCACAGGCACACATGACCCTCTCAGGCTGATCATTCTCTGGCAGCCCCCATTCACAGCTGCTCTCCTCATCCCAGTGCGACTCTTTGCCTCCTGTGTGAACCTTACTTCGCTTCACTCCACTTACTCTCTAGCATCCCTTGCTGAACCATCCTAGTGCATGGATGCCCCACTTATCTTTTTGGGGAGCTATGATTCTAAATGCCCACTTTACATGTAGTTACCCCCACTGAAGATAGGCATGCTCCTCTCCTTGATCAGGTTCCAAGCACTCCTGTCAGCCTGCTTCTCTGTGTGTATGTCTTGTCTCCCTTCTTTGACTGTGCCTCCTATGCCTGGCCTTCTCTGCCCTCATAGAAACCTGCCTCAGTCCACCTGGGCTCCTACAGGGCTCAGCGCCACTGTGCTCCCTACCCCCACTCCAAAATGGCTGCCTATCTTGCTTTCTCCCATCTAATAGTTTATATCTGACTTTTTCAGAAAAGGAAGGTAAGACAGCTAAGAAAGGGAAAAATAAAAGAAAGATGTATTTTTGAATCTCAAATTAATTGTTCTTTGTGCTTCTATTTCTATAAATTAATACAATCTTCCCAATTTTTCAGGGTTCCAGTTATCCATTTGGTAAATATACTGAGTCTCTATTATTTGCACAGCATTTGAGATGTTTACTTAAAGATCATGAATTTGTTCATTTGAACAAAGAAAACTACTTCCCTCAGATCAAAATTTAGGATTTAGGATCTCTTGTCAAGTTGCAAAATTCAGTAAATAATGTAGCCAGATTAGGACCTAACATTTCATTAATATCAAATCACCATGAATACTCATTCAATTATCATCTATTAATTTTATTTTCTGCTGGTTTACGTACCTGTATGAAATTGGTTGTTACAAATTTGGAGTAAATTGTGAGCTAGAACTTATTTGAAGTAATATGGATTCCTATATATTCTTTCATTGAATCACTATGTCTTTTAGCTTAAAATTAACTCTAGTATCATGAGTATCATGATACACACACACACACACACACACACACACACACATACATATATACCCTGTATGCCAGAAATGGTAACACAGTTTACAAATGAACCTTATTACGTAGGTATTTTTATTATCACATTTAGCATATGGAAAAACTGAATTGTGGAAATGAAGTGATTTTTCTAAGCTCACAGACCTTGTAAGTGATGAGGTAAAAAAGTAAGCCTGAGCCAGTATAGTTACTTACTTGAGATTCTTAATCTTTATTTTTCATGTTCTGACTCCCCATCCAGATCTCATTAGAAGTTGTATTTCATCACTTTTCTTTATACGTTAAACATATCAAATTGTGTGTATTACATACAATTCCTTTTTTAGTGTGGCTGTTCCCATTGTTTAGAACTTTCACATTGCAGATTTCCATCCTATAATTTCTGTCTGTAATTAACTCAGTCTTGTTCCTGAAGATGCAGGACAGGAATAATCAGTTCATTTTCAAAGGCAACATTGATCACTGATCTACTTTCAGATTTGAAGTTATACCACCTATACATTCAGATATGTATACATTCAGGCAACTACACAAAATTTATAAAATGAAGTTTTATACTTTTAGTGTATTTTTTATTAGTTATTGAGTGTTTTTGTGAATTTCCTTCTGTAAATCTACAATATGACCCTTAGTTTGGATGGGAATCGCCAATTCACCTTAGTTTCTTCTTGATTATGCCTATGGCAGTGCTTTAAAAGAGAAAATGTTTATTTATTGTGTGGTAAATTAACAAACAAGTGGGCTTAATTTTTGGAAAGAGACAATCTATAAACCTATAGAGCAGAATGGTCATTCTGTAAAAATTCTTAGCAGTTTATACAAAATGTTCGTTCCACAATAAATATTGTTGATATACTTTAGATTATCTTTAACTACAATGAGTGAATGTGTTGCTTGTTTTGGCTCACATATTCTAAATATTCTTTATCTGAGGAACATGATGACTTTCTTTAGACCAGTGGTTTAAAGTGAGGAAGTAAACCTGGGGGTAAATCAGTTTACGTGTACTGTCCAAGACAAATCATTTATTCTGTGTGATAAATTTTAATGCAAAGATGAGCAACTGATGAACACAAAAATGAGATCATTATACATTTGTGTCTGTTTTCACTCTAGAATAATCAACTTGCCCTTTGCTTGTGAACACAGCCTAAAATTCAGTGAGAGAGTACCAGTGTGCAGTTCATAAAGAATACTCCAAAATAACAGTGAATGGAGTTGGTGATCTAAGACCTTTGTGATGAAGGAGAAAAGTCCCCATTTTATCATATGTGTCTGAAAATAATTATTAATATTGCTTTCATAACCTAGATTACACATTTTTTAACAAGTGCTGTAGAAACAGCAGGATATGTTTCTATACAATTTTTCAAATATGTATAGAAAACATGACAATATGTTTGATAGAAATTTAATGCCTGGTAATTTTTATTCTATATGCATAGGATACCATAAATGGTAGTTAACGTAGTTGACGTTTTCGTTTTCTATATGTCACTGGATTTTCAATTTGAACACTACCTTTACTTTTGCTTCTCAGCTATTGTGTTTTCAAATTTACTTTTTTCCTTCTGAAGTAATAAATGTTGTTCGCTGATGCTTTGCCTTAAAATGGCAATGATATGTTAGCAAAACGAGGCTCTGTATGTGTAATTGCATACCATGTAGGTACCTTATTTATACTGCATACATAGAGACAGGACTTTTACATGCATGCCATTGATTTTAGGGTTATGATAATCATATTTTTATATTTTAACATAAGCAATGTGTTAGCCACAATGGCTCTTGACATAGAGCTGTCCAGCCTATACCTATGTACAGATGACTTATTAGAGTAAAAATAATATTTATAAGAATCTCTCTTGACAGATTATATAAAATATTTTATATCTATGCATTATATATATGCACCATGTTATAAAAAATAATCTAATTGCAGAAAGATATTTAGATTAGTAGTTCTCAAATTTTGATATTTGGACCAGCAGTTATTGCCGTAAGCGATGAGCTTATTAGATATGCAAATTCTTGGACCATACTAATCCCAAAAGACTGAATTAATACTTCTAGGAATAGAGCCTAGGAAACTGCATTAATAAGCTTTCCATGTGATTCTGATAAATGATAAAGTTTGAGAACCAGCAGTGAAAAATCTATATCTATTATATCTACCCATCTAATCTAATCTAATATTCATTAAACAATAGTAAAAATATGGATGCACATTTTAATATACAAATAATTTTTGTTTATAAAAAATTTCAACATTATATATAAATATAAACCTCCATAGAGCTCTAATTGCTGGGTCTTGTGTCTGCTCTAGATTGTATAAACATAGCTGAAACCTCTTGGGAAAGTAAGAGTGATAGCAGTGGATCATGTTGGAGAAAATATGGAAGGCATGCACCTCTCATGCCCAGGAGTGTGAAAGGAGACAGAGGCTTTAAAACATTCAGGATCTTGCACTACTGGAGATGAGAATAAATGGATCACCTGTAAGAGTCACCCTGTGTTACAAATTGATTCCTCTGTAATTATTCTCAAGAAGACTCAGCAAAGACTGACACACATACACAGTCATGTACACACACACATACACACAGACCCATACATATACATATGTAATTTTAGTTGAGTTTAACAAAAGCTTCTAGAATAGTCACTTAAACTTTTAAAGGTTAATCTATATTTATAATACTTAGATATGTTTGAAGCATTCACAAAATTTTAAAAAACTTTTTTTAATTTTGGAAAAGAGCATTTTCAAGAGAACTGGAAAAAAGTGAAAAATGTTCCCATGTGAACTTCACCCAGTTTCCCCAAATGTTAACATTTTGGGGTACATTTATCAAAACCAAGAAAATAACATTGGTACAATACTATTAACTAAACTACACACATATTTGATGTCACAAGTTTCCTCACTAATAGCTTTCTTCTGATCAAGATCCAACCCAGGATATCATGTTGCATTTAGACTTCATGTCTCCTTAGTCTTCTCCAGTCTGTGGCAGTTTATTGTGTTTTCCTTGACTTTCATGACCTTGACATATTTAAAAATATTGGTCGGATATTTTATAGAACGCCCCACAATTTGGGTTCATCTGATGCTTCCTAGTGAATGTACTGGCATTGTGAAACTTGAAAGAGAATATCACAGGGCAAGATGCCCTTCTTATTGCATTATGTCAGGGGTACATGGCATCAACATGCTTTATTGCTGATGCTGTTAACTTGATTATTTAGGTAAGTTTATGTCTGCTAATTTGCTTTTATAAAATTGTACCATCATTAGCTTCCCTTTCTATGTTTTATTTCTTAGAATAAGTCACTATATAAAGTCTACATTCAAGGAAAAAGAGAGTTAAGTTTCACACGCTGGTAGAAAAACATTAATATTTGTGAAAACATATTAAATATACCATGGTAATCAATAAATATTTTGGGCTATACAAATATCCTATTTTTCTTAAAGCTTTTCCAACTAATTTTAGCAGCCATCCATAGATCTTCATTATTAGGTTGGTGGAAAAGTAGTTGTGCTTTTTTTTTCATTGAAAGTAACAGTAAAACAGCAATTACTTTTGCACCAACCTAATATTATTACTCTAACCATGACTGTAGTGTTCAGATGACTTTTAAAAATTTCTTCAACATTAATTCATTGACATTCATTTGTAAAACAGATTTATTCTTTCTTACTTATTTATTCAATCATTTTAATATCAGGGTGTGCTCACCTATGTTATTTAAAGTTATTACTTTGGTTTTAATGCAATACTATTATAATTCATTTTGCTGCTCACATGTTTTCATCTGTGGTTATTGGAAACTCCTTCAAGTTGAACCCGACCCTTTTTTTTAGCACTTTTTTGTTACTGCAACTACATGATGCTCCAGGTTTACCTTGCTTTTTTTCTTCCCCAACGCTAGAACCAACTGCTTTTTCAAAAAGCCATGGTTTCTTTTATTGCAAAATGGTATTTAGAAACCAAATCTGGGTGGTATGTGTGTTCATTGCAACTGGAGTATACACCTCTCAGAGGACAGGGAAGGAAATATAGATATCTGTATTCATAATAATATGTTTATACTAACCCACATATACATGTTTCTATATTTATTTCTGTATTTCTTAAAATAAAAATGAGTTCATGCTAATATTTTTTACTCTAATTCAGCACCACAGAGTTTGATCAATATTTCCTCCATTGTTTGAGTATTTGTAACTTCTTTCTCTTGCAGTGAGAAACCTGGTTCCCGTTATTGATAATTTATGTAGTTATTTGTTCAACCCTAGTATAGGTATAAAGGGCTTCAAGAATGAGTAATCATATTCCTGTATAAAATACATTTACCAACTAGATTACAGTGTTTTAATGCAATTGTTTTTGCTTTTACCTTTACAATATCTCATCAAGGTACTCCTTTCCAAATTTACTTAGTTCAGCTAATTTTTCCTTTATCTCTTTAAGTGTAGTATATAATTATAAATCAAATATAGTTAAATTTATTTGTTACTATTTTAGAATAATTATTATAAAGTTACTGTTGTTTATTGGTAAGACACAAGTATATGTATAAAAAGTTACTTTCCAAAGATAAAGTGGTGCTGTAAAATACATTTATTTACTTATATAGAATATTTCTACACTAATTACCAGATCATTTTACTTGGAAACGTAGGTCTGAAGAAGAAAATTAATCTATGTCACTGAAAAGAAAGCATTTTATTATGAGTGAGACTACATGCAGTTTCAAGAGCTGTAGCTAGTTGTTTCATATCCTGTGCACTTTAAATACAATGTCACGTCTGACATTTCGAAAAATTTTCTCACTTAGCAGCTGGTAAAAGCAACTTTACTTAATAGTAGGTTTAGAAGAAATCCACATAGTGAGAATAAGAAGAATCTGATTATTTCACTTAATAATTGTATAATTTTAGATAGATAATAAATTAACTTCTCTGAGCCTCAGTTTGATTATCACTGTATTAGGAATAATCACATTACCCTTATAAGTATCTAGGTTATTATTTCTTAACTTTGGCGCCATTGACATTTCGGACAGAATAATCGTTTGTTGCAGGGTTGAGTGGGGGTAGAGACTTCCTGTTGAATCATGTGATATTTAACACCATCTCTATCCTCTACCCACTATGTGCCAGTGGCACAAACCACTTCTCCAAATTGTGGCAGTGAAAACTCTCTCTAGACAATTGTTTTCCTGGGAAGAAAACTGCCTTTATTTGAGAATCACTGATCTAGTTTTATGGGCAAAACAAATAAGTATTTGAGTCTGATGAGAAAGGCAATGGTTGAAAATGAAACCAATACCCCTGAGATAATAAAATATCATCTCCATTAAACCTTTAAATAATAAAATTGTGCTTTCTAATTCTTCTGTAGCCAAAATAAAGGAGTAAACCAGAAAATTACTAGGGATTATTATTTAGAAATTTTTTAAGATCTCAACCAAAAATTTTTAGAGGATTTTGAATACCAATGGGCTTATTAGAGAAGACTAGATATGGTAGTCTCCATCCACCCTTCTCCTCATTTGGGAGAGACATTTTCAATACAGTGATTTTAATGTAAGTACCACAAAAAGTGGAGGTATCACATTACCTGACCTCAAATTATACTGCAAGTCTAAAGTTACCAAAACGGCATGGTACTGGTATAAAAATGGGCACATAGAACAATAGAACTGAATAGACAACCCAGAAATAAAGCCACATGTTTATAACCAATTGACCTTTATTTTTTTCAACCTTTATTTTAGGTTCAAGGGTACATGTGAAAGTTTGTTAGATAGGTAAACTCTTGTAATGGGGGTTTGTTGAACAGATTATTTCATCACCAGGTATTAAGCTTAGTACCCAATAGTTACTTTTTCTGCTCCTCTCCCTTCTCCCTCTCTCCACCCTCAAGTAGACCTCAGTATCTTTTGTTCCTTACTTTGTGTTCATGAGTTCCTATCATTTAGCTCCCACTTGTAAGTGAGACCATGCAGTATTTGGTTTCCTGTTCCTGTGTTAGTTTGCTAATGATATCTTCCAGCTCCATCCATGTTCCTGCAAAAGACACGATCTTCAACAAAGCGTACAAAAACATAAATTGGGGGAAAGACACCCTGTGTAATAAATGGTGCTGGGAAAACTTGGTAGCCACATGCAGAAGAATGAAACTGAATTCCTGTCTCTCACCTTATACAAAGATCAACTCAAGAGGGATTGAAGATTTAAATGTAATACATGAAAACATAGAAATTCTAGAAAAAATTTAGAAAAACCTTTTTCTGGACATTGGCCTAGGCAAATAATTTATGACTAAGATCTGAAAAGCAAATGCAATAAGGACAACCATAAATAAATAGAATATAATCAAACTAAAAACTTTTGCACAGCAAAAAAATAATAATAATCAGCAGAGCAAACAGACAACCAACAGAATGGGAGAAAATATTTGCAAACTATGCATCTGACCAAGGACTAATATTCGTAATCTACAAAGAACTTAACAAATCAGCAAGAGAAAAACAAATAATCCCATCAAAGAATGGGCAAATGACATGATTATTTTGTATCTTCTGTAGAGAAGATATCTGTAGAGAGAAGATATTCTGTATCTTCTCAAAGCAAGATACAGAAATGACCAACAAGCACTAAAAAAAACCTCGACATCACTAATCATCAGGGAAATGAAAATTAAGACCACAATAAGATACCAACTTACCCCTGCAAGAATGACGATTATTAAAAAGTCAGAAAACAATAGATATCATAGATGTGGTGAAAGGGGAACGCTTATACATTGCTGGTGGATATGTAAATTAGTACAACCTCCAGGGAAAACAGTGTAAAGATTTCTTAAGGAACTAAAAGTAGATTGTCATTTGATTTGGCAATCCACTGCTAGGTATCTAACCCCCCAAAATAAGTCATTGTATCAAAAAGACACCTGCAGATGTATGTTTATTACAGCACAATTCACAGTTGCAAAGACATGGAACCATGCTAACTGCCCATCAACCAATGAGTGAATAAAGAAAATGTGGCATACATATATATATGTGTATACGCATATATACAGTGATTTTAATGTAAGTATCATAGAAAGTGGAGGTATCACATTACCTGACCTCAAATTATACTACAAGTCTAAAGTTACCAAAATGTCATGGTACTGGTACAAAAATGGGCACATAGAATAATGGAACACAATAGACAACCCAGAAATAAAGCCACATATTTATATATACCCAGTTGTAACAAAGAATGAAATAATGTCTTTTGCGGCAACTTGGATGGAGCTTAAGGCCATTATTCTAAGTGAAATTACTCAAGAATGGAAAATCAAATATCATATGCTCTCACTTATAAGTGTGAGCTAAGCTTGGGGTATGCAAATGCATACAGAGTGGTACAGTGGATATTAGAGACTCAGAAATGGGAAGTTGGGAGAGGGGTGAGGGATAAAGAACTACATATTGGGCACAATGTACACTACTCAGGTGATAGGGGCACTGAAATCTCAAACTTTACCAATCTGCAATTCATCCATGTAACCAGAAGACAGTTGTACGCTAAAAGCCATTGAAATTTTTTTCAAAAATTGAAATTAATTAATTAATTTTAAAAATGCAGACCCCTCTGTAAAAGAGAACTGTATTGTGAGAATGAACTGAAACAATATATTTAAAGCCCTTAGCATTATTCCTGGCACATAATAAAATCTCAGTAAATACTAACTTGTGCCAAAAATAACTGATAGTCATTTTGTTATTTATTAACATATATTTACTTATATGCAGTAAAAACCAATAACAAATATTTTTTAAGTATAGGAAAAATACTCATAAGAGAAAAAGATCACGACTGACACTATTATAAGCATAAGGACCTAAATATAGCAAAGTATAGGAAAATACTCATAAGAGAAAAAATCAGAACTGATGCTATTTATTATAAGCATAAGGACTTTAATATAGCAAAGGAGGATTTAATACAACATTTGCAAGAGCTGGTGGAGCAGAGGAGACGGAGCCTCTCACCCATAATATCAGTCATAAACATTTAAACAGGTGCTTCTCCAGAGTAACCTAGAACTCTCCCAAAACAGCAGTCTACTCTCTCACAAGTGTGCAGTTGCCTCCAGCTAACAGTAACCTCCCCAAAGTCTGCTGCCTCCAAGTCTTATCTGACTGCATCTTGTTAACAAACTGACTAGAAACTTTCTGGGGAAAAGGACACTGGGAATATGATTTTGAGTTTTCCTTATGAATAGCATAAAAAGTAGAGAAGGGGAATTACAATAAAGATGCTTCAAGAACAGAGAACCAAACCTTGCCTGTTCATTTACTAAGTCAGTGTTCATTCATGCCACTTTGTTGTTGTTGTTGTTGTTGTTGTTGGAGATGGAGTCTCACTCTGTCACCCAGGCTGGAGTACAGTGGCATGATCTTGGCTCACTGCAACCTCCACCTTCCAGGTTCAAGTGATTCTCCTGCCTCAGCCTCCTGAGTAGCTCAGATTACAGGCACGCACCACCATGCCTGGGTAATTTTTGTATTTTTACTTAGACGGGGTTTCACCATATTGGTCAGGCTGGTCTTGAACTCCTGACCTCGTGATCTGCCTGCCTTGACCTCCCAAAGTGCTGGGTTTACAGGAGTGAGCCACCACGCCTGGCCTCATTCATGCCACTTTTACCAATATTTAATTTAGTAATGAAAGGATCAGAACCATGCTTCTGCCTAAAATTAAGTAGATTAACCTCATACAGATAAAGACATTCTTAGTCTCTAGGCTGTCGCCACCCAGATCACACCAGGACTTGACCTTCAAAAGCTCTTCCACTCTTGTACTATTTATGCCAGTTTATTGGGGTAAGGAGACATTAGTAACATTAGTAAATTAATGGGCATGAGTCTAGTGCCTTACTCCATCACAATATAAGCTCCTTGGTCAGAAGTAATGCTATTTGGAAAACAATGGTGATAAATGAAATATCCTTCAAGTACTGAATGGGCAGGAAGAAAAATTCGTATCTGTAGAAAATTTGTAGTCCAGTGAGGATAAGCTGCTGCACCGTATGTTACAAAGCATTCCAATTAAATAAACTTGCCACTGTTGACTGTCATTTGCCCTAGGGGATGCTGCTTCAAGATTACCAAGAGCCTCCTCAGCAGGAATGCCATTTGAGAGCTTTCCTGTCATATCTCAGAGACCCCAGATTTTGGAGTACACACTGTAAAAAAGTACCGACATGTAACTGTGACAACTTGCGTTTCTGTTGTTTCAAATAGTCCCAGGAAGAAATCTAGCTCCAGCAAAATGAAAACCCATTTGATCCAGAGATGCCTGAGTTGGAGATGAAATTTGGTAATCTCTCCACATTAACATACTAAAAACTCTGCCCAGGGAGTAGCTTGTTGGCCATTTTCAATAGACGTGATGTATGAAGAACCATGATCGAGAACTATGCCTATGTGGCCTTTGCCCAGCCTTTACATAGAATAACTCAGCTAACCAGTGCAACAAAAGCTCTGCTATGACCTTTGTCCAGAGAGGCACTGCCTTGGGAACTATCTCAGGTGTTCTCCCTACTTGTCAAATCCTCCTCGATTGCAGTCATTGGGCTGTCACCTGCCAAGTGACTAAACCCACCCATTGTGTATGTAACACCCTGGACACAGATATCTTCGTACCCACTCTTAAAAGTCAAAGAAAATATCCTTTTCTCAAAAGTGTTTTTTTTTTTTACCAAATTTTTAATTATGTCACCTTTGTGTCTCTTATTGTGATGGCTAATTTTATGTGTCAACATAGCTGGGCCACAATGCCCAGATATTTAGTCAAATATTATTCTGGATATTTCTGTAAGGGAGATTTGTGGATGAGTTTAATATTTAAATAAGTGGACTTTGAGTAAAGCAGATCGTCTGTGATGATGTGAATGAGCCTCATCCAATCAGTTAAAGGTCTTAATGGAGCAAAGACTCATGTGCCCTGAGCAAGAAGGAATTCTGCCAGCATATGCCCTTCGGACTTGAACTGCAAAATTGGCTCTTCCTTTTGTCTCCAGGGTGCTGACTCATTCTGCAAATGTTGGAATTGTCAGCCTTCATAGTCATGTAACCTAATTCCTTAAAAATCTCTCTCTCCCCACACACCCTGTGTTGGTTTCATTTCTCTGGAGAACACTACTTACCATATAGACAGTGAATCAGCATAGATCTGTATTCCATTATGCCTTAAAGGGCAAAATTAAACACCCAGGTATGTTTCTCAATGTTCTGCACACTGAGAGGATTTCCCTTCGTTGTCCTTCAGGAGCCAACTGAGTGGGATTGTGATACTGCAACCCTCCCCTTTGTAGGGGTTCTACCATCTTGAGAAAACCGTATTTTAATAAGCCCTTGGTTAGATATGGTACACTTGTCTTCTCCTTTTGTTTATTATCTTAATAATATCTACTAATGAACAAAAATTCTTAGACTTAAAATGGTCCAATGTATCTTTTTTTTTCATTTATAGTTAGCATTTTTTCCTATTTAAGAAACATTTGCTACTTTGAGGCTATAATGATATTTTTCTATATTCTGTTAAGTAGTTTGCAGGTCCTGGAAATGAAAGTGTGTGGAATTAAAGCAAACTCCTTAAAAAAAGTATGAAACTGCACACACTTATTTGAAAGAAACATTTCAGTGCACTAGAAATCAACTAAAGATGAGAAGTTGAGAAGTGCTTACAAATGAAAACTGCTAGTGGAAAGTTTGTGGCTTGCTAGCCTGAATGCATTCCTATTTTGCTAACTCAGGTTTACCTCCACCTCAGGCTACAAAAATCTGCCCGTTTTTTCTGGATGAAGGGTAGAGATCCCTTTTGGGGTGAATGGTAGAGCCACTAAAAAATTATTTTGGAAGCAAGAGGGCCATAGATAGATTGAGTTGATAAGCTGTCTCTACATCTCTGGTTGACTGGTAAGTTACAAATGCATGCCAGAAACCCCAAATACCTAGAGAAAACTGGAAGCCTGAGGAAATTTGCAATTTTGCTGCACCTTCAACCCACAATCAGCATAGGGGGCAGAGAGTGTAAATCTTACAAGATGGCATAAATTATCTTAACATACCACTGCTTAAGTGATTTTCCACTAACCTATTCAGACAAAATGCAGACACCTAGGGATGGCAGGCTTATGCAAAACAAAATAAAACAAAGCAACCAGTAGTTGTACATTGTGGGGAAAGAGATTTCATGTTGGGAATTCAGGCATGATTATTGCTTAACCAAAAGGAAAATAATTAATAAGTCAAAAATAACAGATGCTGGTGACGTTGTGGAGAAGAAGCAATACTTATACACTGTTGGTGGGAGTGTAAATTAGTTTGGGTGGTGATTCCTCGGAGACCTAAAGACAGAAATACTGTTCAACCTGGCAATCCCATTACTAGGTATATATCCAAATAAATGTAACTAGTGGCCAGGCGCGGTGGCTCACACCTGTAATCCCAGCACTCTGGGAGACCAAGGTGGGCGGATCACGAGGTCAGGAGATCGAGACCATCCTGGCTAACGCGGGGAAACACTGTCTCTACTAAAAATACAAAAAATTAGCCGCCAAGATTGTGCCACTGCACTCCAGCCTGGGCAACAGAGCAAGACTCGGTCTCAAAAAAAAAAAAAAAGAAAAGAAATATAACTAGTTATGTTAAAAGATACATGCACACATATGTTCATTGCAGCACTATTCATAATAGCTAAGACATGGAATCAACCTAAATACCCATCAATGATAGACTGGATAAAGAAATGTGGTACATATACACCATGGAAAAAAAAGAACAAGATCATGTCATTTGCAGGAACACGGATAGAGCTGAAGGCCATTATCCTTAGCAAATTTATTAAGGAACAGAAAACCACACACAACATGTTCTCACTTATAAGTGGAAGATAAATGATAAGAACTCACGGACCCATAGAGGGAACAACACACACTGGGGCCTCATGGAGGATGGAGTGTGGGAGGAGGGAGAGGATCAGGAAAAATAACTAATGAGTACTAGCCTTAATACCTGCATGATGAAATAATCTATACAACAAATCTCCATGACACATGCTTACCTATGTAACAAATGTGCACATATACCCCTGGAATTAACATTAAAGTTTTTTTTTTTTTTCAAAAAGAAAATCAACAACACTTATCCTATGGTCTCAATGTGTGCCCCGCCTCAAATTTACGTGTTGAACTTAATCATCAAAGTGGTACTATTTAGAGATGGGGCCTTTAGGAGGTGATTGAGTCAGGAGGGTGGGCCATAACAAATGAGATTAGTGACTTTATAAAAGAGCTGGAGGGAACTAGCTGGGCTCTGTGTACAATTCCATCTCTTTTCTCATGTAAGAACACATCATTCTTCCCTTCCAGCGTGCACAGAAACAAGCCATCATTCTCAGAAGCAGGGCAGCTTCACCATTTTCCAAATCTGCTGGCACCTTGATCCTGGATTTACTAGCCTCCAGAACCGTTAGCAAATAAATGTCTATTGTTTATAAATTACCTACTCTGCTGTATTTTGTTGTAGCAGCAAGAACGAACTAAGACAATTTAGGAGAACAAAACAGAATCCAGAGCTGCCTCAAGATAAAGAGATCTACCTTTACCATTTCTATTAAGTGATTTATTACAAATTTCAGGTAGTGCAACGAAGCAAGAAAATCAAAGACATACAGATTAGAAAGGAAAATGCAAAATCTTTATTTGCAGGTGATGTAACTGTGAAAATTGACACTTCTAAGCCATCTATAAAATAGTTACAAGAATTTTATGTGATTTTAGCAAGGGAATATATACCTATTAAAGATAGAGACTGGTATTTAAAATCAATTGAATTTCTCTCTACTACAATGTAAACGTTCCAAAACAATGTTTTAAATGTTCTGTTATGCAAAATATCTAGAAATACATTTGACTCAAGATAATCAAGACCTACAAATTATTGTTGAGAGACATTGTGCAAGAGAATACAATAAATAAATATTACAAACTAGTAGGGTTGATTACTACAGAGAGTTGGTGGGCACTGGGTAGAAATTGTGGGAAAAGGAATGGGGTAATAGGCATCTGAGAGGACAGACACTTCTTAGGACATTTCTTGGACTCTTATGCCTCTGCTAGTACCATGGTATTGTGTCATATATCCCAAAGTAAATAAATAACAACAATCAACCAGTATATGGAGGAAGGACTAAAATGGAATACAAACAGTAACACATAACCTAACTGTTTATGAATGAATAACATAACTACACTCAACGAGTTGGGAAAAAAGAAGACTAACCTAAGTGATGCTAGAAAACAATATTTTTACCATATTGTAAAGTCAAACACAAAGTGAAATATAAATATGTACTGTAGTTAGAAAATTTGATCCTCACAGGAATATGAGTTAGCAATTCTGAAACCAATTTATGTGTGCACTTGGGTTCAATAAATAAGAAAATGTATTGTGGCTAATGAGAGACAGGTTTCTCACTGCCAAGAAAACAAATAGAAGGGTGGAAGATTAGAATGAACCCTATGGTGTTTCACTAGGATTAGAGGTAATCGTTCATATAAATGTTGGAGAGATGCACAAATCAAATACATGTATGTATATGTATGGTAGTATATATACATATATTTTCTAGCTTTAACTGCTAAGACTAGAATCAATGAGTAAACTCAGGACTCAGGTTCTGTCTCTAAACACCATCATCTAATGAAAGGTGCCGGGACTCCTTGAAGACGTTTAATTCCAGCGCCAGGGCAGGAAAAGTCCAAGAGGAACCTGTAACATTTTGTGGTGTCAGAAAGTAGGAAAGTGCTTATAAACTATGGGGCATGTTGAAAGGACACAAGAGCGACACTGAGAGAGTTTCTCATGGCAAAAATGGAATGCTGGGAGCTGAAATCATGAAAATATTAGTTATAATCTATAAAATAATATAAATATAATTTAACCCATACTCAACTGAGTGAATGAATAAATAAATAAATTGATAAGACAGAACAACTCTTCCTTAGAGTGAAATTTCAATTACTACAAGTAGAATTAATGAAGGTAATAGGTCACCATGAGGAAAACACTTCAGTAGTATATGTTATCAGCAAAATCTAATGGGTGTCAAAATTCTTTGGAGAAAGTGTAATGAGAAACTTATATTTATCAAAGTGTCTCCCCACAAGGTACTTATTAAAGACAAGCACATACCAGCATATATATATATATATATATATATATATATATATATATATATATATATATATATGGCACCTTTCATTAGATAATGGTGTTTAGAGACAGAACCTGAGTCCTGAGTTTACTCATTGATTCTAGCCTTAGCAATTAAAGCTAGAAAATACGTGAAATGTATGTATATATATATATGTGTGTGTATATATATATGTATATATATATAACTATAGTGGATAGACTCAGCAGACACCACTTACACCAACTATCAAGGTGATAGGACATATTGGCCTCATGGGTTTTCTATTAGAATGCACTGAGAACAGAGTGCCACATCTATAGCATTCATATATTGATATCCCAAATTCATAACTATAATCTCAGTGTGAGAAAATTTTGGGCTATCCCCAACTGAATATCTAGATACTCCAGAATTATTAATTGAAAATAATATTTTTCCCTATTGAATTACCTTGATTTTATTGAAAATCAGTTGACCACATATGTATGTGTATCTATTTCTGGACTCGGTTCTGTTACTTTGATACATATATCCACCCATAAGCCGTTAACATACTTGCTTGATTATTGTAGTTTTGTTTATTTATTTATACTTTAAGTTCTGGGATACATGTTCAGAATGTGCAGGTTTGTTACATAGGTATACGTGTGCTGTGGTGGTTTGCTGCACCTATTAACCTATCTTCTAAGTTCCCTCCACTCATCTCCTACACCCCAACAAGCCCAGATGTGTGATGTTCCCCTCCCTGAGTCCATCTGTTCTCATTGTTCAACTCCCACTTACTAGTGAGAACAAGCTGTGTTTGGTTTTCTGTTCCTGTGTTGGTTTGCTGAGCTTGATGGCTTCCAGCTTCGTCCATGTCCCTGCAAAGGACATGATCTCATCCCTTTTTATGGCTGTGTAGTATTTCATGGTGTATTTGTACCAAATTTTCTTTATTCAGTCTATTATTGATGAGTATTTGTGTTGGTTCTATGACTTTGCTATTGTAAATAGTGCTGCAATAAAAATGCAGGTGCATGCGTCTTTATAGTATAATGATTTATATTTCTTTGAGTATATACCCAGTAATGGGATTGCTGGGTCAAATGGTATTTCTGGTTCTGGATCCTTTAGGAATAATCAGACTGTTTTCTACAATGGTTGAACTAACTTACATTCCCACCAACAGTGTAAAACATTTGTATTTCTTCACGGCCTCTCCAACAGCTATTGTTTCTTGAATTTTTAATAAACCACCATTCTGACTGGCGTGAGATGGTATCTCATTGTGATTTTAACTTGCATTTCTCTAATGATCAGTTATGTTGAGCTTTTTTTCATATGTTTGTTGGCTGCATAAATGTCTTTTTTTGAGAAGCGTCTGTTCATATACTTTGCCCACTTTGTGATGGGGTTGTTTTTTCTTGTAAATATGTTCAAGTTCCTTGTAAATTATGGATATTAGACCTTTGGCAGATGGTAGATTGCAAAGATTTTCTCTCATTCTGTAGGTTGCCTGTTCTCTCTGATGATAGTTTCTTTTGCTGTGCAGAAGCTCTTTAGTTTAATTAGATCTAATTTGTCAATTTTGGCTTTTATTGCAATTGTTTTTGGCATTTTCATTATGAAGTCTTTGCCCATGTCTATGTCCTGAATGGTATTGCCTGGGTTTTCTTTTAGGTTTTTATGGTTTTGGGTTTTAAATTTAAGCCTTTAATCCATCTTGAGTTAATTTTTGTGTACAGTGTAAGGAAAAGGAACAGTTTCAGTTTTCTGAATATGGCTAGCCAGTTTTCCCAGCACTATTTATTGAATGGGAGATTCTTTCCCCATTGCTTGCTTTTTTCAGGTTTGTCAAAGATCAGATGGTTGTAGATGTGTGTTGTTATTTCTGAGGGCTCTGTTCTGTTCCATTGCTCTATATGTCTGTTTTAGTACCAGAACCATGCTATTTTGGTTACTGTAGCCTTGTAGTTTGGTTTGAAGTCAGGTAGTGTGATGCCTCCAGCTTTTTTCTTTTTGCTTAGGATTGTCTTGGCTATATGGGATCTTCTTTGATTCCATATAAAATTTAAAGTGGTTTTTTCTTTCCAATTCTTTGAAGAATATCAATGGTAGTATGATGGAAATAGCACTGAATCTATAAATTACTTTGGGCAGTATGGTCATTTTCATGATACTGATTCTTCTTATCCATGAGGATGGAACGTTTTTCCATTTGTTTGTGTCCTCTCTTATTTCCTTGAGCAGTGGTTTGTAGTTTTCCTTGAAGAGGTCCTTCACATCGCTTGTTAGCTGTATTCCTAGGTATTTTGTTATCTTTGTAGCAGTTGTGAACATGAGTTCATTCATGATTTGGCTCTCTGCTTGTCTATTGGTGTATAGAAACGCTTGTGATTTTTGGACATTCATTTTGTATCCTGAGGCTTTGCTGAAGTTGCAAATAAATTTCTTTTTATTTCTACCAGAAAGAGGGTTTATTAGAAAGAGTATGCTACTATATTATGTAACTCAGTGTGCAATGATGACTAAA
This sequence comes from Homo sapiens, assembly GCF_000001405.40. Lineage (NCBI taxonomy): Eukaryota > Metazoa > Chordata > Mammalia > Primates > Hominidae > Homo > Homo sapiens. The sequence goes on from NC_000004.12 coordinate 171,210,307, forward strand.
ACTGAGTTGAAGAAACAGTGTTTTTGTCTACCTAAAAGAGTGGCATCAATCTGATAGAGAAATGACTTTCTATTGGATACAGACCAAGCAGGAGGCTTTTCTTTTTGGACTTAAAAACTGGGTAGGCCACGAAATAGGTATCAATAAATTTCTCAATTTTCCAACACAGCCCCACTGCACTTAGAATTATAATTATTGGAATGTTTTCCAAATTCTGAAAGGATATTTTATTAGAATTTTAGATTTTAATTATGTTGTGAGTTGTATCTTTTACATTTTTCTTCATATTTTTGTTGAAAAGGTGATGGAGCCTCCACCAACATAGTGTTTTAGTTTTCAGTTCAGAAATATATGTGGTGCTCTAGTACAAGGCTGAGGTTCCAAACTTCTATTACAACCTGAATGATGGCTAGAAGTTAAAAGTAAGAGTATGTGCAAAGTATACATTAGGATAAGATAAAATACGTATAAAGACAAAAGATATTTTAAGTGAAAAATGTTGTCTTCTAATTAGTACCTCTTGCTGTATTTTGTGTATTTTGTATATCTCTTAAAATAACTCTATGAAAAAGGATAAGCAAATAAAATAAAATTATATATATAAATCGCATGTATTAAATGAAAGCAAAAAATAATACATTTTTATTTTATTGGAATTTTGACATATATTTGTATATAAAATGTTAAATAGTGGTTTGTAGGTCAGATTATACTTTATCTATAAAATGTAAAAATGTAAAGTACTTAAAAGTAAACTATAAAAATAAAACAAGATGATACTATTGCTGATATACGCAATATTTTGTTTTCTTATGGATTAAACATGGTTTTATATACTCCTCTCAGGACTTAAACACTTTTAGCATGTTTTTAGAAAAAAAAAAATACTAGCGATGGGCATGGTAGCTTACGTCTGTAATCCTAGCACTTTTGGAGGCTGAGGTGGGCGAATCACCTGAGGTCAGGAGTTCGAGACCAGACTGGCCAACATGGCGAAACCCTGTCTCTACTAAAAATACAAAAATTAGCTGTGCATGGGGGTGGGCACCTGTAATCCCAGCTACTCAGGAGGCTGAGTCAGGAGAATCCCTTGAACCCAGGAGGCAGAGGTTGCAGTGAGCTGATATCGTTCCATTGCACTCCTGCCTGGGTGACAGAGTGGAGACCCTGTCTCAAAAATAAATAAATAAATAAATAACACAAAGAAAAAAGATACTCTTTTTTTTAATTTTCTTTTTTTTTCTTTTTTTAAAATCTACCAGTAAAGCATGTGAGAAGCACATTTCCCTGTGACAGACTCACTGGTATAAAGAAATAAGAAATACAAATGTCTTTGGTGTTGTCATGATGATTCCAAGATGGTGAGGAAAGGCTTTCTTTTCTTAGTAATTTTTGTTTGTTTGTTTGTTTGTTTGTTTGTTTTTGAGACGGAGTCTCACTCTGTCGCCCAGACTGGAATGCAGTGGTGCGATCTTGGCTCACTGCAACCTCTGACTTCCGGGTTCAAGTATTCTCCTGCCTCAGCCTCCCTAGTAGCTGGGATTACACGCATATGCCACCATGCCTAGCTAATTTTTGTATTTTTTGTAGAGACGGGGTTTCACCATGTTGGCCAGGCTGGTCTCGAACTGCTGACCTCGTGACCCATCTGCCTCAGTCTCCCAAATTGCTGGGATTAACAGTTGTGAGCCACCATGCCCAGCCTTTTCTTAGTAGTTTTTAACCTAGGAAGGTACACTCACTAAGTTCATTGTGTGTTTTTCAGAAACCTCTATATATGTTGTATTAAGTTTATTACTTTGCTTTGTGTACTTGATTTTGTATCTTGTAACTCTACTGCATTTGTTTATTCATTTTAACAATTTCTTGTTGGAGTCATTAGGGTTTTCTGTATATAAGATCATGTCATTGGCAAACAGGGACAATTTTACTTTCCCCTTTCCAGTGTGAATGTCTTTTATTTATTTCTCTTTACTGATTCTCTGGGTAGTATTTTTAGTACTATCTTGAATAAAGTGATGAGAGTGGATATCTGTGCTTTGTTCCTGATCTTGGAAGCAGAGCTTTCAGTTTTTCATCTTCAATATGATGATAGCTGTGGGCTTTTTACATATGACCTTTATTAAGTTGAGGTAATTTTCTTCTATTCCTAGTTTATTGAGAATTTTTATCATGAAAAGGTGTTGAATTTTGTCAAATGCTTTTTCTGCATCTGTTGAGATGATTATATGATTCTTATTTTTCATTCTGTTAATGTAGTATACCAAATTAGCATATATAAGAATACAACGGGATGCCTATTGGTCAGGATCACATCTTAAGTGGTTATCTGTGTCTAGATATGAAGCCTAAATATTGAGCCTAAATCACTCTGCAGAGGCCCACATCTGCCTGATGGCATCCACCCGCAAGGGTGGCCAAATACTAAAAGGGTAATTGCTGCCTCATAGACTCTCCTTACTACCTATGTAACATTGCTAAAAGTCCTATGCAGTACATAGTGCTACCTTTTTCTGTTACAGGATGAGGAGAATATGAGGCAGGGAAGTTTACGACTAACCCTGGTGTCTATGGGACTAGATCCCTTTCAGTGAAATCCAGCATCTACTCCTCTAACCTCTACACTGCATTTTCTGTATTAGCGTGATATGAAACTTCTCAAGGGCTTTCTCCTCTTTGTAATTCTCTATCAGGGAAAGCAAATATATATTTTACAAGGAGGTTATTTTCAATTCATATTCTAGTCTACTTTAGAGAATAACGAACTTTTATTGAAACTTTCCACATATCAATTGATTGTTTAAGGCTTGACAAAACCTTACAGAATTCATAGAGATACATTATCTTTGTGGTGAGAAAGGGAGTTATTTAAACAAATATTGTTAAGTTCAAATACGAGTCCTAACATTTTGTACCTAGAGAATTTCAGGTTTAGAACATAAAATCTGAATGAAGTTTTACTTCATCTTATTTTTTTGGACTTTTTAAAAAATAACAGTTAAAATAGTGCTTTTAAAAACTGGAAGATTTTTTAGTTCCTTTTTCTTTCCTCAGTAATTAAAAAATATGATGCCAGTCTAGAAGTCTAATATCCTGGAATCTCTTGATAATTAGACCACAGATGGAAGGGAATATCTTTTGCTAGATGTCTTATTTAACAAAAAGATTTTATTCCACTATTCTTGGTTTTTACAGCATCTGTTTCTTCAGAATGAGTAATAAGCTTCTTGGGATTATTTCTGCATGTTGAAATGAAATTAATTGGAGTCAGAAAATTTTAAATGAAATATATTTGACAGACAAATTTACTAATAATTACTTTCTTTGAGTCACACACACCTGATTTATTAGTGTCCTATTTGTATGCAGACAACTTTAGAGTGCCACTGATAATTACTCTAAATCTTTTTACATTGATCCTCATGAAGTTCCCTAAAGAATGATAATAAGTTGGAGGTTAAATAAGAGAAATGTCTTATTTACCACCTCCTATTATTTCTTTCTGATCTTCTCAGTGTATGACTGTTAGGTACAAAACTTTATGCTAGGCAAACAAACAAAAATCATGTTTGCTAATTAGTTACGTGTATTCAAAAGTAGGTTAACCACAAGGAAAAATGTGATAGATGCAAATAATGTTTAAAACATTGCAAGAATTTAAAATGAAAATGATAGAAGTTCACAATTCAAGGAAGTTATTGCATGTGAAGCATGACTTGAATAAAAATATGATTTGTACCAATGGAATCCACTTAATTAAAAGAAAGTATTTATTGATGTCAGGCCTTTATCTAGGACTTGGGTGAACATCCTAAACAAGTCACAGTCTTTATCTAAAGAAATGGTCAACTGACCGAAAGACATGGAGACAGAAACAGAAAAATATGATCGAATGTATTAGTTTCTGGTTTAGAGATGTATGTGGAGCCCTAAACAAAGCTAAGTTACTAAGTCTAGAACCTGAAGGATGAAAGTTAAAGGTAAGAGTGAATGCAAAGGGTATACCACAAAAAAATATGTAAGAAAGCCAACATGTTTATGAGAACATAATATATTCAGCTAACTGAAATAAGGTTTATACTATTTCAAGACATTGAGTGCAAGACTTCATTGTGAAGAGATGAGGATGGTGGGTAAAGTATAAATAATTATGCAAAAATGCCAAGAAGTGTGCACATTATTCTCAGAATACTTGATTTTGACAAATGAAAGATGTCATGATTCAATAGGTAATTTAGCAAAATCGCCCACTGAAGAGTCCAAAATAGAAAAACAGAGAGGAAAACAAAGTTTGTTTCAGTAAACAATAATCTTTCAGGTTAGTAAAGATAGAGATCAGGAATTAGATTGGCCTTAGACTTCTCAACAGAAATACTAGAAGATAAAAGAAAATAGAAGAATTTCATCAACATTCTAAGGGAAAATTATTTTCAACCCATTATGATATATTCAGCTAAATTTCAATTATGTATGTTAGGTAAGAACTTTTTTTCCAAAAGTGGGATGCCTCAAAAATCTACCCTTCATATATCAGAAAGTTACCACAAGATGTGTTCCAAAGATGATAAATTAAACAGGGAGGAAGGAATGATGGAAGAAAGGAAAAAAAGGGAGGGAAGAAGGGAAAACTTGGAAGGGAGGGAAGAAGAAAGACATAGGAACTAGGAAAGGGAAACTTGACAAAGGAGAGAAATAATGAAGTTCCCACTCTTAAGAGCCAAGAAAATGTCCCCAAATAGGAAAGGGGCAGCCCATACAATTAGAGTAAGAAGGTAAAGGGTTTCTCAAGATATTTATATAGGAAAAAAGGAATGCATCCATTACTTCATGTACCTGACCATATTAGGAGAAACCTTTTATATTCTCATATTCATTCATTATTGATGGGTAGCTACGTAACTCAAAGGAAAATAATTCTTTCTACTAAAAAGACACCTGCACTGATATGTTCATTTCAGCACCATTCACAATATCAAAGATATGGAATCAACCCAGGTGCCCAATGGCAGTGGATTCAATAAAGGAAATGTGGTGCATATACACCATTGAATACCATGCAGCTATAAAAAATAATACGATTATGTCCTCAGCAGAAACATGGATGCATCTGGTGGCCATTACCTTAAGTGAATTCATGCAAAAACAGAGAGCCAAATACTACATGTTATCACTTATAAGTGGGAGCTAAACATTGGGTATACCAGGCACAAAGACAGGATCAATAGACACTGTAAACTCCAAAAGAGGGTAGGGAAGGAGGGGGAAAAAGTTGAAAAACTACCCATTGGGTACTATGTTTGCTACTCGGGTGATGGAATCTTTAGAAGCCCAAACCTCAGCAGCAACCTGCAGTATAGCCATGTAACAAACGTGCACATGTATCCCCTGAATTTAAAAAAATATGAGGTAATTAGTAACTTCAGAAAAAAATGATGGGCAAGAAGGAAATTTTAATTATCTTATCCAATATAGGTCTGCATTGAACATTACTTATTAGTAAAATAATGTTAATACTGAATAATAATTTTATGGTAAATTTTTACCTAACATTACAAGGAGAACAAAGGTACCATATGTTTTGGGGGAAAAGGGACACTAATATAAGAGAGATATATGTTTCTCTTTTGTATTTGGAAGATACTAGATATTGTCTAATATTAGAAAATCAAGTAATATTTATTATGTGGCATTAAGAAGTAAATAGGAGAAGTAAGTAGAGAAGGAAAAGTGGTTGACTAGAGATGGTTGAATTTGTTGGTGGAAAGTGTGGGGTAAGGCATTGATTATTTTTAAATCTTAGGCTACAATAGTAAAAAGCAATTAAAGGTGAAGGACTTACAGACATAAATGATAACTTCCATTCTAAAAGTTTATCAGCAAAGCAGTAGAAATGAAGAAAAAGAGTGTGAAATAGCCTCAGATCCTAAAAATTATTATTTTTTAAAGATTTGAATATCTGAGCATATATGGAAATAGAGGGAAAGGAAACAACAGAGTTGAAACTGTTAAGACAGAAGAAAAAAATCCAGCTAATTGATTGAACAAGTGCCCTGGAAGGCAGAAAAGACTAGAACATGCTTATGCATCATTGTAATAACAGCTCTCTTTGGCTTCTGTTGACTATTGTTTAATAATAGTACAGAAAAATCTGCCACCTTCCTTTTTTTTTCCAATCTACTTATGTCTGTGAATTAATAACTTTAAGCATGACATCAATTTCAGTGCAGTGCTAGATTTATATCTAGCAAAAGAAAAGTTACTGGTTGAAGTGACAACAGTTATGAGAACCAGTATCAGCATTTGATGTATGTAAAAAGACTTAGGAAGACATATCTAAATGCAGTGTGCAGGGTGAATATGAAAGAGAAAAATAGTTCAAAGAATTTATTCTGACTCCTGGGGAGAAGGCTCTCACTGAAATCATTGAGGAGGCGAGACTTGGAGAAACTAAGGGAAGCAGATAATGCCTGCATATTATTGGAGAAAGATAAAAGATTGTAGGAGAAAAAGGAACTTTTCCAAAAGAAAGTTTATGCTGTATTTTTCTCCTACATTCGTGAATCTTTAGTGTTCCTGAAAGGCTTCATATTTTGGTTATAAAAGAAGGAGTTCCCAAGAGGATCTGCTTTTCAGTTTTCCTGTGGAAGCTCTTGATTTTGTGAAACTCAGAAAGATAGAATGTTTTGCATATCCTCTTCTTTATCAACCTCCCTGACGAAAACCACCTCTTACCCTCTCTTTCCTCAGGGGTACTAACCAGGCTACTCCTTGCCTGTCTGGTGCTTTCTTTCTTTTAAACTGAAACTGAGCTACCCCAACACCATTCTCAGAAAACAAACCAAAAGGAAAAAAAAAGAGGAAAAAAAACAATAAAAAATAAACAAACTTAAATGGATGTCAAAATAAACCTCACTTATCTTCTTTAGGAACTTCACCGCTAATTAATCTATTAGCTACTTTTTCAAATCCCACTATTTGGATATCTGGACAAAAAATTTATTACTTCCTGTTACCTATGTATTTAATCAGAAATAAAGAAATATAGTTTTGTTTGTTTTTTCCCGCCAGAAGATTTCTATTGAGTAAACTAGAACAGATTCATCCTACTTATGTATTTCTTTGGGTGTTGGTAATTGAGTTGCCAAATACAGGTTTGTGGACATGGACAGGTCTGGTTTTCTTGGACTTTTCATTTATTAAATGTGGCCTCAGGGATATCATTTATTTTCTATAAGGATATATTATTACCTGTCCATAGAAGTATTTTGAAGACTGTGTTTTCCCTGATGTCTCATGTGGAGTTTGTCTTATTAATTTATATTTATTTGTTTTTTTCTGCACCTAACACGACTTCATATCTATTAGGTAATTCAACACATGGCTCCTACCTTGAGCCGACTGATCATGACTGTGATGTGCAGAGCATGATATCTGGCATAAGTTCAAGGTTCCATGAGAAATATGCCTTCCTCTCCCTCCAGAATCATCATCTACGAAAAGTCTACTGGCCAGTTTATTCAATTTTTTCTCTTTTAAAAATATATATTATCCCAGCCGGGCATGGTGGCTCACACCTGTAATCCCAGCACTTTGGGAGGCTGAGGCAGGCAGATCACCAGGTCAGGAGATCAAGACCATCCTGGCCAACATGGTGAAACCCCATCTCTACTAAAAATATAAATATTAGCTGGGCATCGTGGCGCAAGCCTGTAATCCCAGCTGCTCAGGAGGCTGAGGCAGGAGAAAAGCTTGAAACAGGGAGCCGGATGCAGTGAGCCTAGATCATGCCACTGCACTCCAGCCTGGAGACAGAGTGAGAATCCATCTCAAAAAATATATATATTTTATTTTTATATATATATAATATATATATATATAATCCCTTTTGGCCTGGCCTGACAAATTTCTTAGATGTATATTATTTCTGTTATGAAGTAAAATAGATTTCAAAGTGTTGTCTTACATTTTTTCAAAAAGATATGACTCCATTTGTAAGCTGGAGACTCTCAATTATAAATAAGCAGAGAGATGTTCTTTTCTCTTGACGTTTTATATTATACACATATAAGAAAATCTTTGAAGAGAGATTTAAAGTTATATTTTCAAACATCTATAAAAGAAAACCAATCTTTCTTCCAAAGTCCAAGCTCATGCCAAGGCAAAAGAGGTGGACAACAAGAATGATGGAGAAGGTTTGTGCAAACTTGGAAAATCTCATCTTGTATTCCTGCAGTATAATATGCTAAGCTAGAAACAAACAATGGCAAAAGGTCATGGAAGAGACTGTGGCATATTTGTGAAGTTAAAATAGTGTGGTCTGAGAAGGGGAATAAGAAACAGATCATGAAAATGAGGAATATGGATAGAGTTTGTTACTAAAATTCTTGAATACTTGCTCTGTGCCAGGCACTATGCTGGTTTACACAAAACAGGCAATCCTTGCTTCAGTGAGGTCACATCTAGTAAGGGGAGAGAGGAATAAGGACAATGCCTTATGATAAATGCCTTTGTAAAACATACAAAAAGAACTATATGAGAAAATCCTTAGTCTCAAAGAATAAGAGTCCCACTAAGTGACAAGAACAAACAGAATCCCTGAAGAAGAAATAACCCTTGCAGAAGATAAGCAAGAAATACAAGCAGTGTTTGGATGACAAGTGAAATAGTTTGGATATTTGTCCACATCCAGATCTCATGTTGAATTGTAATCTCCAATGCAGGTGGTAGGGCCTGGTGGGAGGTTGTTTGGGTCATGGGGGTGGATCCCTCATAGCTTGGTGCTGTCCTTGCAATAGTGAGTGAGTACTCATGAGATCTGAATGTGTAAATGTGTGTGGCACCTCTCCCCATCTTGTCCTTGTTCCCACCATGGGATGTGCCTGCTCCCCCTTTGCCTTCCATCATGATTTCAAGCTTCCTGAGGCCTCCCCAGAAACAGATGCTAGCACTATGCTTCCTGTACAGCCTGCAGATCTGTGAGCCAATTAAGCTTCTTTTCTTATAAATTACCCAGTCTCAGGTATTTCTTTATAGCAATGCAAGAAGAGCCTAACACAGAAAACAAGTGACTCCATATGCCATGGAAAGTATTTAGAATTCTAACTTACTGAAAATGGAATCATAGATCAATTTATTATCTTCCTTTTAGAAATAACACTTTGAAAGAAATGCAGGCCGGGCGTGGTGGCTCACACCTGTAATCCCAGCACTTTGGGAGGCCAAGGCAGGTGGATCATTTGAGGTCAGGAGTTTGAGACCAGCCTGGCCAACATGGTGAAACCCCATCTCTAGTAAACATACAAAAATTAGCCGAACATGGTGGTGTCTGCCTGCAGTCCCAGCTACTTGGGAGGCTGAGGCAGGAGAATTGCTGAACTCAGGAAGAGGAGGTTGCAGTGAGCTGAGATTGCACCACTGCACTCCAGCCTGGGTGACAGAGAGAGACTCTGTCTCAAAAACAAAAAAACAAAAAAACAAAAAAAACGTATTCAATGTATTGATTTGTGGGAGGTAAGACTAGAGCCATGGATATATATTACACACCTTTATTATTAGTTAATTTCCTTTCATCAAAAATTTATTTAGTGCTTGCAATGTGTCAGGAACTAGGTTAGGTTAAGAAGATAATTTTTACAAAGGACTTTGATAAAACAAGTAAATCACAAGATTACCAGATATTTGAATGTATAATTAATAATACAGTGCTGTCATTTGTATACAGGGTTTATAGGAGGAGGATCAGATTTTTAAAGATGTGAGATTGTCTAGTTAGGATAATGGTCCCGGGGAGATCCAGAACTGAGCATCTCAAATCTTAGGTTAATTCTGAGAAAGAGGAGTCTGGTCCTGTCTAAGCAAGACAGGATATATAGGTAAAGAATACAACCAAGAAATTCAGCCAGAAAAAAGAAATATATATATATATATATATATATATATATATTTCTTTATATATATATTTCTTTATATATATATATTTGTGTGTGTGTCTGTGTATATATATACACATATATACATACATATATATACACATATATATACATACATATATATCCACATATATATACATACATATATATACACATATATATACATACATATATATATACACATACATATATATATATACACACATACATATATATATATATATATATATATATATATATATACACACACACACAGACACACACACAAATATATATAGCGCCGGTTTTCAGTCTGAGATCAGCCCTAATCGATCCAGATAGAGCTGAGTGTAATAAATAGAAGTGAAGTCTTACTATACAATAAGAGAAGCATCTCAACACTCAATCTAGGTAGGACAAGAGACCATTCAAAGATCAGAGCAGAGAGGTAATGAAGACCGAGCATCTCAGAATCCAGCTGCCACAAGATCATTTCAGAAGATCACAGATAGCAACTCTCTTTTTGAGCATCTGTACTAGTTTAGTCTCCCATTGCTATAATGAAATACCCAAAACTAGGTAATTTATAAAGAAAAAAACATTTAATTAGCTCATGGTGCTTTCAGACTATACAGGAAGCATGGCAGCATCTGCTCCACTTTTGGGAAGGCATCAGGAAACTTACAATCATGGAAGAAGGCAAAAGGGAAGAGAGGTGTCTCCCATGATGGGGGCAGAGGGAGAGCAAGAGTGGGAGGTGCCATCCACTTGTAAACTACCAGATCTCATGAGAACTTACTCACTATCATGACCAAAGGGGATGATGCTAAACCATTGATAAAAAACTGCCCCCATGACCCAGTCATCTCTAACCAGGACCCACTTGCAACAGGGGATTACAACTGAACAGGAGCTGTAATCCAAAGGGAATTACAACTGAACAGGGAACACAGATCTAAAATATCAGTATCCTCTCTTGAGGAGGCGATTGAGAACTGACTTGTGTGCCGTTGCTTGGGGGGTGTGTGTGTGTGTGCACGTACATGGGGATACATGTGTAAGATGACAATTAGAGCACAAATACCTGAGCCAGCTAACATGTGCATGTTGTTCTTCTACTGTGTGTCCACAGTGGGATAATGCTCAGAAGAGAGGGGAAAACATCTGGCAAGGACATTCCTTTGATGTGCACAATAAGCCTTGGTCCCAGCTGTCAACTTTTCCATTAATCTCTGTCTTCAGTTCGACGCTGGAATTCCTGGGCATGACCATCTGTCTGAATTTCCATTGTGTGGAGAAATTGAAAAAAAAAAAAAAAAAAAAACGTTGAGTCCGGAAGACCTTTTTGTATGACCTTCTTTGGTAAAAATATTGAAGGATTTTAAATTGTGTGGGAATGAGGTAGCCATAGATAAAAATTACATCTGTGACCACTGAGTATTTATTGGGTGATATTCATTTTCTCTCTCCTTTTGCCCCCACTCCCTGTCTTTCTGCCTGCCTAACTTATTCACTGGCCTCCTCCTTTCTTTCCTTTTCACAAGAAATATGTTTCTCCTCTGAGCTATCACGATATTAAGAATATCAGGCTAAATATGCCCCTAACTTCAGGAAGTTCTCAGACTCATGAAAAAAATGGCTATGTAAACAATGTGGAAGAATCAAAGAAAAGAAAAGACATATCACATGATAATTATCAGTGACATAAAGGATTTTCCTAAAGAAATAAGAGAGCACATCACTGAAAATTCTTTAGTAGTGTTTCTCACACTAAGGAAAGAGAGAAAAATATCTTAGCCAGTGGGTAGCATGAAACAGAAGTGTGAAAATATGCTTTTAAAATGAATTTGCTAGTTTATGGTGTTAGAACATAGAATGTTGGGTTATGATTTGAGAGGATGTTATAGGTTATTCTCCAGATTGTGACTGACCTCCATTTACCATGCAAGGTAGCTGATATTTCATAATAAGGAGCTTGCAGACTACTTTTACAGTGGGATAACATGATCTAATTCTGACTATATAATTTTGTTTCATTTTGTTTCTGAACACTGGTATTTAGATTTGATGGAACCTCCAAACAGCATGCCCAGGGATTTACAAGATGATAAAAGGTGGAGGATATCTGGATAAGTATTTTTTAAGGAAAATGGCCAAGAATAGAACTGGCACAAGATGTGAGAAGGAAAAGTTTGAATATCTAGGTAGATTACTTACTTAATTTGCATGTTATTTCAGGAATTCTTAACTCACTGTCTACCAAGTTCCAGGAATTAAACAGGATACTGGAGATGAAGTGCTGTATAAGAAACAATACTATCCAATTAACCAAGCCAACATGAAAGCCTTGATAAAATATAATTTATAAGTTATAAATTATATAATTATATACACAACCAGTAAAGTCCGTTTCAAGTGCATGAATGCTTCTGGTGCTTTCACTCACATAATTTTGATCTCATCTAATTTTCGCAAAAATTGAAGGGGATGGTTTTTAAGCATCTCACTTCAAGCATATTCCACGTGTAATTTCACCTTTTCTTCTGAGGCATCTTGTACGGTGCAGAAACATGCACGAGTCTCATCAGACATGCGAGTGCAGACCGGAATTATGAAGATGTAAATAATCCCAGAGACAACCATCCACAAATAATGGTAACTCTTTCCTAGGCAATTATTTGAGGCATTTTATCAACTGCTCAGAAACTCCCAAGCAGGCTTATTTGCCCTCAGCTGTGTCCTTAATGGCACACCCAAGTCCCTTAGTGGTGCTTCATGTTAATATCTGCATAAAAAATCTGTGTTACATACTTTATTTTCAGATGGACCTTGTTCCTGTAGTGCACATACAATTGGTAAGTGTAATGGCCTGAGAAAAGGTATCCTTATGAGATGTTGAAACTGGATTACTCATTGGATAGCAGTAAGTGGAGTGTGGGTATGTATATTTCCCATACACCAGTTCAAACAGTGCTAAAAAAGCCAGAGGGTTTGTAAATTAGTTCAACTATTGTGGAAGACAGTGTGGTGATTCCTCAAGGATCTAGAATCAGAAATACCATTTGACCCAGCAGTCCCATTACTAGGTATATACCCAAAGGAATATAAATCGTTCTACTATAAAGACACATGCACATGTATGTTTATTGCAGCTCTATTTACAATAGCAAAGACATGGAATCAATTCAAATGCCCATCAGTGATAGACTGGATAAAGAAAATGTGGTACATGTACACCATGGAATACTATGCAGCCATAAAAAGAAATGAGATAATGTCCTTTGCAAGGACACGGATGAAGCTGGAAGCCTTCATTCTCAGCAAACCAACACAGGAACAGAAAACCAAACACCGCATGTTCTCACTCATAAGTGGGAGTTGAACAGTGAGAAGACATGGACAGAGAGTGGGAAACAACATACACCAGGGCCTGTAGGGGGGTGGGGTGTGAGGGGAGGGCACTTAGAGGACGGGTCAATAGGTGCAGCAAACCACCATGGCACACGTATACCTATGTAACAAACCTGCACGCTCTCCACATATATCCTTCTCTTTTTTTATGGAAGAAAGAAAGATAGAAAAAAAAAAAGCCATAAGGCCTCCAAAGCAGTGTTTAAATAGTTCCTTATTATTTTCATTGGTAGCACAAACCATGTTGAATAACAGGCCCAGGATTTAATTTTTAGACTGCAAAGAATTCTGAATGATTAGCCTGGAGAAGTATCATTTGCCAATATGAGGATGTTGATAGGAGTATGTTGGGAGCTTGAGACATTTGAGGGATATTTTGTTAAACAAGTCTAGGAATTTTGAACTTCAGATCCTCTGAATTCTCTGGGCTGAGACAGAACTCCCCTCTCCTTGCTGTAGGAGAGACGGTTCCTTTCTTCACAAGATCCTGAAAACGTCTTAGCTGAGGCAGATAGTTCATTGGCCAAAGCTTATCTTTCTCAAGATCCATTCCTGACCCCACAATATAATCACTAGGGTCACATCTCAGCATAACGCAGCAGGGAAATGCAGTCCTTTTGTTGGGGGAAAGATGACAACAACAACAACAACACAGGCTGAAAGAGTTAAAGGTCCTGGCAATATATGCTGGTAGAAAACTTATGGGAGTGGAACTTGAGGACATTGAACCAGGGTTAAAGGTAAAATATAAGGCTTAATAAGAGATATTTGTTGATGTAGGATTAGTGCCTCATGATTTGAGGTTTAATATCTTAGCATCTTAAGTCATTCTCAATTTGTTGTTAAAAGGTTCTTTGAAACATGAACTTGCCAAAGACCCACAGTGAACGAGATACTGGTACTATCTGAGGAAGGCGTCAAAAGGACGATGAATTTGGGAATTTTATAATGGAATTGCTTTGTGAGACTGGAAAACCCACCACTTCAACATATTCCATGAAAAGACTCAGGTGACTTTTGCTTCACTAAGGCCATAAGAAATACATTGGTAAGGGAGTTACTGGCATCTGTAAGGCAGTCAGTGATAGATGACTGCTGCAGTCCAGGCTAACAGTAGGACATGCTGTTATGAAACTGTTTATATATACATATATTAAAGGGATGAATAAGATTCTGGAGTGGCAGAGGCTACAAGGTGACACTTAATTGTTAGAAGAAAGATAGTAAAGAATAATTTATGTGGTGCATATCAGCCAAACTGTCTCCTTTGCCAAGGGTGGAGACTATATATGTGTCCAAGAACACAGGCTCCATTGCATCTATAAACTGGCTGAATGCCCAGTTTTCTAATAGTAAAGTTAATTGGTGAGCTCTCAATGTGGAACCATCTTTTGTGAAAATAAGCTATCAGTTTGTGGAAGTTGATTACACAAACATTTTCACAATGGAGGGTGAAAGGCATTAATTCATTCTTACTGGAATTGGCACTTACGATGGATATGGTTTTACTCCCTTAGCCCATAGTTTCAGAGGGCTAACAGACATGGGATCTTATAACCTTGCCTCAGCCCACATGACCTCTTTAAAGGCAAGGAGGTGAGATAATGGGCATCACAGGGTCCACTAATCCTACCTCCTACTCTATCATCTGGTAGTGGCTGCTATAATATAATAATGTGTTGGTTTATTAAAGGATCATTCAATGGCTAGCTCAGTTTTAAAGTTCTGTGTTCAGGACATTGTCCTATTTGGGGGGCAATATATGCACTGAACCATAGCCATGTATCCAAAAGCTAAAATGCTATAGTGTAAATCAAGTAGAGGAAGTAGTATTAACCATCTCATCATCATCTCTAGGGACGCAATTGAAATTTTTTCCTCCTGTCTTTGCAACCCTTGGTTCTGCTGGATTGGAAGTTCTTGTTCTTCCACCAAGTGATTTATTACGATTTCTATTTAACTTGAATGACAAATACTGCCCTTTCACTTTTTCTCTCTATGCCACTAGAAAAGATGACAAAGAAAGGAGTTACTATATGGCAATGGCCATTGGTACTGATTATCATGAAGGGGTGAAGCTGCTTCTATATTATAGGAAGAAGTAACAGTATTCCTTGAACTTGAGAAATTTATCTGAGTGTGTCCTGGTGCTTTTATACTTAGTAGTATATTAGTATACTTAATACTTAGTATACTAATAATATTAATAAGTGTAAGTATTATAGAAGTATTAATACTTACACTTATTAGTATATTAGTATACTTAATAGTAACAATGGAGAAAAGTCTGTTGCAGCAACCATGCCTTACAGGGCCTCAGTAACCTCAAATGTGAAGTTCTGGGTCACTCCCACCAAGCAAGCACCAAGATCAGCTGAAGTACTAACTGAGGGTGAGGAAAATCTAGAATGAGTGGTGGAAGGTGAGGATGATGAATATCAAAGATAACCTTGGGACCAGGAGCAGCAGAATTATCTCACTAACCTTCCAATACTAAATGTTTTATAAAGACGGTGGCCTGTCTCTTCCCTGCACTTTGGTTTTGTACCTGTGTGCTTGAGTTAACGCCACTAAGCGCACATCTCAACCAGAAAGAAGTAGATCCAGTGGATAGATGCTTCTCAAGGTCAATCCTGATTCTGATAAGCATTGTCTTTCCTCAGACTCTCCTGAGCAAGAAGGAACTCTAGTTGCTTTCAGTGTAGACTTCAGTAATAGCACTTCGAGTAGCATTTTTTTCTTCTTTTATTGTCTTTCTTCATTTATTTTCAGGTTCTGCTTTCAGATGAATTCCTTAAAATTGTCTGTTATAAAAAGCAGTATTTATATTGAACCCAAAAATGCTGCAAAGGCTACAGACAATGCCGAAAGGTGGGAATTTTATGAGGAATATCAAGGTAGCAGTGTCTGTAATTGTCAGTTGTTTTGGTTACCAGGGCCAGACTGCTCCCATGGGCTTATCTGTAAATACCTTTCAATTCAGAATATTTATATTTCCAGTTCCTTCTTTTTCTCAATTGTATATCTTCAATAGTTTTTCCTACCAAAAAGAAATATTCGGCACAAACTATCTGACTTTCATTTGCAAGCCATTTTATGACTTTGTGTTATATAAATAACAAGATTTTTCATTAGACGAATGGAACTAGAAAAAGTGCCTTGTCAAAACTGCAACTTTTGACAGTTAGCCTTTCCCCACTATGAATTAATTACATGAAACAACTTCACAAAAATTTTTTCAGATGTGATTATTTCTTTAGAACTTTCTAAGAGATGTGAGAATCAAAAATGTATTCAGATTCAGATACATATTTCCTCGTATTTGGCCTCCTTCATAAGCTTCTACCATTTAATAGTGATGGCAAATTAAAGTATAATTTAGTAAAATTCATGGTGCAAATATGAGAGCAACTGAGCAACTCTTAAATTAGTTGGGCTATATTTGTTTTCTTACTTTTTCTTCCCTTAGAATACTTCAGAGATAACATAAAAAAGGGGAAGTTGACATGTTCACACATTTTCTGTTGTTGAATAAAATAATGGTATTACAGATCATCAGAATTTTTTTCATTCGGGTGATTCTTATGGTGATACTTGGTAATATCTGAGAGCTGAATTATATAACACAGTGAATTCCATGGAAAATGTGTTGAGTTGTAACACAGACTGTAAGTGGACCATATTTAGCAGGCAGGACAATCATCACAGTCACATTATTTTCATATTGCACATATTCCATCATGCTTTGAAAGCAACATTTAAAATGCAGAGCAGAAATGTGACATAATATTTATGTCTTCATAAATATTAAGCCTTCATACAATTCAGTCATTATATTTTTAGTCATATTAAAAGGGACATAACTATATTCTATAATAAAAATTATTACTTCAAGTATAACTTACAGCAGTCAAATCTACATCATTTGTTGAGTCAAAACTCTATCAATTTAAGTAGAATAAAAATCTAAGAAAGCACAAAATTATATATGGATTTGATTGGGTGTGAGAATATTAAGGTTTACCTAGATGTTGTTTCATAATCTTTTGTTTCCTCACATTTCTGTATAAAGCAGTTTTGTTAATAATCAGTTTTAATGTGTAACAAGAATATTTAGGTGGAAAATTAAGATATTATTCTATGTTGCACTGTGTTACATTGGAAACTATTAAAATCACAATATAGTTTAAAATACAAAAAGAAAAATTTATTCCCTAACCAAATCTTTGGAGACATAATCAGTGTAACATTTTAGATTGCATTTGAAATATGTTCAGAACATCAAATATCACTGTGGAGAGTTTTATTCCAACATTAGAGAACAGGCAAGTTTCAAATTTGTATCTCCTACCCTGATTTTTTCAAGAACTCCAGATGAGTTTATTTGACTGCATGTTTGTCATCTCTGATTTGCTGTACAACAGGCATCTCAAAATTAACATGGCCAACACTGCACTTAATTATCCCCTGACCTACCAGTCCCACAGTCTCCCCCAAGTTACCACTAACCAGTCTCTCAAATTTAAAACTATATAATTTAAAGTAGTTTTTTTCTAATTCTGTGAAGAAAGTCAATGGTAGTTTGATGGGAATAGCATTGAATCTATACATTACTTTGGGCAATATGGCCATTTTCATGATATTAATTCTTCCTATCTATGAGCATGGAACATTTTCCATTTGTTTGTGTCCTCTCTTATTTCCTTGAGCAGTGGTTTGTAGTTCTCCTTGAAAAGGTCCTTCACGTCTCTTGTAAGCTGTATTCCTAGGTATTTTATTCTCTTTGCAGCAATTGTGAATGGGAGTTCATTCATGATTTGACTCTCTGCTTATCTATTGTTGGTGTATATGAATGCTTGTGATTTTATCCTGAGACTTTGCTGAAGTTGCTTATCAGCTTAAGGACTTTTTGGGAGGAGACAATGGGATTTTCTAGATACAGGATCCTGTCATCTGCAAACAGAAACAGTTTGACTTCCTCTGTTCCTATTTGAATACCCTTAAATTTCATATGGAACCAAAAAAGAGCCCATACAGCCAATACAATCCTAAGCAAAAAGAACAAAGCTGGAGGCATCACCCCAACGGAGTTAAGCTATATTACAAGGCTACAGTATCAAAAACAGCATGGTACTGGTACCAAAACAGACATATAGATCAATGGAAAAAGACAGAAACCTGAGAAATAACACCACACATCTACAACCATCTGATCTTTGACAAACGTGAGAAAAACAAGCAATGGGGAAAGGATTCCCTATTTAATAAATGGTGTTGGGAAAACTCGCTAGCCATATGCAGAAAACTGAAACTAAACCCCTTCCTTACACTTTATAAAAAAGAAAACTCAAAATAGATTAAAGACTTAACATGTAAAACCCAAAACCATAAAAACCCTAGAAGAAAACCTTGGCAAAAGCATTCAGGACATTGGCATGGGCAAAGACTTCGTGACAAAAATACCAAAAGCAATTGCAACAAAAGCTAAAATTGACAAATGAGATCTAATTAAACTAAAGAGCTTCTATACAGCAAAAGAAAGTAGCATCAGAGTGAACAGCCAACCTACAGAATAGGAGACAATTTTTGCAATCTACCCATCTGACAAAGGTCTCATTTCCAGAATCTACAAGGAACTTACACAAATTTACAATTAAAAAAACAAACAATCCCATCGAAAAGTGGGCAAACAATATGAACAGACACTTCTCAAAAGTAGACATTTATGTGGCCAACAGATACATGAAAAAAGCTCATAATTACTGATCCTTAGAGAAATACAAATCAAAACCACAATGAGATACCATCTCATGTCAGTCAGAATGGTGATTATTAAAAAGTCAGGAAACAATAGATGCTGGCAAGGCTGTGGAGAAATAGGAACACTGTTACACTGTTGGTGGGAATGTAAATTAGTTCATCCATTGTGGAAGACAGTGTGGCAATTCCAAATACCTTTTGACCCAGCAATCACATTACTGTGTATATACCCAAAGGAATATAAATCATTCTACTATAAAGACACATGCACGCATATGTTTATTGCAGCACTATTTACAATAGCAAAGACATGGAACCAACCCAAATGACCATCAATGATAGATTGGATAAAGAAAATGCAGTACATATTCACCAAGAAATACTCTGCAGCCATAGAAAAGAATGAGATCATGTCCTTCTCAGGGACATGGATGAAGCTGGAATCCATCATCCTCAACAAACTTACACAGGAACAGAAAACTAAACACTGCATGTTCTCACTCATAAGCTGATTGCAGGATGGGGAGCAAGGGGAGGGAGAGCATTAGGATGAAAACCTAATGCATGCGGGACTTAAAACCTAGATGATGGGTGGATAGGTGCAGCAAACCACCATGGCGTATGTATACCTATGTAACAAACCTGCACATTTCACAAATGTATCTCAGAACTTAAAGTAATAATAATAATAAAAATAAAATTGAAATATATAATTTATCTCTGATTTACATATTCTAAAAAAGTATCCAATACATAATCTATTTGCAAATGCTGCAAACTCACAAGTATATCTGAAATCACCTACTCCTCCATGCCCTTATAACAAGGCACCCTAGCTGATGTCTCTGGCTTGAACTACTGCAACAGCCTTTTAATCATTTTTCTCTTTTCCTTTACTTAATCTGTTTGAATCTAGAAAAAGTTGATCCTTTTAAAAACATAAACCACATCATTACATACTTTTTCTTAAAATTATTCAATGTTTTTCATCAATATTGAAATTCAATGGAAACTTATAACTGCGGCAAATTAACTCCAATCGATCTATTCTTAGCATACCTGATCAACTTCCTTCCCTATATCATCATGCTTCACATCCACCAGTGTATAGAGTTACTTTCCTTTTATTTCTTTCAACTTCCTGTTCATTCCCAACTGATACTTTTCCATCTGTCGTTTCTTATTCCTAGACTATTATTACCCCTCATTTCTAATGTCTAGTTTCTCTTGGGTGCAATTTTCTTTTAACATTCATTGGGTAACAGTCAGATTCTTGCTAAGCAGACAAGTCACTTTAAAACACTTCATATTATTCTTTATTAAATAGGTGTATCCCAATTTTACACTGTCCATTCTAGATAGCTAGCTAGGCATCATCTACCTGTCATTCATTTGTTAAGCAAGCAACCTGAGAAAGGATCTTAGCTTGTCTTGTAAAGCAATGTATCTCAGAACATAGTAAGTGTGTATAAGTATCTGTAGGTTGATTTCAGGATGCATTTCCTTCTAGCTCTTATCACTACTAAAGTGCTTTGTTATTGGAAAACAAAGCACTTCTATTAAGTCCCACAAAGTGGAAAATAGTTTATTAAGACGTATCAACTTTTTTGTATTTCTAATATCCCAGGTGATGCTCAGTATATTAAGGGACACAATAACGTATGTTTTTTAAGGTAACTACATTTGAAACCAATTAATCTAGTTTAATGTAGGTGATCAACACACCATTAGGAAATCATTGCATTCATATGTTTATATACATGACAAATATTATAAAACTAGTGTTTTGAGATGCAAAAGGCAATATTCTCTTATAAGATTCATGAGTCCATTAAGCTGGTACTAATTAAAATACATATCTATATCCATAAAAGTCAAATTCATAATTTATGTATTCAAGTTAAAAATTCTAATTCAGAATTCAAATGTATGTTTATATAGATTTATAAGGCATTTACCTAATGCTTTTTCATAATTTAGAATAAAACCTGATTCTAGGCCAGGAGCCGTGGCTCATGCCTGTAATCCCAACACCTTGGAAGGCCGAGGAGGGCGGATCACGAGGTCAGGAAATCGAGACCACCCTAGCTAATATGGTGAAACCCCGTCTCTACTGAAAATACAAAAAATTAGCCGGATATGGTGGTGGGCCCTGTAGTCCCAGCTACTCGGGAGGCCCAGGCAGGAGAATGATGTGAACCTAGGAGGCGGAGCTTGCAGTGAGCTGAGATGGCACCACTGCACTCCAGCCTGGGTGACACAGCGAGACTCCGTCTCAAAAAAAACCAAAAAAACAAACACACACAAAAAAACCTGATTCTAATATTAGACATGACCGTAGACAATAGAAGACTAGATTGCCTATCAATAGAGCAAAGGTATCACTCGCCTGGTCTCTGCCTTCATCAGGAAGACTGTTAATATTCCTTCTCTACATTGCAGAAACTGAGAGTTCAGTATGTTAGGTTATACATGAAATTACCTAAAAATTCACAAAATGAATTAATTGTTGGAAAGACTAGCTTGAGGATTGAAGAAAATTAACATCTATTTTATAATTTTATATAAGATACTGCTATTTATATATCTTAAGACATACATTAAGAATTTCTGTTCTGTTCCTTATCACAGATATCTGTCCTAACCATAGCATTTTCCCCTCAAAGTTGGAAAGACTAGCTTGAGGATTGAAGAAAATTAACATCTATTTTATAATTTTATATAAGATACTGCTATTTACATATCTTAAGACATACATTAAGAATTTCTGTTCTGTTCCTTATCACAGATTTCTGTCCTAACCATAGCATTTTCCCCTCAAATTTATAACTTTGTTTACATAGAGAATGGGATGTGTTAATTCAGAATAAATTCTCCCATAACTGAAAAAAATTTTAACAATGTGTAAAATACAAACGAGGCAAGGAATAATAAGAAATTAAGACTATAACAGGATTATAAGACCTCTTACATTTTAATGTAATTTTTGAAATTAAATTTTTCTAGGAGTCTTTTTACAAGCAAATACTTAGTATGAAGTTTGAATTCCATAGAATGTTAATGCTATTTAATATCTAAATCAACTTGCTAAATAAGTCACATGCCATTTAATCATTATACAATAATGAATGCTTTTCAAGTAAAAAGCTTAAAACACCAAAATAAGAAAAAGTGACTTTAAATTTGAGGAATATGAGGAAGCTATGACAAAGGAACCATTCATGATTGTTTATACTTACCATGTTTTGTTTCCTTAAATAATTCAGGATTTCTAATTTCTAATGGAAGGCTTTCAATCCTATGGCATCACAGACATATTGTACGGATTCCTGTGACTTTGTAAGAAGCATTATATAGCATTATAAATTAAATGACAGTGAATATGCTATCATATTGGTAATAAAATCTGTAAAAATGGCCGGGCGTGGTGGATCACGCCTGTAATCCCAGCACTTTGGGAGGCCGAGGCTGGCGGATCACGAGGTCAGGAGATCCAGACCATCCTGGCTAACACGGTGAAACCCCGTCTCTACTAAAATACAAAAAAATTAGCCGAGGGTGGCGGCTCGTGCCTGTAGTCCCAACTACTCAGGAGGCTGAGGAAGGGGGACTCTCTTGAACCCGGGAGGTGGAGCTTGCAGTGAGCCGAGATCGCGCCACTGCACTCCAGCCGGGCGACAGAGCAAGACTCCGTCTCAAAAAAATAAATAAATAAATAAAAATAAGATGTGTTTATATTTTCTTCCTCTGAATTTTTAATAAGCATATAAATGGGCAAAGTTCCTTCTAGTACTGCCTCATATGTGTTTAGTTATTTTGGACTTCTCTTATATCATAGATTTTAAACCCCTCAAGGTCTTAATTTTAAGCATTTTCCCCTCTTTGTTATTGAATTCCATGTTTAGTAATTGCAAATATATTTTGTTCAATCATTCCAATTAAAGACTCAACATATAAGAATTTTAAACAATGTAAATATATTATCGTTTTCATTAGTTACTTTGCCTAGGTACTGATGAACACGCAAAAAAAAATCATGATTACAACTGTCTCCTAAGTAGCTATCATTCTGATCTTAATTGATATGAAAAATGTAAGCATCACACAAACCTATTTATTATATAACATTATTATTTACATCTTTTTAAATTAAAGTTGAATTAGTATGTTTATAAAGTGATATTTAGATTTATTTTCATTTAAATAACAAAATATCATCAATCTATTATTTAAGTTATAATCTGTTAAAAGCATTTAAAGTAAAATAAGACAACTGAAATATATAAATTACTAAAGAAAGAAAATAAGAAAAAGAATACATTAAAACTTAAAGAAGACCAAAAAAAATTCGGATGACAATTTATTATTTTCCACACATTGTATATTGATGCTATACTGTAGGTTTACTGTAGGAAGGGCATGTAAAATTAAAGATGTGAAATGACAGTTGATCAAATCTTCTGCTGTAAGACCTAATCTTTCATCAATCCTTTCAACAAAAATGAAAGCTAATATTAAGAAATATTGAGAGAGTATCCCTGAGAAATAATAATCTAAAGCTGATACCAAAATCTGTCAGCCACTAAACTATGATTAAATATATTAGGTCAAGCACTGTTTTATTAGCCATATTACAAGGGAGATGACATATTGAAAATCTTTAACACCAGTTTCGTGTCAGTAGTGAAAAATCTTATGGTAACCTGAAATCAACCTCTCCCTTCCAAGAGTTATTTATCACATAGAATAGATTGAAGTTGGTGACCAGATGCCCAGTAAGGTAGATTGATTTTGACAGAATACTGCCTGGATAAAAAGTGAGGCAGACAAGAAAGTGGATTGGCACCTAGCTAGACTGGAGCCTGGTTTAAGAAACTGGGAATTTTTAGCCACTTAGGGAGAATGAAGTGTGAAATCCTTTGAGGGTTGCCATAAAATATCGTGCAGCTACATTAGTGCACAAAGGCAGCCAGCTAGTGGGGTAAGAAGGAGTCTAAAGTGCTGAAATCCCTGAACTCATTCTAGGCACAAGCCCTTAGTACATAACTTCCACTGTAAATGGGGAGTGTGTGTGTGTGTGTGTGTGTGTGTGTGTTTCTTTAGCCAAATATCCATGGATAAAAAATAAAGGCTCTGAGAGAAGAACAATTCCTGCTTTAAATCCCTTTTATAATACTGGTCCAGGGTGAATTAACAAATGTAAATCATGTTTTTTGTTCTATTGTCCACTCACAATTATATCTATTATGGTCATCACTTATCAAAAATGCTAAAGAGAATTATTTGTTGAGTGGTTCTCTTTTATGAGTCTAGTTCATTTTAAAGTCCAGTTCTCAAGTGGTAAATGTATACTGTAAACTTTGAGCACTTTATTTTATCAGAACTCTTCCAGATTGCATTTTGATAACATTGTATCTGATATGAATAATTAACTATTATGTATGTCTATATTTAGTTTTTGATATTTTTGAATAAACCTCTAAATACATAGAGAAGTCAGTGTAGAAGTTCTGTCAACATTCCTTTGCCAAATAAGTAAACATGAACCTAAAGTTACAGAGACTTTAGAAGCTATATACTAAGGATGGTTTGCCTGATTATGACAATCACTGTGCAAAAGCTGGTGGTTTTGTATAGCTTCAGTTGTTAACAATCATATTGACCTTTTTAGTATTCTGATTTACAGCTTCACATAATCTGGAAATAGAATTTCTCACAGTTTTAGAGTTGGGAATGTCCAGTCAGGTTATTTGCATGATTGGGTCCTGGTAAAGGAAAACTTTCTGGCTTGAGCAAGGCTACTTTCTTGCTGTGTCCTCACATAGTGGAGGGAGAGAGAAAGAACAAGCTCTCTAGTGTCTCTTTTTATAAGGGCACAAATTCCATCCTGAGTGCCCCAGCCTCATGACGGCATCTAAATGTAGTTACTTCTCAAAGGCCTCCACCTCCTAACACCATCACCCTGGGTGTTAGGGCTTCAACATATGAATTTGGGTTGGAACACAATTCTGTCCTTATATATGTTTACATTTACATATATATGATTTGTTTTAATGTAGCCTACCTTCCTCTCTTTTCTAAACATCGCTAATTTAAAACTGAATTCATCTCTTCCAGCATATGGAACAAGACATGAATATTTTTAGACCGATTTCTTCAAAGTTTTAGGACAGATGTTTTCAGAACTCTGACTTTTAACAATTTTTTGGAACCTTCTGGGACTTAAGTCTGTGGGAGTGTAGCTTTGGGCCAAACAATCTGAGCTGCCTTTCTCAGTTTATTTCTCAACTGAAGAAAAGGAAGATTTAGAAACTTGCTGTGTGTGGTTGCGTGTAAACGGGTGTGTGTTGTAATTTTCTTTTGCTTCAAACTCATTTGAATTATGTCATTTTGTTTAAAATGACCTTTAGATTACTTCAAAACCAGAACCATTTTTCATGATTGCTAGGGTGATTGTAGGAACTGAGAAAGAAAAATCTGCCCCACACTGATTTTCCTTGGAATAAAGGGTGTTTTAGGTTAAAGGAGAAATTAAGAAAGCAGTTTCTCTGTGCAAGGATAGGATTAAGTTGACTTCCAAGCTGTAGTCCTCTGTTAACTGTTTCCAGAAATGTCATTTAAAAATTTAGTCATATAGATAAAGTCACTTCTCATGAATTATGTCTCTTATACCTAGGCGTTTGTTTTTCTTCTTTAAGTAGTTTATACTTTGTTCCTAATTTAGTTCAAAAATGAAAAGTAACTTAAAAGGCTCATCAGAGCACGTTGTAAGAATGTTCTTCATGGATTATCTGAAATGTGAGTGATGAACTGCTATAATACACTGTTATGGCTTCATAAGCTTAATCAGAATCCCCTTTAACCTGGAATATGTTGGCTGCTTGAATCCTGCCTCTGCTAGAAGTTTTCTGGACAGGCTATCTCTCAGTGAAGTTAGACTCTTTTCTTCACAGTGTGGGTGACATGTATATCAGCAGAATTGTTAAAGCTCAAAGTAAGGTGACAGCTGCCAAACTTGCGAAGTTGAGATTTCATCTCCATTACCAGTAGATGAACTGTTCCCTGGGTCTCTTATTAAGGTCAGCCTGACTCAGTAGCCTGTAACCTCCTTGAAGCCAGTCTACTTTCTCTCTTTTTTTTTTCCTATCTTTTTAATTGCTATTGTCTGTTAACCAGATAAGTGCCATAAACTAATTTTGGTCTAGGGACAGATATCAGAATTGAATCCTATGTAATATGTCTATATATCTTAAAATTTAAATTTTGTTGCAAATAATCATTTCTTTTGATTTTCTGGAGTATAGTATCTGGGTCCTTTATAGACAATTGTTAATACTTCAAAGACATTAAGTGAAATAGCAAGTGAATGTCTTCCAAATCTATTTTATTTCCTTTTACAATACATTATACCAGGTTTGACCCTATGTGGAAATAACAGAATGTCCACAGGCCAGTGGCATTGAAAAGAATCTCTTCCACCTCAGATTTTCCTTTTTGAAGATCTGGAATTAATGAGAAGGGAAGCTCAGGATTTTGAAAGTCAGAAAGCAATAAGGTAGAATAGAATGGGAAATAGCAGAATACATGGAATTTAGAAAACTGCTTAATGCAGGAGTCTATTATGTTAATTTTCATTACGTAAATATGACATTCAAGTTTCTTTTGATTTCCATTTGGTTTCCTTTTCTTCCATGTCAGACAAGGAGAAGGCATTCAGCTCCTTAGAGAATGAAGAGATTTATAATCAGAGACAAAGAGAGAGGAATTATTTGAAAAGACTGAAAGAACAAATAAAGAACATGTTTTATTTAGTTTTGTCACTTAAATTGAAGTATTTGCTAATTTTGTTGTACATTAAAAAATCTCTAGAAACAGTATCATGTATTCTTTTTCTCCCAGTCACCAGTCGTCTGACCACAATAAATACTTCAATAAATCACGTACATTAAAACTTCTTTTTAATTACTAAGACTTGCAGTTCCTCCTTGTTCTGAGTGACAAGAACTTTTTGTAGTCTTAGGAAATTTTCTACATGTTTGCTGAAGCAGTTCTTTTAGAACACATTTTTTGAAAGAGAATTGTAAGTATGTAGAAAGGAAGGGATTATACTTTTCATGTAGAGAAGCAAGATGAATTTAGTAGTAAAGAGAACATGTTTTAGACAAAATCAAATTCAAATCTCTCATTAACTCATTATAGTCTTCAAAAGGCAAGTTACATAAAATACCTGACACTTAATTTTCTGGTACAGAAAATAAAAAAATAAAATTACCATGTAGTACTAAGAACTAAATTAGATAATTTTACCAATATTCAATTTTAGCCATCACAGCCAATTATTGTCATGATTTTATAGTTCTCTCAAGCTTCTTATTCATTAGAAATATAACATTTTGTAGATGTGGCAGACTTACTAGTTAATGCAGGGAAAGAAGGTTAATATGAAAAGAGTTATTTAAATTGATGAACTTCTTGCCTGATTTTCACTGAAAAAAATGTTATTTTGAGAGAATCATATATTTTGTTTTTCCAAAAAAATTATGAAAATAAATAGAAAAGCATGCACTTTAAATGTACTTTTAAATACTTTCCATATCTCTGCACTGCTGAACCCACATGGATTCCTTATATAGCTACTATAACTGCCCATCAGGTTCTCCTTGCCCACTGCCTAGACAGAGCCTATTTATCAAGAGGGGGATTGCAATAGAGAAATAGTTTAATTCACACAGAGATGACTGCATGGGAGACCAGAGTTTTATTTTTATTTGAATCGGTCTCCTCAAAAACTTGAGGATGGGGATTTTTAAGGATAATTCGGTGGTTAGGGTGTCTGAATGGGGGGAGTGCTGATTGGTCCGGGTGGACATGAAATTATAAAGAGTAGAAGCTGTTCTCTTGCACTGAGTCTGTTCCTGGGTGAGGGCCACAAGACCAGATGAACCAGTTTATCTATCTGAATGGTGCCAGCTTATCCGTTGAGTACAGCATCTGCAAAACATCTCAAGCACTGATCTTAGATTTTACAAAAGTGATGTTATCCCGAGGAGCATATTGAAGAGGCTCAGACTCTTGCAGCCTTCAGTTTTATGACTCCTAAACCATAATTTCTGATCTTGTGGCCAACTTATTAGTCCTGCAAAGACAGTCTAGTCCCCAGGCAGGAAGAGGGTTTGTTTTGGGAAAGGGCGGTTATTGTCTTTGTTTCAAAGTTAAACTATAAACTAAGTTCCTCCAAAAGTTAGTTCAGCCTAAGCCCAGGAATGAACAGACAGCTTGGAGGTTAGAAGCAAGATGGAGTCAGTTAGGTCAGTTCTTTTTCACTGTCATAATTTTCTGTTATAATTTTTGCAAAGGTGGTTTCACTACTCAGCTGAGGTCAATACAGATTTGTTATACTAGTCATATTCAGGAAACGTTCTCTGAGAATAAGTGTCAGTATGTTAATTAAATTTTGAGAGTCCCATCTTTTTAAGCTGTTCAGAGGTAGTATTACGGTAGCATAAGTAGGTTATTTACAAATTATTAATGATGATTACTTATTGCAACCAGTAATGAAACACATGTTGTCATGTTTTCATTTTCTTAGGTTTCATTTCAGAAAGTGTCAATTTCTGTATCCAGTCTAAGCTAAAAGTTAATTTATTCAATAGTTTTATATTTAGTAAATACATCCTGAAATTAGTGAATTGTGATTTGGGGGGGTTATTATTTTCCACTAATTATTTCTCTTCGAGAAGGCAGAGAAGTTCTCAGAAAAAGTTGAAAACACTTAAATTAAAATTGAAATATAACTTAGAGAGTAAAATTTAATAAACTGCTTATATTAAGAAAACCTACAGCCAAAAGAAATCTCATTAGTCTAAAATTAACCAGTGAGTGTTAGAAAGAAACTTTTAATGAAAGAAGAATAAAATTCTGTCACATTCGAAAGATGTTACCAGAGCAATGATGCTAACTAAATGTTGAGTAGAGTTTGAGGTTACATTTTATTTCCCCTTTTCTCTGAAAGAAACCAATACTTATGCAATAATTTTTGTAAGAAATGAAAAAAGTAAATTTGTTTTGCAGAAGAATTTTTCCTTTGCCACTTATTGACTTAGAGTTTTAATCTATCTTTAGATTAATACAAGCAATAAAAAAGTTGTCAATATATGTAATAACAATATCATTAAAATTTAAAAAAATGTTAATAGCTCAAAGAAATTATTGAACAACAGAATCACTTCTATAATAGAGAATATAAGAAAAAAAAATGTTTTTTAGAACTGAAAAAATTATTTTTCAATTAAAATTAATTTATTCTAATTTTTAATTTTAAAAATGTTTTCTTCTGCCTTCTTTCTTATTCCTCTGTCTGGAATCTGAAAATCCCACTGTGATTGGCTTATGAAGTCCAAGAAAGTCCAAGAAATCAATGCTAAAAAATGCTCAAATAAAAGCCCAGTGGTTATTTAAAATTTGCAAGATAATAAAACACAAATCTCTAAGTAAAGATAATATAAGAAATATATATGTTTATATATATAATTTTAAGACAGCTGTTATAAAAAATGCTTCAAAAAGCAATTAAAAGCACATTTAAAACAGAGAAAAAAGCTATCAAAAAAGAACTATAAATTCCCAGCATAGAAATGGAATACACAAAGAAGAACCAAATGTAAATTTTAGTTTTGAAAAACCAAACAATTTAAATAAAAAACCCAATGGATGGGATCCACAGCAGAATGGAGAAGACAAAGAAAAGAAATAGTGAACTGAAAGATATGGCAATAGAAATTACACAATCTGAACATAAGAGAAAATATATTGACAAAAATTGCACAGACCCTGAGAGACATGTAAGACAGTCATAAAAGGTCTGATATTCACATCATCAGTCTTAAAAGTGGGGCTTAAAAAGTGCTTGAAAAAATAATGGCTTAAAACCTCCCAAATTTGATAAAAGATATAAACCTACAGTCAAGAAGCTAGGTAAATCCCAAATAAATGAAACACCCAAAAAATATACCTCCAGACTCTAGTGATTTTACTGGAGAATTATAAGGGAGAAATCTCACTAAATCTAGGCAACTTTTCCTAGAAAATCTAAGAGAAGGGTATACTTTCCTATTTATTTTATGAAGCCAGTATTACCCTGAAACCAAAACCAGACAAAGATTGTAAGAAAAAAGAAAACTCTAGAACAATATCTCCATGTTGAAAATGTATACATCAAAAAAACTAGGGTTTATTTCAGGGACTCAAAACAAGTTCAATATTCAAAAATCAATAATGTAATTCAGCATATTAAAAGGATAAAAAAGAAAAATCACATGTCATACCAATGCAAAAAAAACACATTTGACAAAATTCAATATTACTTTATATTAAAACCTATCAGAAAAACTAGGAGTAGAAGAGACTTTCCTCAAATTGATAAAGAGCAAATGGGATTATATTGGTGGCTATATACCAAAGGCTTAAACCTCTGAAATTAGGAGTAGGGCAAGAATGTCCATTCTCCCTACTTTTATTAAACAAAGTGCTGAAAAATAATCATAGCTTCTACCATAAGGAAATAAAAGACACGCATATTAGAAACAAAAAGAAAGAAACATAAAGAAAGAAACAAAGCAGTTCCTATTTGTGGATAACATAACGGTCTACATAGAAAGTCCTAAATGAAATGTTTTATAAAAGTCATCCAGAACTACTAAGTGAATTCAACATGCTCACAGTTTACAAGATAAGCAATAAACAATAGTACATATTTCTATATACTAGCAACAAACAGTGTACACTGAAATTAAGAATACAACACTATTTGCAATCCTTCAAAAACAAAATACTTGAGGTAATATCTAACAAAAGGTGCATAGGACTCAAATCTAAAAATTACAAAAATTTGATGGACGAAATCAAAATACATCTTGGAAAACAGAGAGAGACTCCATATTTATAGATTGGAAGACTCAATATAGTAAAACACCCAAATCTCCCCAAGTTAATATAGGTAATGCAATTCCTATGAAAATTCCTGGAAGGTTTTTTTTTATAATAAAGACAAGATTGTTATAAAATGTAAAATTTTCATTTGAAAAGTGAGAAAACAGTCTGCCCAAATGCCAGGTTATTATATAGTTATAGTAGTCAAAACTGTGGGTTGATAGAGGGAGAAATAAATAGATCAATGGAACAGGACACAGAACCCAGAAATAAATTCACACATCATGTCCAACTGATTTGTGACAAGCAAGTCAATGGAAGAAACAACAACAACAACAGAAAACCTCAAGAAAAAACTAAAAATTAACTGAAAATGGACCACAGACTTATATGTAAAATCTGAAACTATCAAACTTTTAGAAAAAAAAATGTAAGAGGAAATATTCAGAGGCTAAGGCAAAGAGTTCTTAAACATGACACTGAAATCATGGTCCATGCAAGAAAAAAATTGTGATAGATTTAACTTCATTAAAATTAAAATTTATATCGTATGAAAGACCGACCTCAGTGAGGATGAAAAGACAAGCTACAGACTGGTGGGAACTACTTGCACAACACATATTGGACAAAATATTAGTAACCTGAATACACAAAAAACTACCAAAATGAAATTTTTAAGAATCAAATTAGAAATGGGCAAAACATAGAGACATTCTACTCAAGTGGATATACAGATGACAAGTAAGTACATACAGAAATTTAACATTCTTATTCATTAGGAAAATGCAAACTGAAACCACAATGGAATATCACGATACACCTATCAGAATCACTAAAAAAAGTAGTTATAATACCAAATGCAAGTAAGAATGCAGAAAATCCTGATCACTCATACATTGCTAATGAAAATGTAAAGTTGCAAACCCACTGTGAAAAACTGTTTGGCATTTTTAAAAATGTAAACATACAACTACCATACGTTTCAGGAATTGCATTCCTGGGCATCTTCCCCGTAGAAATGAAGACATATGTCTATGCAAAAACTTGCACACAATGTTTACGCAGTTTCCATTTGTAATAGCCAAAACTGAAGACAACCCAGATTGTGTTTCAGTGGGTGAATAGTTAAATAAACTGCAAGATATTCATACCATGAAATATTGCTTAGCAATGAAAAAGAACAAATTATTGCCTTACACAAAAGCCTGCATAAATCTCAGAGAGTTATGTTGACTGAAAAATGCCAGTCACAACAGGATACATATCATATGATTCCATTTAAACAATGTTATTGAAATGACTAAATTATAGGAGTATAGCAGGGATTAGTGATGCCAGGGGTTCATCAGGAATTTAGGGCAGGAGGGTAGTGGGCAAGGATATATACATAAAAACAGGAACACTTTTGGTAATGGAAATGTTCTGCATTTTGATTGTGCCAAAGTCAATATACTGGTGTCATATTGTACTGTAGTTTTGCCAGATATCATCACTGGGGAAAACTTGGTTCATCTCTACACATCATTTCCTACAGTAAACAACATGTAAACCTACAATTCTCTCAAACTAAAAAGTTTACATAAAAATTACAATTAAACTCAGGCATGAAGTACATTTAATGCTCCCTTCTAAGACATTGCTGTGAATTTCTAGTTCCTAGCTCTATTTTGGGATGTGCTGGACTGACTGAAGTGAGGGAAAGTGATCGCAACTCTAAGGCAAGTTATCTCAGTGAGGTCACAGCTGACTAAGCTGGTAGATATTTATAGCAGAACCATACTTATTGATTGTCCGTGTTTCTTTCATGAATTTTAATAACTTTGCCTGGCTTTGCTTTTAGCACTTCTTCAGTATTAAAAAGTGAATATCCTGAATACAAATTCTTAAACTTTCCATTAATCTTTAAGAAGCAATGTGCTCTACTTGGAACTCCTGAAGGTATCTTTGAAGGTATTATGGCACAAGAAAATAGAAAGTAACCCATCTGTAACCAGATGTCCTTGGTTAACAAGCTACTTCTAACATGACTTGGGATTTGGAAATCAATTCTACTTGATAACTGATGAACCCTGGAGGAGGAGGTAGTGAAGCTCTAGGGTAGTGGAGAAAGTGACATTTATTACGTTTGAACTTCCACTTTTGGCTCATCACTGAATCTAAAGTTTATATACTTTATCTCAGACAATATTTGCAGGAACTGTATGTATTGAATATGAGAAATGAATATGTAGGTAAACTCATTTACCAAATAAAACCTAATGCTGGAACAACAGAAAACAAAAGGCTAATCTATTCATCAACATAATAATATGAAGTTTTGTTACAACACACTGCCATAGTGATCAGGCCATTTCCTCTTTTCCTTAAACAGCTCAAAACATGCAATAGATATCTTAGACATTAACATTTTACTAATGGGCTGTACTTCAAAAATATGTAATTTTGTTGTTAGACATTTTGAAAGCATTGGCACACAGAGAAAAGGTTATAATTGTTTAGATTGGTTTTATGACTTACTGCCAAAATGAAATTAACCTTTAATATTGCTGAATTTTAATAATGTTACAAATCAAGCAGAGGTGCTTGGAGCAGAAGTTAATGGAAAAGTAGTTCAAAAAAACTCATCCTTTTTTATAGGTTTCACTTTGGCATAAAATTTGAAAGATGTAAATTTTGTTGTTTCTGTTCATCCCTTCAATTTTTGTAATATTTCACATAAATTAGGAAATTAATTTATAATTGTTCTTTTTTTTGCATTGTGAATTTTATTTTCTAAATTTTGTTGAAAAATTTTTGCGTCTATGTTCATGAGATATATTGGTCTGTAGTTTTTGTTTATTGTAATGTGTTTATCAGAATCTGTTATTTTACTAATGCTAGCCTTATGGAAGAAATCAAGAAGATAGCCAGAAGCAGTGGTTCAGGCCTGTAATCCTAGCACTTTGGGAGGCTGAGGTGGGTGGATCACTTGAGGTCAGAAGTTCAAGATCAGCCTGGCCAATATGCTGAAACCCTGTCCCTACTAAAAACACAAAAATTAGCTGGGCGTGGTGGCGTGCACCTGTAATCTCAGCTACTCGGGAGGCTGAGGCAGGAGAATCACTTGAACTCAGAAGGCGGAGGGTACAGTGAGCTGAGATCGTGCCACTGCACTATAGCCTGGGCAACAGAGCAAGAAAAAAAAAAAAGTGTATCCTCTGTTTCTATTCTCTGGAATATATGGAAGGATTGACATCATGTCTTTTATAAATGGGTGGTAAGTGTTCACAAGTGGATCCGTCTGAAATTACTGCCTCTTTTATGAGAAGTTATTAATTATGTATTCAATTTAGTGAATAAATACAGGTCTGTTTAGGTTATATATTTCTAAATTTATAAGTTTTGGTAAGGTGTGTCTTTCAAGAAATTGATCAGTTTCATCTAGCTTAACAATTTGTGAGCACAAAATTATGCATAACGTTCCTTTTTTAATCCCTTAATGTCCATGAAATCAGTAGTGATGACGCCTCTTACATTTTTATTAGTAATTTGTGTTCTCACTTTTTTTTTCTTAGTCTAGGGCCTTATCAATTTTATTGATCTTTACAAAGAACAGCTTTTGTTTAATTAATTTTCTGTACTGTCTTCTTGTTTTCAATTACATTGATTGCTTATCTAATTTTTATTCTTTCTTTCCTTCTGCTTGCTTGAGGTTTTAATTGCTCTTTTTTCTCTAGGTTTCTAAGGTGGAAATTTAGATATTTTTATCTTTATTTTATTTATATATATTAATTATGTATTTTATTTATATATATGATGTGTGTGTGTATATATATAATGCTATACATTTTCCTCTAAGCAGCTTTCAATGCATTCAACAAATTTTGATGTTATATATATTTTTTCATTTAGTTAACAATGTTTCAGTTAGTCTTGTGGCTTCTTTGAATCATTTGTTACTTAGATACGAGTAGTTTAATTTTTTAAATATTTGGGATTTACAGCTATCATTGTGTTATTAATTTTAATTATTTTGTTGTCTGGGAATGCAGTATGTGTTATTTTCAATCTTTTAAAAAATTTTTATTTTATTTTAAAATACATAAAATACATACATCCCAGAATACATGTACAAGAAGTGCAGGTTTGTTACATAGGTAAATGTGTGCCATGGTAGTTTGCTGCACCTATCAACCCATCACCTACCTGTTAAGCCCCACATGCATTAGTTATTTATCCTGATGCTTTCCCTCTCCGCGCCCCGCTGACAGGGCTGTGTGTGTTGTTCCCCTCCCTGTGTCCACGTGTTCTCATTGTTCAGCTTCCACTTATGAGTGAGAACATGCAGTGTTTGGTTTTCTGTTCCTGTGTTAGTTTGCTGAGGATAATGGCTAAGAACACTATGTTAAACTATTTTGATATCCTTGGAAGAAATACATGTAAATAATAACTATTGTTCAAAATAGAAATTATTTGCCTTGGGAATTTTGACTGTTGAATTATTTGTATACTGTCAGCAAGATAATTTGCGTATGATTGGGGGAAATTATCTTTGAAATTCATGTTGCAACATCCAATTATTTTTTACGATCTTACCCTAGAAAATGCACTCTTAAAACTTACCTTGGATAAAGTACTATATATTATGTCACCGGTCTCATCACCCCAAATCAAACCCAGGCATAAATGAGACATTGCATAATTAATCTTTAACTTCTCCAACACATAATTTCTCTTCAGTTTTTCTCTATGACAACCATTAAACACCTTATGAGTTATATGGAACTTTTATGATCACTTATGCTCCAAGTAAGCAACTGTATCAACACAATGATTTAACCTTTAAGGTAGATTCCCATGAATCATAGATTTTACCCAGCGCCAAAATTTATTAATAATCCAAAAGACACAAGGAAGAACAAAGAAAAACATTTTATTTCTTTTTTCAAGAGATTGAACCTATTACTTCCATTCAAATTATCACTTCCATTATGGTAGCAGATGCATTGTTACAATGTACAGAGAAGCACTGTTCTCAAAAAAAGCCATTTCCCCATTGATAATCTTCAGTTTTATATTTTGTTAGCTGCCCAGGAAGAAAAGGCCAATGTGACCACCTTCCATTCTCTATACTGTACAATGGATTCCTAAACACAATGTTTTTGTTGTTTTTTTAATTTTTTTTATATTTTTCAATAAGCAGTGAAGGCAGGCTGATTCTTTCTTTTTCCTAAAAAGCAATTTTAATGTAGTGACTCTCCATTATATTACTGTAGTAAAAATCATCTGCCTAATTACAAACACTTACTTCTTGAATGATATTACATATATGTTGGATCACTCATCAAAACAGAAATGTGATTATATTCATTAAGAAGAAGAAAATCCCTTTGTTATTCACATTGGATCATTTTTATTATTCTGTCTAAATTCGCTGACAATTTTTATCTTTCTCTCTCAGTGCTATTAAGCCTATCCAATGAAATTTTTTATTTCAGCATTTACGAGTATGTCTAATATTGAATATAATGATTCTTTTAATTGCCATATCTATGCTGATTCCAAACATATTCAATTATTTTGACCATATTTTCACTGTCATTTATTATAATAGATGACATAAATTCTTGTCTTAAATATCTGAGTCATCTGTGATCTTGTTTCTATTGACTACCTTTAATTTTGAGCAATGGTTCTCATTTTTCCCTGTTGTCACATTTTTAAACACCTTTTTAATTTTGCTTATTGGTAATGATCCACTATAAAACCCTGGATTGTGTTAAGTGTCTTTTAAAAAATTTTAACTTTAATAATTTTAAATAATTAATTAAAAATTTAAAATAAATAATTTAAAATTTAAATAATTTAAATTTAAAATAATAATTTTAAAAATATTTAACTTTCTCCTAGAAGAAACTTAAGTTATGAATTGGTCTTTTGAAACTTGTGGTGACTTCATTAAGATAAGTCTATTTCAGTTTAACTTAGTCCTTAATGAATCTCTAAATTCTGGGACACAGTCTTTCCCTCCTAAGCATGGTTCCCTTGCAATTTATTTTTACTTAATGTTTATTGTTCATTTTTTATTTCAATGGGTATGTAGGGAACCAATGATGTTTGGTTACATGAATAAGGTCTTTAGTGGTGATTTCTGAGATTTTGGTGCACCCATCACCCAAGGAGTATACAATGTACCCAATGTGTAGTCTTTGATCCCTCACCCCCCACACCAACCCTTTCGCCCGAGTCATATAATTTTTATGCCTTTGCATCCTCATAGCTTAGCTCCCACTTATGAGTGAGAACACACAATGTTTGGTTTTCCATTCCTGAGTTACTTCACTTAGAATTATGCTCTCCAATTCCATACAGGTGGCTGTGAATGCCATTATTTCATTCCTTTTTATGGCTGAGTAGCATTCCACAGTGTGTATATATATATATACACAACAATTTCTTTATCCACTGGTTGACTGATGGGCATTTGGGCTGGTTCCACATTTTTGCAATTGCAAATTATGCTGCTATAAACATGTATGTGCAAGTATCTTTTTTGGATAATTACTTCTTTTCCTCTTGGTAGATACACAGTAGTGGGATTGCTGGATCAAATTGTAGTTCTACTTTTAGTTCTTTAAGGAATCTCCACACTGTTTTCCATAGTGATTGTACTAGTTTACATTCCCATCAGCAATATAAAAGTGTTCCCTTTTCACCACATCCACGCCAACATCTATTATTTTTTGATTGTATGACTATGGCCATTCTTGCAGGAGTAAGGTGGCATTACATTGTGGTTTTGATTTGCATTTCCCTGATTATTAGTGATGTTGAGCATTTTTTCATATGTTTGTTAGCCATTTGTATATCTTCTTTTGAGAATTGTCTATTCATGTCCTTAGCCCACTTTCTGATGGAATTGTCTTTTTCTTGCTGATTTGTTTAAGTTCCTTATAGATTATGGATATTAGTCCTTTGTCAGATACACAGATTGTGAAGATTTTCTCCTATTCTGTGAGTTTTCTGTTTTCTCTGCTGATTGTTTCGTTTGCTGTGCAGAAACTTTTTAGCTTAATTAAATCCCATCTCTTTATTACTGTTTTGTTGCATTTGATTTTGGGTTCTTGGTCATGAAGTCTTTGCATAAGCTAATATCTAGAAGCGTTTTTCCGATGTTATCTTCCAAAATTCTTATGGTTTTATGACTTCGATTTAAGTCTTTGATCCATCTTGAGTTGATTTTTGTATAAGGTGAGAGATGAGGATCCAGTTTCATTCTTCTACAGGTGGCTTGCCAATTGTCCCAGCACCCTTTGTTGAATAGAGTGGCTTTTCCCCAGTCTTTTTTTGTTTGCTTTCTCAAATATCAGTTGGCTATAAGTATTTGGCTTCATTTCTGGGTTCTCTATTATTTTCCATTCATCTATATGCTTATTTTTATACCAGTACCATGTTGTTTTGTTGACTATGGCTTTATAGTAAGTATAGTTTGAAGTCAGGTCATGTAATGCCTCCAGATTTGTTCTTTTTGCATAGTATTGCTTTGGCTATGGGGGCTCATTGTTGGTTTTATATAAATTTTAGGATTGCTTTTTTTCTGGTTCTGTGAAGAATGATGGTGGTATTTTGATGGGAATGGCACTGAATTTATAGATTGCTTTAGGCAGTATGGTCCTTTTCACAATATTAATTCTACCCATCCAAGTGCATGGGATGTGTTTTTGTTTGTCTCTGTCATCTATGATTTCTTTCAGCAGCATTTTGTAGTTGTCCTTGTAGGGGTCTTTCACTTCCTTGGTTAAATATATTCCCAAGTTTTTTGTTTTTGTTTTAGTTTCTTGCAGCTATTGCAAAAGGATTTGAGTTCTTGATTTGATTCTCAGCTTGGTCACTGTTGGTGTATAGCAGAGCTACTGATTTGTGTACATTAATTGTGTATCCTGAAACTTTGCCGAATTAATTTATTAGCCCTAAGAGCTTTTTGGAGGAGTCTTTAGGATTTTCTAGGTATACAATCATATCATCAGCAAACAGGAAGAGTTTGACTTCCTCTTTACCAAGTTGGATGCCCTTTATTTCTTTCTCTTGTCTGATTGCTCTGGCTAGAACTTCCAGTACTATGTTGAATAGAAGCTGTGAGAGCGGGCATCCTTTTCTTGTCCCAGTTATCAGGAGGAATGCTTTCAACTTTTCCTCATTCAGTATAATGTTGGCTGTGGGTTTGTCATGCATGACCTTTATTACCTTAAGATATGTCTCTTCTATGCTGATTTTGCTGAGGGTTTTAACTATAAAGCAATGCTGGATTTTGTCTAATGTTCATTCTGTTGCAATTGAGACGATCATGTGGTTTTTGTTTTTAATTATCTTATGTTGTGTATCACGTTTAATGACTTAAAGATGTTAAACCATTTCTGCATCCCTGATATGAAACCCATTTGATCATGGTGGATTATCTTCTTGATATGTTGTTAGATTCAGTTAGCTAGTATTTTGTTGAGGAGTTTTGCATCTATGTTCATCAGGGATATTGGTCTATAGTTTTGTTGTTGTTGTTGTTGTTGTTGTTATGTCCTTTCCTGCTTTTGTTATTTGGGTGATACTGGCTCCATAGAATGGCTTAGGGAGAACTACTTCTCTATCTTTTGGAAAAATGTCACTAGGATGGGTTTCAATTCTTCTTTGAATCTCTGATAGAATTCAGCTGTGACTCTGTCTGGTCCTGGACTTTTTTTTTTTTTGGTAACTTTTTAATTACCATTTCAATCTCACTGCTTGTTTTGGTCTGTTCAGAGTTTCTATTTGTCCCTGGTTTAATCTAGGAAAGTTGTATATTTTCAGGAATTCATCCATTTCCTCTAGGTTTTCTAATGGATGTTCATAAAGTTGTTCATAGTAGCCTTGAATGATCTTTTATATTTCTGTGATATCAATTGTAATATCATCCATTTCTTTTCTAATTCAGTTTATTTGTATCCTCTCTCTTCTTTCCTTTGTTAATGTTGCTGATGGTCTATCAATTTTATTTATCTTTTCAAATAACTAGTTTTTGTTTCATTCGTCTTTTGTGGTTTGTTTGTTTCAGCTTCATTTAGTTCTGCTCTGATCTTCATTATTTTTATTTTATCTTAATTTATTTTATTTTTGCTAGGTTTGGGTTTGGTATGTTCTTGTTTCTCTAGTTACTTGATTTTCCTCAATTTTTTTCCTCGATTATTTCCTCAAATATGTTTTCCAAACTTTTAGATTTCTCTTTTTTCTCAGTTCAAAATTTTTTTAAATTTCCATTTTGATTTTGTTGTTGACCCAATGGTCACTCAGAAGCGGGTTATTTAATTTTCATGTATTTGCATAGTTTTGAGGGTTCTTTTTGGAGTTGGTTTTCAATTTTATTCCACGGTGGTCTAAAAGAGTACTTGATATAATTTCATTTTCTTAGATTAGTTGAGACTTGTTTCGTGGCCTATCATATGATCTGTCTTGGAGAATGTTCCATGTGCTGATGAACAGAATGTATAGGATTTTCTGTAAATATCTGTTAAGTCCATTTGTTCTAGGGTACAGTTTAAATCTGTTATTTCTTTGTTGGCTTTCTGTCTTGATGACCTGCTTAGTGTTAGTGGAGTATTGAAGTCTCCCACTGTTATTGTGTTGCTGTGCTGTCTATCTCATTTCTTAGGTCTAGTATTAATTGTTTTATAAATTTGGGAGCT
This sequence comes from Homo sapiens, assembly GCF_000001405.40. Taxonomy (NCBI): domain Eukaryota; kingdom Metazoa; phylum Chordata; class Mammalia; order Primates; family Hominidae; genus Homo; species Homo sapiens. The sequence continues at coordinate 171,251,006 of NC_000004.12, forward strand.
CCAGTGATAGGTGCATAAATATTTAGGATGGTGATATTTTCCTGTGGACAAGTGCTTTTGTCATCATATAATGTCCCTCTTTGTCTTTTTTAACTGCTGTTGCCTTAAAGTTTCTTTTGTCTGATACAAGAATAGCTATTCCTACTCGTTTTTGGTTTCTATTTGCATGGAACATCTTTTTCCACCCCTTTACCTTAAGTTTATGTGTGTTCTTATGTGTTAGGTGAGGCTCTTGAAGACAGCACATACTTCATTGGTGAATTCTTATCCATTCTGCCATTCTGTATCCTTTAAGTGGAGCATTTGGATCATTTACATTCAATGTTAGTACTGAGATGAGAGGTACTATTCTATTCATCTATTTATCATGCTATTTTTTGCCTTAATATCTTATTTGTTTGTTTTTCATTGTGTTTTTGTTGTATAGGTCCTGTGAGATTTATGCTTTAAGGGGTTCTATTTTGGTGTATTTCAAGAATTTGTTTCAATATTTAGAGCTCCTTTTATTAGTTTTTCTAGTGCTGGCTTGAGAGTGGCAAATTCTCTCAGCATTTGCTTGTCTGAAAAAGACTGTATCTTCCCTTCAATTCAACAAATTGAATTGTATTTCTATGCAAAACACAGAATTATAAAAATGAACGTTATTTATAATTTCACAAAAAATCAATAAATGAAAGGAATCAATCTAACAAAAAGTCCTATAAAATTTCTGGGCTGTAAAAAAAACTATTGAAATATATAATGATTAAATAAATGGCGGAATCTAATATTTTATGTTCATGGATTAAAAAACAATGTTAAAAAGATAAAATTATTCCTCAATTCTCAATTTATGGAATTAATCAATCAAAATTACAGTATATACTTGTAAAAGTTGGCTGATTAATTCTAAAGGTATATAAACATTTTAGATAGCAAATGATAGACACAATTTAAAAAATAACAAACCGTCAATTAAATTTAAAATATATTGACTTCTTATAAAGCTAGAATAATTAAGTTATTGTGGTATTTGTACAAAGGGGCTAACGTAACCTAAAGGCAAATCCAGAAGCAGACCTACATATATATGAATATCTGATTTACAATGTAGTTGGCATTACAGAAGTGTGGGAGGACAATAATTTCTTTTAAATAAATCGATCTGAATAAATTACTATATGTAAGGGGGAAATATAAACATGGCTCCTGTCTCATACCATACATAAATATTCTTGATGTAATGCCAATTTAAATATGACAGATAAAAAGATAAAATTTAAAAAATATAATACTGAAAAGATCATTATTTGGAAGAGAACATTTTTTCATTAGTGCACTTTACATTTTTTGAGCACTGTAAGATTTACAGAAAAATTGAGCAGAATGTACAGTTCTCAAATATCCCAACAGCCTACTCAGTTTCCTCTATTATTAACGTCTTGCATTGATGTCCTATATCTGTTGCAATTGATAAGCCAATATTGATGCATTATAATTAATTCAATTCTATAGTTTACAGTAAAGTTCACTCTTTGTGTTGTACATTCTATGGATTTTGACACGTGTAATGACATTTATTCACCATTATCATGTTATACAGAAGTTTCACTGCCCCCCCAAATCCTTTGTGCTTTACCTATTCATCCCTCCCTTTCTCCCCAAAACACCTAGCAGTCACTGATCCTTTTGCTGTCTTCATAGCTTTGCCTTTTCCAGAATGTTACATCATTTGAATTACAAATTATGTAGCCTTTTCAGACTGGCTTCTTTCACTGAGCAATGTACACTTAATTTTCCTCCTTGTCTTTTTATGGCTTGCTAGCTCATTTATTTATTTTTTTTCATCGAATGGTATTTCATTGTATAAATGTACCACAGTTTGTTTACCTATTTACCCATTGAAGGAAATCTTGGTGGTTTCCAAGTTTTGGCACTTACAAGTAAAGCTGCCACAAATGTGTATATGTGTGTGTCTATGTGAGCATAAGCTTACAACTCATTTGTACAAATATTAAGAAGCATGATTGTTAGATTATATGATAAGAATATGATTAGTATTTTAAGAAATGGCCAAACTGTCTTCCAAAGTGGTTGTACTATTTTGCATTCCCACCAGCAATAAGTGACAGTTCCTGTTACTCCGCATCCTTGCCAACCTCTGGTGTTTAACAGTGTTCTGTATCTTGATCATTCCAATAAAAGCACAGCTGTATCTCACTATTGTTTTAATCTGCAATTCCCTGATGACATATGATGTAGAGTGTCTATTCATATGCTTATTTTTCATCTGCATGTCTTCTTTGTTCAGGTATCTGTTCAGATCTTTTGCCCAATTTTTAACTGGGTTATTATTATTGAGTATTAAGAGTTCTTTGTATTTTTGGGGTACCAATCCTTTGTCAGATATGAGTTTCTCCCAGTCTGGGGTGTGTCTTTTTATTTGTCTTTGGTGTAGTTCACAGAGCAGAAGTTTTTAATTTTAATGAAATCTAACTTACCAATTTTATGTTGCATGAATTATGCTCAAGGTATTGGAGATAAATAGTCATGGCCAAACCCATGATTACCTGATTTTTTCCTCTATCACCTTCTAGGAGTTTTATGTTACAGTATTTAACTTTACATTTAGGTCTATGATTGATTTTGAATTAATTTTCATGAAACGTGTGAGGTCTGTTTCTACATTCATTTTTTTTTAGCACATTGATGTCCAGTTGTTGATGCACCATTTGTTGAAAGGACAGTAATTTCTCCATTGAGTATTCTCTGCTCCTTTTCCAAAGATCAAATGACAATATTTGCATAAAAGGCAGTAATTTTGACAATATTTTTAAACCTTTAAACATAAATGAAATTATAGATAAACTTGACTTTATTAAAACCCTAAACTTCCCATCATCAAAAGTTTACATCACATCATGTATACCTAATAAAGTGCTTGCATATAAAAGAAATAAACTACTCCTATAAATCATTAAGAAGTAAACTGGACACCCACATCAATTTTTAAAAGTGGAAGAGAAACTTGAACAGTTATAACATGAAAAAAACTATTCATTGTCGATAAATATTTGAAAAGTTGTTCAGCCTGCATATTAAGCTGTGATTAGCTTCTACTAAATGCCTACAAAGTTTGTTAAAATTTAAGACAAAAATTGCCAAATGTGGGTGATGATATGGAGCTTTGGAAACTTGAACAATGCTAATGGAGAGTTTAAACTTATTCCTTAACTTTAGAAAACTGGCAAAATTTGATAAATGTAAATTTAGTAGATTCGTAAACATGCTCACTATAGTACAAGAGATTTTATTGTTTGGTAAAAGTGCAAAAGAAATGAGTGTAAATATCTACAAAAAGACATGCTGGAGAGTATTGATATCAGCATTATTTATAATCATTTCTATTAGAAATAATACAAGTTTCCATCAAAAGAAGATAGCAAACTATGCCATAATGCTAATGAAAAAAACATACAATTTGGAGTAACAAAGATTAATTTTGCAAATACAATAGGAGAAAAAATCTTTATGTATATAAAATTATATAATGTATAGAGAGCTAGCTTTATGGGTCTGCAACCTGTGCAGTTGCACAGGACCCAAACTTTGTTTAATCTTCTATTATCACCATCTCAAAATAAATGACCTTTGAATGACGGCCTCAGCATTTTAATTTTTCATGTGGCCCTCCCTCTTCAATTCTGCAGACAATTCTACTTCTATTTATATAAATGTAAAAAAAAAAAAAGGCCAAACTTATACATGGATTATGTCAGAAAATGATTACACAGAAGAAAGAGTGGGTGATTTCGGGGAAATATCTCTGGATACAAATATTAAAATATTATTTATCTAGCTCTAGTTGCTGTTACATGGGTAGGTTCAATTGTTGAAAATTCGCTGAGCACTTTTCTGTATATATGTTATATTTTAATTTAAAAATGTTTTAGGAAAGATTTACTTTTTGCTGATTTTTACATTAAAACTCAGGTATCTTAAAAGAATTTTTAATAACATTAGTTACGAGGTCCAGAACTTTGCTACCAATGAGCTTGTGATTCAATTGTCTGCCCTCAGCAGCAAATAAAATAAGTGGAAGCCTGACCATTACATTATCTGTATCTTTCACTAAACTATATTTTGTGGGCTGGTTATTTTTAATTACTCTAAGTTTAAAAGACAGGTATATTAACCACTCATCACATTGGCATGATGAAATATCTAAGAATTATGAAAGTAAATGAGAATTTTGTTTGATTCCTCTGCCATGATATTTTGCATGCCCCTTAAGTTATGTGAGGTATTCAAGTAAGCCAGTAACTTTCAAAATTCAGAGGAAACAAAATAGCATCTTACTCCAGCCAGGTAAACCAATTCTGCCTAGTAGCCCTAAAAAAAATGCTTTGATGTCTTGCAGTGGGGCTTGAGGTAGATACCGTTCTTGGTGCCCCTCTAGATGACAAGTTAGTGGGTGCGGTGCACCAGCATGGCACATGTATACATATGTAACGAACCTGCACAATGTGCACATGTACCCTAAAACTTAAAGTATAATAATAAAAGAAAAAAAAAACTTAAAAAAAAAATTAGTGTGTCATCCCGGGAAATCTTAAATGACACAGTATTGCCATACAGACTTTTTACAGAAGAGGTTGTTTGATATAAGTGCCCCTTATTGTACACTTTGAAATTTGGTTTTGTAGCAAATCATGGGTTTATTTTTTAGAAATGGCTACAGTTGAGGAAGCATACTTTAACAGACAAATCAATAAAACTAGATAAAGTTCCATCAATGAAGAAATCCTGGTCATTTCAAACTCTGTCTCCCAATTATTATCAGATACATCAAAAGCCAACTGCTAAAAAGAGTTTTTCTTCCTATTAAACTTTTAAAAAAATTGTTATCCTGTTTTATGATTATACAAATCTTCTCTGTATGAATTATATGCAGTTTATGTTGAGAATAGAATTGTAGCTTATTTTATGAATAATTTTACAGAAATATATTTATTTTTCTTAACTTGAGATGATCAGAAAGTGAACATAACTAAGGCATGCATGTTGATTTTTGTTTTGTTTACATTTTCACTTCTGAACAAATAGTGGCCTTTGTGCATAGAAATAGCTGACACAATTATCAAATTATCTGTAAAGATTTTCCTTAGATTTGAAACTGTAGCCAGTGCTGGTAGAACCTGGCAGTCTTTGAAATCTTGCCTTTCTCCTTCACAATCAGCCTGTGGCCGTACATCAGAAATATCCATTTTATCTCTGATTGCAGTAGCTGGGACTCTATCGTTAATGTTCTGGCTTCCCAGCAGGGCCACACTATTGGAAGTTCTGCTTCAGGGTGTCCTTATTATTTTTTTTTTTCTACTCACGCACACTACTCATGACTGACCCACTTCAGTTTGCAGTATAAGAGCTGTTTCCCAGTCCTAAGCCAGATGGCTGGAGGATTGCATTTTTATGTTTAGATGATGGTGGCCATCCCAGCCCCACACACCCACCCCTGGAGCAAAGAAGTAGCTTTTGATCTCAGTAAAAGACAACAAGGATTTTGTGCTTTCTTTTCCTCAAAAGAAAGCTGTTCTACTTCCCTAAACAAAAGGAAATGGAAACAAAATGTAGATTTTTGAGCATTGCTTGCCACAGGGTGTGCCATACTAGGGAGATAGCTGCGATGTGAAGTAGAGTTGTCAGTTATCCCGCAGTGTACAGGAGATATTGTTTCTAGGACCCCATACCAAAATCCGTGCACACTCAAGTCTCTTGAGTAGGCCTTGTGGAGCCAGCCTGTAGGAAAAGTCAGCCCTTACTGTCTATGAGTTTTGCATTTCCTGAATACTGTATTTTTCATCTGCACTTGGTTGAAAAAAAATCTACCCATAACGCTGAAGCAGGAAGATCGCTTTAGCCCAGGAGTTCAAGGCTACAGTGAGCTATGATCACACCACTATATTTTAGCCTGGGTGACAGAGCAAGACACGAACTCTTAAAAAAAATTGCTTAAAAGTAGGTCCACTGTTTTGTGTTTGAACAACACAGTTAACAACTATGTTGTTCAAGGGACAATTTTAAAAATCATTTGCTTAAAACTAAGGGAGTTACTGCAACAAAACAATGACAGCAGGGGAGGCTTTGGGTCAAAGAGGAATGAACAGAGCAAAGGACAGAAGTCTCATTCATCAAAGCCAAGAACATGGACCAAAAATATGTATACATGAGGAAGGAACAGAGAAGAGAGAGAGAGATTCAAACACTATTAAAAAATGTACAGTAAGGTTTATATCCAAGAAATTCTTGATTGAGAGAACCAAGAATATCATTTAAGGAAGAGCTAATCTGTAAATCTGGCTATCTCGAGACTTTCAGAGGAGAAATGAAAACATATTGTTGGTACAAATACAAGAAAATAAGGATGCAGGAAAGAGAATGGCTCCCTGCTGTGTGCTTCCCAGGCAGAAGAATTCTCAAGGATATTTTTAAGAGCATGAGCCTCAGGGTTTTTTATTTCAGTTTCATTTGCAATCACGAAAGACCAGTGATATATTGGAATTCCTGCACATTCTTAATTACACTATCAAATTCTCTGTTAAATTTTTGTGGTAGGCTAGGGAGGAATAAGAAACCAGAGAAAGAAAATCACTAGATTCGACTAATAAATATTTCTTTTCCAACTATTCTTTTATTCCCCGCTCTTAATTTCTAAATCAAATATTTTCTTCTATCTACAGAAAAAGTGAGATTAAATGAGTTAGGCAAGTCTAACTGTCAATACTGGATTTCCATGGATATGAAAGCTGACTACACCATCTCTTCTAAGATGCAATAATCATTATCCTACCTACCATGAGCAGGACACTGTGATAGGACACAAGGCTGGAGTACACAGGGGACTGTGAATTTTGAAAACTTCTAATCTAGCTAAAGACTGAGCAAGGCAATTTTTGTGGCCTAACTTTTGCCTTTGTGGACATTCTACCCCTGAAAATCTACATGTCTACAGGTAAACCTTCAGATAGAGATATGCCACTGGCACATTAGTTCTTCTAGAGAAAAAGTACATTCTGCTTATATCTTACAAATATAAGATCTGAATGATCTGTATGATAAAAACCATTCTTTACTTTTAGCCTTCTGTAGTTAAACTAAACAACTTCTAAAATCCAAGTTGAGATTTTCTTAAAGTTCTGCCAAGTTTTGTGTCTGCCACTCCTTCTAGTTTGCTCCCACTGTGTGTATCTTATGGACCACAGATAAGCTGAAAAGAAGTTCATTTAAAAGAAATCTTTTGTGTTTTACATGAATAGCCCATCTTACCTAGATGACAAATTTATGAAATTATATTCAGAACAAAAGTAACTTATTTCATACCTATTGAAGATGAAAAATATCACTGCAATGATTTGCAGAAACCACAGTAATACCGCAGCATGAAATATTGAAATAATTATAGTCAATCATTTAAAAGTGATGACTGTCTTAACGATTACTGTAATTGATTGAGGTGAGAGCATTTTCTTTGTACCCTCAGTAGCTTGGACATATACTGAAGCATTATACTAAGAAGTAGTCATGTAAGGAAATAATTTCTCACTGTAGAAAATAAGGCTGCATTATTAAAATCATATGAGATACTGAAAGAGCTTCTCTTCCAGTAATATGATTGTTAATCAACTTCTGGTAACAGGATGGATTAACATTAGTTGCTACCATTCTTTTTCTCACTTGTTTCTGGATGGTTTAAGGCACTTGAAATTCATTTTCCCTATTTTAAAATGTCATCTGAGTATTTTGGCTTAGCATCTGGTTCAGAGATTGTGGGCTGCTTGTGCAATTCTCTGCCAAAGAAGTGCCAATATTGTTCTTTAAGATACTCCAGAGAACTGAGCTTTTCTTTATCTCAAGCCTCCTATTAAATTGTTATATGTGGTGTTATATTGAAACAAAATTCTTAGATTGTATACATGAACCCCACTTCTAAGTGCTTTTTGACTGGGACTTATAGGAAAACTTATGAGTAGGACCAGGGTGTAAAATTACAACCAAAGTTGTAAGATTTCAGCTCTCCCCATTCTGCATACCATTTCTACACACACACACCTTGGAGGAAGCCCCTTCACCTTCAGCTGCCTGTGGTTTCATAATCTTTCTTCTCCACCATTCAAAAACATGTTCTTAAAGAAGTATTTAAAGTTCAAGTAGCATAATATAGTATCCATTACATTATAATAACAGGGATATATGAAATACATAACTTTTTTTCCAATTTTTTGTTATACTTTAAGTTCTGGGATACATGTGCAGAACGTGCAGGTTTGTTACGTAGGTATACACGTGCCTTGGTGGTTTGCTGCACCCATCAACCTGCCACCTACATTAGGTATTTCTCTTAATGCTAGTCCTCCCCTAGCCTCCCAACCCCCAACAGGCCTCGTGTGTGATGTTCCCCTCCCTGTTTCCATGTGTTCCCATTGTTCAACTCCCATTGTTCACTTATGAGTGAAAACATGAAGTGTTTGGTTTTCTATTCCTGTGTTAGTTTTCTGAGAATGATGGTTTCCAGGTTCATTCATGTCCCTGCAAACGACATGAAGTCATCCTTTTTTATGGCTGCATACTATTCCATGGTGTATATGTGCCACATTTTCTTTATCCAGTCTATCATTGATGGGCATTTGGATTGGTTCCAAGTCTTTGCTATTGTGAACAGTGCCACAATAAACATACGTGTGCATGTGTCTTTATAGCAGAATGATTTATAATCCTTTGGGTATAATCCTTTGAGTAATGAGATTGCTGGGCCAAATGGTATTTCTGGTTCTAGATCCTTGAGGAATCGCCACACTGACTTCAACAATGGTTGAACTAATTTACACTGTCACCAACAGTGTAAAAGCATTCCTATTTCTCCACATCCTCTCCAGCATCTGTTGTTTCCTGACTTTTTAATGATCACCATTGTAACTGGCATAAGATGGTATCTCATTGTGGTTCTGATTTGCATTTCTCTAATGACCAGTGATGATGAGCTTTTTTCATATGTTTGTTGGCTGCACAAATGTCTTCTTTTGAGAGGTGTGTGTTCATATCCTTTGCCCAATTTTGATGGGGTTGTTTGATTTTTTCTTGTAAATTTGTTTAAGTTCGTTGTAGATTCTGGACATTAGCCCGTTCTCAGATGGATAGATTGCAAAAATTTTTTCCCCTTCTGCAGGTTGCGTGTTTACTCTGACAATAGCTTCTCTTGCTGTGCAGAAGCTATTTAGTTTAATTAGATCCCATTTGTCAATTTTGGCTTTTGTTGCCATTGCTTTTGGCATTTTAGTAATGAAGTCTTTGCCCATGCCTATGTCCTGAATGGTATTGCCTAGGTTTCCTTATAGGGTTTTTAATGGTTTTAGGTCTTACATTTAAGTCTTTAATCCATTTGAGTTAATTTTTGTATAAGGTGTAAGGAAAGGGTCCAGTTTCAGTTTTCTTCATATGGCTAGCCAGTTTTCCCAACACCGTTTATTAAATAGGGAATCCTTTCCCTGTTGCTTGTTTTTGTCAGGTTTGTCCAAGATCACACTGTTGTAGATGTGTGACATTATTTCTGAGGCCTCTGTTCTGTTCCATTGGTCTATATATCTGCTTTGATACCAGTACCATGCTGTTTTGTTTACTGTACCCTTGTAGTATAGTTTGAAGTCAGGTACCGTGATGCTTCCAGCTTTGTTCTTTTTGTTTAGGATTGTCTAGGCTATACAAGCTCTGTTTTGGTTCCATATGAAATTTAAAGTAGTTTTTTCTAATTCTGTGAAGAAAGTCAATGGTAGCTTGATGGGGATAGCATTGAATGTATAAATTACTGTGGGCAGTATGACCATTTTCACAATATTGGTTCTTCCTATCCATGAGCATGGAATGTTTTTCCATTTGTTTGTGTCCTCTCTTATTTCCTTGAGCAGTGGTTTGTAGTTCTCCTTGAAGAAGTCCTTCACATCCCTTGTAAGTTGTATTCCTAAGTATTATATTCTCTTTGCAGCAATTGTGAATGGGAGTTCACTCATGATTTGGCTCTCTGTTTGTCTATTATTGGTGTATAGGAATGCTTGTGATTTTTGCACATTGATTTTGTATCCTGAGACTTTGCTGAAGTTGCTTATCAGTTTAAGCAGGTTTTAGGCTGAGATGATTTTTTTTTTTAAATAGACAATTATGTCATCTGCAAACAGAGACAAATTGACTTCCTCTCTTCCTATTTGAATGCCCTTTATTTCTTTCTCCTTCTTGATTGCCCTGTCCAGAACTTCCAATACTATGTTGAATAGGAGTGGTGACAGAGGGCATCTTTGTCTTGTGCCAGTTTTCAAAGGGAATGCTTCTAGCCAAACTAAGCTTCATAAGGAGAAATAAAATCTTTTACAGACAACAAGTGTTGAGGGATTTTGTCCCCACCAGGTCTGCCTTAGAAGAGCTCATGAAGGCAGCACTAAATGTGAAAAGAAATAATCAGTACCAGCCACTGCAAAAACATACCAAATTGTAAAGACCATCGACACTGCATCAACTAATGGGCAAAATAACGAGCTAGCATCATAATAATAGGATCAAATTCACACATAACAATATTGAACTTAAGTGTAAACAGGCTAAATGTCCCAATTAAAAGACACAGACTGGCAAATTAGATAAAGAGTCAAGACCCATCGGTGTTCTGTATCTCAGTGATATGCAAAAAAAAAAAAAGCTTTTATTTTGCTCATACTTCTGAGTTTTCTGAGTCTTAGATGGAGGTCAGCAGATATACACTGAGTATAGGTAGGGGCACTTAAATGGGGCAGCTTTGCTTTGTGTTTCTCTCTTCCATCCTCCGATACCATCAGTTTTCATTGAATCTGCAGATTGCTTTGGGTAATATCTTAACAATATTGTCTTTCTATCCATGAACACAGAATATCTTTTAATTTATTTATGTTTTATAGTTTTTATTGTACATGTCTTTTACCATTTTGGTTAGGAAAATTCCTGATTATACTTTTTATACTATTATATATGGCATTGTTTTGGTAGCTTTTAAGAATGTTTATTATTAGTATATAAAGATGCAACTGGCATTTGCATGTTGACTTTGTATCCTGCTACTTTGCTGAATTTGTTTATTACTGTTAATAGGAATTTGTGGAATCTTTAAGATTTTCAAAATCCAAGAGTGTACAAACAGAGATGATTTTACTTTTCCTTTCCAGTTTAGATGACTTTTTTCTTGCATAATTGCTCTGGCCATAACTTCTACTACTATGTTTAATATAAGTGCCTTGTTCCTGATCTTAGAGAAAAAGCTTTCAGTCTTTGAACATGGAGTACAATATTTGCTACGACTTTTTACATATGATATATATGTTGAGGTAGTATTCTTCTACTCATATTTTTTTAAGTATTTTTTATTCTGAAAGGATTTTAAATCTACCAAATGTATTTTTTCAATCAATTGAGATAAATTTTTTCTTTTCATTCTGCCAATCTGTATATTACATTGTTTGATATTTGCATTTTGAAACATCCTTGCATTCCAGGAATACATCACACTTGGTCATGGTGTATAATTTAATTTATTTACATTTAAAGTAATTACTGAGGAAGGGCTTACCTCTGCCATTTTGCTATTTGTTTTCTATATACCTTATAACTTTTTTGTCTCTCATTTCCTATATTACTGTCTTTTGTTTTTAGTTGCTTTTTGTACCGAAATGTTTGACTTCCCTTCTCATTTCTTTTGTATATACAGACCATCCTTAACTTATGTTTGGACTTACAATTTTTCAATATACAGTGAGTTTGTCAGAATGTATCCATATTATAAGTCAAGAAGCATCTGTATTCTAAAACTATTTTTTGTGGTTACCATGGAAATTACATTTAACAACATAAAGTTATAACACTCTAAGTTTATACCAGCTTAACTTCAATAAAATAAAAAACTCTACTAACTTACACTTGTTTCACACTTTTTTTAGTTACTGGTGTCACAAAATTATATCTTAGTACCTGTGTCCAAAAAGAAAAATTAATAATATTTCATGCATTTGTTTTTTAAATTATGCAAAATAAAAATACAGATTTACAAAATTATAATGCTACTAACTTTTTGACTAATGATTTTTTAATTGTTAGTCCTTAAATCATGTAGAAAACAAAAAAAATGGAGTTACAAACTAAAGTTTAAATAGTACTAGCTTTTATAATTGCCCAGTATATTTAAAACCTTTACTGAGATGTTTATTTTTTCATATGACTTCACGATACGCTCTAGTGTCCTTTCATTACAATCTGCAGAATTCCCTTTACTGTTTCTTGCTGAGCAGCTCTAGTGGTAATGAGCTGCTTCAGCTTTTGTTTAACTTGAAATGTCTTAATTTCTCCCTCACTTTTGAAGAACGGTTTTGACAGATATAGGACTCTTGGTTGACACATTATTTTATTTCATTTTATTTGTAGCCCTTTGAATACATTAGTTCAATGCTATCTGGCCTCCAAAGTTTCTGATGATAAATCTGCCAATAATCTCACTGAGGATCCCTTTTATGTGACAAGTTGCTTCTCCCTTGTTACTTTTTAAATTCTTTTTTTCTTTTGAGATTTTGAGTATAATGAGTTTTATTGTGAATCTTTTTAAGTTCATCCTACCATTATTTCTTCAAATATTCTCTCCCTCTGTTCTTTCTTCATCTTTTTTTTTTCTTTTTTTTTTTTTTTTTTTGTCTGAGACTCTCACAATGCATTTTGGTCAGCTTGACTGTGTCCCTCTCCCACAGGTTTTTTTGACTCTTTTAACTTTGGTCTCATTCTTTCTGTTTCTCAAACTCAATAATTTCAACTGCTCTGTCTTCAACTTCACTGTTTCTTTCTTCTGCCTGTTCAAATCTGTCTTTGAAGTCCTGATAATTTTTTAATTATTATTTATAAAATTTATTGTATTTTTCAGTGCTAGAATTTTTTTTGATTTTGATATTTCCATTCTGTTTATATATAATTTTCTGGTCTTTTTCCACGTCTTCCTTTAGTGTTTTGAGTATCTTTAAGACTGTTGTTTTAAAATCTTTGTTTAATACGTCATCACCTTTTTCAAGGATAGTTGTTGTTGTTGTTTTATTTCCTTTGAATTGGCCTTACTTCCCTGTTTCTTTTTATATCTTAGAATTTTGTTTTTGTTTTACACAGCAGACATTTGAAACTAGTATTGTAGCAATTCCAAAATTCTACTCCTTCCCCAGAGTTTGTTGTTTCTGTTTTGTTTTGTTTGTTGTGCTTTGGATTATCTTATGCTATCTGTCTACTAAAGATTAGCCTGAGGGGTAAAAACTTAATGTCATTTCAGATTTTTTTTTCAGTCTTTGACTTTCCCTAGTATGCATGATATCTTTCTAATTTCACCCTTATATGCACTTTTTGGAGTGTCCTAGTCTTTAATTTCTGGCTATCAATAATGGGAAAAGAGAAAAATGAATGTGGGAAGGAAGAAAGCACACTTGCCTTTTAAATCTCCTGGAAGTCTCTGAGGAGGTGGGGAGGTTGAAGCAATGAAGGATGTGCAACAATGACCGTTACCTTTGTGTTTATATTCCCTTGGTTAGAAGCAGCAATTAGTAATCCAAATATGGATCTCTGATATTTGTAGAACAGGATCTTTATTGCCTAGATGGCTCCAACAAGCTGTGTAAGCTCCTCTAGGAACATGTGCAGGCTGCCTACCACAGGTCTGGGGTAGAAGAATGGATAGCTGTCGCTGAGCTATGAGCTAAAATCCCCTGAAACTAACTGCAATTTGCCATCCAATTCTTCTGCTGGAAGTTTCAAGCTTTCAATAGACCTAAGTTTCATAATTGTCACATCAGAGAGATTCTGCTGTTGCATTGTTGTCCGGGTAGGGAGACAGGTTCCCGGTGTTTTCTGCTCCACTATCATCCCAGAATCATCTCTTCAGGCTTAATTGGTTTTTGTTTTCTTTTGCTTGTTTTGATTCTGAAAAAAAAATACTTTTCAAATCAAGAGTTAATTCACAATGTTTTCAAAGTTTATCACAATAATAATATAATTCGGAAAATAATGTTTGGTGATAATAGAGCAATTTTCCTAACATAAAAAGAAAAGCTAATATTCCGTGCTAGGCAGGGATGATGAGGTGGGATATTTGTAAAAAGAAAAGAGAGAATTGTGACAGGAATGAGAGCCTTTGATTATTGTTCCCCTTTTAATGATTACAGCACGTAGTGGAGATGATAAATTACCTAGATAGGTAATATTGTGAATTTTAATACAGAGATTTTTTTCTCACTTATATGAAACTATTGAAGAAGGCAACCTAGGTGACTGTCCTTCCCTAAAATGGGGCAGTCAACCACAACAGAGTAAAAATAACTACCTCACAGGTCTGGGCAGATGTAGGGCCTATGTGGTCTTCACCATGGTTGTCCTCATATCAACAAAGGGATGAAGAGAGCCACAGATTTGCCTATATTTAAGGAGATTCCAAAGTTGTAAAGTTGTAAGCAAGGAAAACTCATACCAGAGGCTGCACTGTGAACAGATAAGCTTAGGGGCAGCTAGAGAAAACATCTGAGCCTCTGAGGATCACTGGTGCCAGTAAGATCTAATGCAGGGTGGATTCAGCAGGAGGAAACCACCAGCTCCCCTCAAGCACCCACTTTGCATTGTTTGTGATATGAAACTAGAAAATAAGAAAGACCACAAATATGAAAAAGCAGGGGGAAAAATCACCTTAGCACTGATTCCTTTCTCTCAATATAAGAAGGATATATGAGGTCCTGTGGAACTCAGATCATTTCTGGTAAGAGAAGAAAGAAATTGCAGGCAGAAAAATGCTTGGTGGAGGTGAGAGAGTGCTTAACTAGGAGTTAAACAAGAGATTGAGCTTAAAACTAGAAGTAACTTCAGTAGTAAGAATAAATTTTTGGCTACCATTTTAAGAAATGGAAAAATTAAGAAACTTTTATCTCTATATATTCAATTTTGATCCTATGTTGAAAAGTGGCCATTCTTCTTTCCTTTTCCTCTCCTTCCCTCACCTTTCCCTCCCCTTCCTCCTCCTCTTCTTTTCTCCTCCTTTTTTTCTTCTTCTTTCTCTTCTCTAGCTCTCCCTCCCCATTATCTGTTATGTGTATATTATACATTCATAAATATGCCCTCCCTCCCCCTTATCTATCACGCTGTGTATATATTGTACATTCATATATATGCATGTACATAATATATTTCAATATCTATGTATAATTATATATAATGTATATTATATATAATTGTATAATGTATAAGTGATGATGTTATTAATAATCAGTTAAAGATTTGTTTACGTAGTAAGGTATATGTGTGTTTGTGTATATATACGTGTGTGTACATGTGTGTATATCTATTTATATTCTTAATACATATCTTTATATATGTTTATGAATTTTTTATATTTCTATGTTGTATGCATACATATATACTCCTAAAAACAGGGTTGATGTAATATTTCAATTTTTACACAAAATGAAACCAAGAGCTCTGAGATACCAATATATTTCGGCTTTGTCCTATTTTAGTGCATGTCTAAGTCTTTTACTTTGAAATCCTTTTCACCCTATCTGTGCTATGTGGTAAAAGCGGCACTAACTTCTGCCTCTTCTTTTGATAAAGTCCCATCTTTTAACTCATTTTCTATTTGTAACTCATTAAGTTTGGCTCTGAGAAGCTCTGTCGTGTAATCTTTACTCAGCACAAGATGTGCCCATGGGTTTACTGCTGCCGGCCCTTTCCTCATCTCTTCTCATCCTCCTCCACTCTCAGGCCTGCCTTCAACCCTATGACTCTTCTCACCTAACAATCTGCCGCTGTTACTGTATCTGTAGCCTTCTCCAATGATGCAAAAGAGGGTCACAGCCCACGAGAATATGCACTTCTGCACTTCAGGCACAAACAGCAGCTGTGCAAGGCGCACCAAGCAGGCTGTGGAAGGCTCACTCTATCATAGATTTGCCTATAATATGCCTTCCTATTTTGACCCCGAGGGATTCATTTTCATCATTTTCTTATGTCTTTTCAAGCAGTTTTACTAGAGAGAAAGTTAATTATGGATTTGTAATAATATTTTCCGAGAATGAGAAATAGCATTTCTATGAAGATTTTTCACTTCTAAACTACTGTAAGCTTTCTATTACCCCAACAGCTTTCCTTCAAGAAGCTACAAGGGTTTTCATTTTGAAGTTAATCTTATTTTAGCCTCAGATGCTCTCAATTAGCTGCTGTCTTTGTTTCATGAGAAATTGCTTTTGATTAGCAGATTTCTTTGTTTACATGGTTGCTCAGACCATATTGCCACAGAAGAGCTAATTTGCTACCCAACTGCTTCTCTTCTACATTAAAGATGGGTAGAGTATTACAGAGAATTTTGCCTATATTTAAGTTATTACATAGTAAAATATGCCTAAAGTTTTACCAGATAGAGATTATTCTCTTATAAATCATATAGTGTCCTTATTTAAGCTTAAATTCGGTCACCAATTCTTAAAATAGGGGGAAAAAGTGAGAAGAACTTTTTATAACATTAATTATAGCTATAACATTGAACATTAAAATACTGTATTTTTAAATAATATTTGTAAATTCTAAGTATCAACCTCCTACATTTATGCTGTTGGAGAAATGGAGTCTCCATACGGAATCTTTTCTTCTCCAAAAGATGTTTATGATTCAGAAGCAATGGTCAAAATATAAATAAATAACATCACAAACAAGAGTTTGTCATATGACAAACAAAAAATGCCATTGGGGTAAGACAAAATAGATTATGATTAAACATTTATTATTCACCAATGTTTGAGCAAGTGCAAATATAAAAACAATAAAGCCTTCTTAAATTAAGAGTCCAATTGGTATATTTCTGAAATTATCATCTCTCTGCTCATTTATTTGCTTACTAATTAGTAATATGCATATATTTCAAGTTTTAGGGTTATTTATTTTGTGTGTATGGTGCTCTAAATTTTTGCATTAATATTATTTTTAATTGATAAATCATAGTTGTATACGTTATGGGGTACAAGGTGGTGATTTGTTATATGTGAACAATGGAGAATGACTAAGCCAAGCTACTTAACACATATAACACCTCACTTACTTAATCTTTTTGTGGTGAAACATTCGAAATTTAGTATCTCAGTTATTTTAAAATATGCAGTACATTATTTTTGACCAGAGTCACTTTGCTTTGCAATATATATCAAGCTTTTAAGCTAGTTGAATTTATTAATGTTTCCCTCTGGACATTTATTTTTCCCTATTTTTCATAAATTAGTTCATCTCTATTTCAATCTATTAGAAAATGTTAACCATTTACGTTAAAAATCTCATTAAATAGCATGGTATTTGAAGGGTCTTTCTTTCCTCCATGTTTTTTTCCTTTCCTTCCTTCCTCCCGTCCTTCCTTCCTTCCTTCCTTCCTTCCCTCCCTCCCTCCTTCCTTCCTTCCTACGTTTCTTCTCCTTCTCCTTCTGGTTCTCCTTCTCCTCATTCTCCTTGTCCTCCTCCTGCTACTTTCTTTCTTTCTTTCTTTCTTTCTTTTCTTTTTTTCTTTCTTTCTCTTCTCAAAATAGTAGGCAAGCAATCCTAATATTACATTTATTAATTTCTATTGTATACCTGTTACTGAAAATATAAAATTATATTCCAAAGAGAAATAGCTTCTAAAGAAATCAAACTGAGGTATGAGAACTGCTTAGGTATGTGTATTGAATTGGACGTGTAGCTGTTGCTACATAAATGAAAACTCTTCTGTTGTTGACTCTATTGTAGTGTAGGTTATCAAATATTCAACGGTATGGGTCCACTTTAGCTCAGACATTCTAGTCAACTAGTTATATTTCTTTTTCATAAATGAGATATTTTGGGACATTTATGCATTCCATTGCTTTTTTATATCCAAAATTTTCTGTCAAAAAATCCCTTCTCTGTCCATATCTAGAAAAATATGGATGGCAATGTAGAGAAAACCAGTCTGAGCACAGTTATTGAAACTGAGTGGAAAAATCTGCATTGGAATGTTGGAAAACTAAAATAAATAAAAATAAATAGTTCACTTCATGATAAATATTTCAATAGATCTTTTAATAATATGCCCCAATACAAGAAATACTTGATGATGTCTGTAATAGTGAATGTCCTTATAGATAATATAAATTGACTTTAATGGAATATATATATACATTTTGCTAGGTGTGAGGATTTGTGGTTTGAAAATCCATCTGTATTACAACCCTTCTTTGATTAGTATATGCAACTTATATTACAATGAGAATATACCCTCTTTCATCCCACCATGTCTTCAACAAAGAAAAAGTTGATTGTTTTGATATTTTCCTAGTGAATCACCTTTTAAACCATTGAGAATCGTAACATTAAATTGAAACTTCCAATTGAAAAGCACTTTAAACTTTACTTAGGAATACAAATTATTCATTCTTATATTGAGTTGAAAATTTATCTGTATGGATGTCATGGGTTTTGTCATTGCAAAGTCTAAACAAAATTGAAAGAGCAGGAAGTTTCTCCTTTCTTCTCTCGCCTTTCTATATTTCTTGCCTATTTCTTGAGACCCTAATTCCTGTATTTCCTGTATTGTATTCTACATTTTTAGTAGCATTACCCTCCCGATATTTAATGTGGAATTTTAGATGCTCAAAAGAACAAAAAGTCAATTATATAGTTTTAAGCACTAACAACCAATCTAGGTAAAGTACATTTTATATTTGAGTTGGGGTCTTTTGCCTTCAATAAGACTGCAAGGGCTGTTGGTAGTGTTCAATTATAAGGCTAAACCTAGTCTTTGATTTTAACCTTTATTATATGTCACATATATGTGGACTGAAGACAGAAAGAACAATACTTAACAATGAAATTAAAATAAAGAAAATAAAAAGAGGATTTAATCTCTCTACATAGGAAAAATTGTTAAAAATTTGGTGTGTAAACTTATTTCTTTTTCCAGTAAGATACAAACACAGACTCAGACACATATTTATGGTAAAACTGCCTTCAAGGTTGTTGTCTGTATGTCTAACACTGCAAATTTAACAAGATAACATAAGTCACCTTTAGGCTAATAAATATTCATAAACTATATTTTACCTTGAAGGACTATGTTATTATTTGGAATCTAACAAAGTCCCTAGAACAGGACTTCTTATTTGTACAAAAATACTATTATTCTATGCATTGCTACTAAGAATGTCCTTACAGCTTATTTGTGGTCCACTCCTTTCACATATTTACTTCAGAAAAATTTTCAAAGTAAAACACAGTTGTAAATCAATATTAAAGCTATCTTTTTATCCCTTTGTAAATAATTTTGGGGATGATTTGAAGATAACTGCACATTCTTATTATACAGTCAGAATTTTTCCACTGAAATAATACATTTTACCCTTTAAGTTTTTGTCATTTAGTACATGGTTACTTTAAAGAAGAGATTATGAAAGTAATTCCTGGATTTTGATGAAAGCATAATTCCTACACCAAGTTACAAAGTCCCATGCTTGAGTAAGAGTTTCTTCTTTCAATATACACTTTCCTATTTCAGAATACATGCTGTTAAACCCTTCTTTTTCATCAGTAGAAACAGAAATAGATCACATAGAAAAGAATTGCTTGATTTTATTTTGCCTCTTGTGAATCCATTCTTATGCTTAACCTCAATTATAAGGAAGTCATTTTTAAAAACATAATATCTTCCTATAAAATTTGAACCCAAATGTAAATAATTTTTATTTTATTTCACATAATATCTTTTGCTTATATCTAAACTAACATACAGGTTGAGCTGTATTGAACAAACCAACATTATTCAGATTAAAAAATAATTCAAATTAGAAGACAATCACTTGATTTTAAATAACTGAGCAATTCTCCTTGGTTGTGAATGTGTGTGTGAGAGTGTTCCTAGAGATAGAAGAGGAGGGTGTTCATGGGGAGAAAGAGACAAAAAGAAAGTAATACCATACATAAATTAAAAGCGTGTGCATGTGTGTGTGTATGTAAATTGTTGAGTATACTCAACAGTTAGAAACATAAATTTAAGTGAAAATTAAAAGTTTAAATATGTTTTAGGTGTAAATGTAATGATTAAGACACAAATAGAAGCTGATAAAAATTCAATTGGTGCATAATGGAAAGAAAAGCAACAAAATAAATTAGTTCACAAAGCTGCCTGTGCGTTCCAAAGTCACATTAGATTCCACGTGCAGCTTTCTTGAACACTCATATTATCTCTGCACTCTCCATCTCCATCATGAAATTACATATGATGACCACTATCATCTCTGATTCCAGGAGAAAAAAGATTTTATTCCTTAATAAATTAAACTGATTCCAAAAATAATGAATAAAAATGAATCTTACCTCCATGACAGAGCAATGAGGATAACAAGAGAGCCAGGCAGCAACTGCCTTGATCTAAGTTGGGTGTTAGACCAAACGTTGGGCTGAGTGAGGGAAGAGAATTTTCCCTGAGACAGAATTGAAAAAATGTTGCCCTGAGAAACTGGAGTAAATATTGAAAAACCAAACAAAACAAATCTACAACACAAAATAAAGAAAATCAGTACAACCAAAAAAAAGAAAGAAATTGTATGTAATTTTCTAGTAGAGTATATTTATTGAACAAATGGAAATGAGTGGCACATTCATTACACAGGAACTGTAGCTTCTTCTTGATAAATGTGGAACCAAACATAAACAAAAATATCACAATCCCAAAGCTGCAAACCACTACCAGGAGCCTGCACCTGGAATGCTTTGACTTTGAGGGACATATTAGCACAGAGCAACAAGAGAACTTTGCTGTTATAGAGGCTATGAGACTATGAGATATGTGAAATAAACATGGAACTATTTTCCTGGAGGTAAATGTACCTTTAGAAATGACAGAAATTAAAATAAGGAGTCAAGGAAAAGTTCTATCATAGAAGAAAGACTGAACTCTTAGAGATCAAACCCACTATCAAGATTTAATACGAAAAGAGATGAATGTTTTGTTTTCATATCAAAGAGCATGATGAACAGTCCCAACAGGCTTAACAAAAGAGGTCAGCAAAAGGATTTGAGTACCTGTGGATTCGTTAGCAAGATACTACCTTAACCCACATTGAGACTATAACTGAAATCTCCCAAAAGAGAAATTGTATCTATAAAATGGTTGAATTATACTCTGAAGGCTCCTGGGCTTAGAAAATTATTCTTGATAAGAAGAAGTTGAAACTAAACAAATAAACTTAACAAGAAGACAAGAGAAAGGTAGGCAGATCTTACAGTAGAAGTATGGGAGATCTGCATGAAATAGATTCATAAATTGAGAAAAAGGAACGACATGGACTATGAAAAAGTAAAAATGCCTGGGAGATGGAGAATGTATAGGTTAAGACTGAAATGGTAAAAGAAGATATGGTTCAGAGAAGGGGAGCCAGGTAGGATTATATCAGAGTCCAAAGCTAATTTAGATGATGGAGTAACTATGAGAAGATACGTTCGGAAGGATCTATTCCATCATCAAAAGCAGATATCGACTTGTAAAAATATGACAATAGGTGAATTACTCCCCAAACCACACTGCCTTTTTCTCATATTTAAATCTATTAATTTTATTTCCTTTGGTCCCTGTATTACTGACCCCATAATGCTGAGCCAGATGTGACCTCAGCCTTGAAGACCCTCTACTTTATTATGAACAATGATCCTTTCTTGATAACTACTTGAAAGAAATAATTCCTTGAAAGTGATAATTTCTTGAAAGATTACAATATTTTTATAAATCTAAGTTACAATATATAACTGAGTCTCCACTGCTGCTGTGTCCTGCATAAGGGTTTCTTAAACCTTCGCTAAAGAGTGAAAACCCAACCATTTGTCTCTCTCTTTATTCTCTTTTTTCCATTGGCAGAGATTGGTAGAACGCCTCCAGCTTGGACATGATCTTGCACGTTTTCTCGTCTGTTCTTTTGTTCTTACTCTTATGTCTATCCAAGCAGTCTAAACGATTCTGAACTCAGATTTCAGCATAGGGGGAAGAGATGGTGAAAACAAAAAGGTCCCATGCACACGATTTTGTCAAGTTTAAGCATGTATTGCAAACGATGCCCTTCTTGGCCCAATCCCGTGTCTCAGAGCAGTCTGCAATGAGAATTTAGGCAGAATCCACACTTACCAATAAAATAACTTTTTCTATATTAACTTGGCAACTCTGTTGTGCTTGTATTTTCCCAAGGGTTTTCATAAAAGGGATGTCTGTGGCCTGAGGTAGGATTTGATGTTCTTTGCTCTTCTCACTATAGGAATATGGCTAATTTACTATAATCGCTTATTTATTTTTCTACATTTAACATCCTGATTTATTTCTTCTCGAAGAACCTTCAAAAATTACTGATATTTGATTAATTGTCTTAATCTAAATTTTCTTTGGAACCATAGGATTAAATTAATCCTAGTCAAGAAATTTGAGCCCTATTTGTAGGTACTCATTTTACTCGTCACTTTTAGATTTTCTTTCCCTAATATAAATGTTTATTTTGCTCAGTTCAGATGTAAATTTTAAAAATTCCATGTATTTATCATAAAGTCCACTCTTAAAATGGCAAAGTAAATATAAAATAAGTATATTTGATGGTTAAATAAATCAGATTTCAAAAAAATGATAAATTTGAATGTAACAGCTCCAGTGAATTTAACGAAAAATAACTAATGTCTTTAGCAGAGCATTGAATTAAATTGTATTTAAATAAACAATTACTACTGTATGACAATCGAATGACTTTCAGTCACAAATAGCTTTTCAATTGAAAAATAAAACTAGATAGCAAACATAAAAACATCTAAACATTGCCAATAAACAAATATGTGAAAAGTTAAAGTTACCAACACGATGTGTGTAATCTTGGCAAGTTTTAGTATGGTTATTGCTATGTCAAAAACAAAATCTATAAATTGGATATTAAAAACTTAAGCTGCAAAGGTGTACATTAAACTAGCAATGATTGTCCTATCTGGTGATAGAAATCTTGGTGATGTTTTTTCTTCTCCTTCTCTTTCTTTTTCTCTTCCTCCTTCTCCTTCTACTCCATTTTCTCCTTTATTCCTCTTCTATTTTTAAACTGATGATAGTGTGAATTGTGTTAGTAATTAAAAAATATACATTTTAACATCAAGAAAAACAACAAAAAATAATTATCACATTACCTTTGTACCACAGAAAAAAATTGGGGATATTACCATTGTTTTGGGTTGCTTTTTCTAGGTTTGGTAAAATTCTTAAAACTTGCGTGCCTAGGCTTTCTTCCTCTTTAAGGTGTGAAGTGTTTTAATTGATCAAAGAATATAAATAAAGAAAAAATATCTCAGTGCATGGCTTTTAAAAATAAAATTAAAGTAATGATAGCACAATCTATGCATTTATTTTTTTTTTCTCAAATTTACTAATTGCATGTCAGGTGGTATACTAGGTTCCTGGAATTCAAAAAGGTATAGCTACATCCCTGCTGAAAGATCAGAACCAACCAGCCTCTTGGACGTCTTACTACTCAACAATGAACCGTTAGTTTCATCAGCAGTGTATTTGTCTTTATTAGTAAAAAGAGGCTTCTTTTTCTCTGCTATATTTATTTTTAGAAAATGTACCGTTTTTAACATTTTATTTTTTATACTATAGATATTATATGTTGTTTAATTATGCTATTGAAAACTCTTCATGTCATTAAGCATAAAGTTGAGTTTAAACCATGTATCAGGATACAATTTTGAACATCAGCATACATCTTCTTCCCATCGTTTTTCTTCCTTTCCCTCTCCATCATTCAAGCAGATAATCATTGCCTAAATCAAGAAGAATGTACACCAGTCCCTCTTGGTTTTGGGTTCCAAAAGCACACACAATTAGGAGGATTCTAGAAAAGATGTATGGTTAAGTAAAGGAAGTTTCAAGGCCATGAAAATGTCTTGGCCAAATAGAGTAAAGAACATAGCTTTATCTCTGAAGTGTGAGATTCCACAAAAATGGGAAATGAATGAGGAGACAGGATTGGGCTGAGAGTAATGCTGGCAGGAGTTTAATACTGAAATTAATTTTATCATTTTAAATAGTCAGCCTCCAGTTCCCCTACCTTGTTTCCTTTCAGTAATTGATATCTCTAACTCTCAGTACACATACTGTGCATAGGAGGACACCAACCCAGCTCTAGAACTGGACACAGGATCAAAATCAGACTATTGTGCATTTGTAGTGCCGCTGATTGACTCAGAAATGGTTATTGGTTCAGAAATGGTTATGATCTCAGCCAGGTGAATAACAAACTACCAAGAACGTTTGTTAAAACAATTGTCAAAGAGAATTTCTCTCTCCACCAGGATAACTTTGGTAAACATAAAGAGAAAAGAATCTGCCCACAGATTCAGCCAAATGAGAGGAGAGCATATCTGAGATGGTGAAGGAAAGTGAATCAATCCTGTATTGTTTTCTGATTCAGTCACGCCTATGGGAGAGAAACTGGTTTTATGCACTGGTAGCAGTGAGAAAACAGAAACCCAGGGAGAAGATAACTCTGTTCTGTCTGTATTCTGGCAGAGTCAGAAAGCAAAATAGGTAAGTAAACACACAGAGAACCATAGAGCCAAAAATGTAATGCCAACTATTAAAATGAGCGTCTCAACAGACTCCTTCAAATCTAAAATACCTGTGCAATAAATTCACAACTCTGGGAAAGTATAATGACAACGATGGATGTGGGCTGGAAATGAAAAATAAATTGTAGAAAAAATAGTTTACCATCCTTGTACATGTGAGTTGACTAAGATTCATATACAATACATATTGTATATGTGTAGCCTATTAGGTTGAATGAAATTCTGAAATACTTGGGAGGCATTTAGCATTTCACATAAATAGTTTTGATAAAGTTCTTTCTTGAGGCAAGAGATAGATTAAACGTTCTTTTGAGATTTTTTTCAGATTAATGGTTCAATAGTATTGCTTTTATGTTCAGTATAAAAGTTAGTGTTTATACTTCAAAATCAGTGGCCTTTATGATTTCTAATATTCTGTGACAGTATTGTTATTTATATAGGAAAAAACTTGAGTCTCCTTAAGCACAGCATAATAAAAGTTATGTAGTATAAAAGAATTAAATTTTCTTTTTCATCTTTGGTCACTATTGTTTTAGATAGCATGGCGTACTTGTTCATAGATCATCCAAAGCAAAATTGTGTAGCAAGTGAAATCAGTAAGCTTTTGGTGACTCTCTTTGTTTAAATAACAACTAGGCATCTATAATCACCGTGGTGACTTTTGGCTCTCTTCATTCTGACAAGGGCATGTGATATATTACATCACAATTAAGAGTCTGAAAAGACACAAAAAGAAGGATCACAGTCCATTCCTCCAGTTGTTAGCTGTAAGACTGGGAAAATTATTAACTCTGAAATTCTATTTCTTCATAAGTAAATTTACATAAGGGTTATTTCATTAAATAGAGTAAAAATATGTAAAGTAGACACACATTTTAGACCCCCTTTAATTTCATATACTTCTTAATCAAACTTTGCTGAACCTAAACTAATTCATTGTATTCAATATTTGATTAGGATAAAATCTCAGACTGAATCTTTTTTAAATAAAACAACCTAATATATTTGGCCACCAAAATATTTCAAAATAATAACATAATGTTAAATGCTTTTTAATTGCATTTAATCCTCATAACATTTCTCATGGGTTAGTATATTTCTGTTTTCCACATGGGAAAACTGGAGCACAGTAAATTTAAGTAGCTTTGCTTAAGGTCACACATTTAGGAAGTACCCAAAATAGGATCTAAACACAGGCTAAGTAAGTCCAAAACATTAATTCTCAACTATGCTTTGCTATAGTCGTAGTTCTACTTATAATTGATATGACATTGAGATGAACCATGTATTTTCTCCCTGCTTCAAAATTCTTGCGTGTAGTATAAGGAACTGGGACAAAGTAATCTCTAAAGCACCTTCTGGTTGAAGAATTTCATTCTATGAGACAATAACTAAGCATGTGAGTGATTCATTAATTATTTATTCTCGCTTGCTCTCATTCTCCCTCTCTTTCTCAGCCAAGCCATAATTCCTATGTAAAAGGCATATAATCTACAATGATTCACTAATTCAAGTCTGTCTGTCTGTCTGTTTCAAGGGTCATTATACTCTTCATTATTTAGAAGAAAAGTTGACTTTCCTTAAGTCTTTTGCTAAACCTGTCCTCTCTATAATAGGTTCTCAGCCAATTACATCTTTGCCTACAACACTCTCTTTTCTACACTTGCTCTTTCAGTTCTTTCACTGCTGACAACCACATGAATCTGGGCATTAACATCCCACCTTCCCTGCAAGGTGCTGCTGGTCATAATGACATCAGTGAAGGGTGATGTACGAAGTGATGGGAAGTGAAGAGCGTGCAAGTTAAAGGGAAGTGCCATCTCTTCACTTCCCACCATATGAGCATCTGGTCTGTGCAAGAAAATTTACTGACTGTTACAGATATTAAGATGATTTGTACCACAGGGAGTGCTGTGAACTAACTTGGGTCAATTGTGAACAGACAAATTATTCACAAGTTTGTTTGAATAGAATTCAGTAGATTCATAATTAAAGTTAGGTGAGTCCTATAGCTTCCTCCCTCCCCGATCTCCCTCACAATCTCAAAATCAAATGAAATTTTATAAAAGCAAATTATGCCACCATAAATAACATTTTTATCAAATAATCTGCAAGTGTTCGTATTGTTTTCTATAAAGGCCCATTGAAACTTTAACTCCCTGGTTTTTGTTTGTTTGTTTGTTTTGGTGCTAACAATGACCTTACATGAAATGAGCTCTTGAAATAATGGTTATAATAGTTTACTGACTAATTCAGCTAACTTCTTATGATATTTGACAGCACAATCTTCCAAGGGTACCCCGTGGGCTGTGAATTGAAATTCAAATGGTATAGGTTGCAAGGTTCCCCAAATTCTAATACTCTTGCACATTCAAGCATCAAAGTATTAGTATGTTTCTAAGCAATCAATACATCTGGGAGCATTACTTATTCCTCAGTAAAAAGTAATTTCTCATTTTTTTAAATTAACAGTTCCTTTGTGCATGTGAGGGTAATGTAGCTTTAGATATTTAGGGCCTTCTAAATAACCTAACCACCCCTGGAGTATGAACTGCTGATTAGAATACAGCATATGTTAGCAAATAACAAACACTTGGCAGAGGCTTTGAAGTTTTATGTTTTGTCTATAGCTTGGGTCTCATCTAGTTGTCACAGGATTCCCTCACTAGCCTATTCTCTAATTAAGAGGAGTCACAGATAACTGTATCATCTCTCTTTACAGAGCACATTTCAAGATGAGAAGTAGGGACAGTTGTTCTTTTTCCTTAACTTTCATTTAATTTGTTTATGACATAATAAAGTAGATAAATACATGTAGATAAACTGTGAAAGACCTTTACATGAAGTCTATAATTAATACAACAGGGCTTTAGTGATGATAATGGAGCCAAACCATGGAAGACTGAGGCTGACAAGTCACAGATGTTGGGGAATCTAAGAGCTGTGAATTAAGAAAAATGTTGAAACAATCAGATAAAATTTAGATGTTGAAAATTACATTTATAAACAAGAATAACTTATTCAATATAGTTCTTTATGTGCTCTATGTAATTTATAAAAATACAATTTTGAAAGATTAAAATCATTTCTTAAATTATACTAAGTATTCTTCTAAGCCCACCAGCCAAAGCACACTGGAGACACAGCCTGAGTTAAATAAATTATTTTTATTTAGCCTCTTCAACAGTTTATTAACTAATTTATTCAATAGTTAAATCAATTATTTTATTTAGCATTTCAGAAAAGGTCTTAGAAATATCTCACAAAATGGAGTGAGGAGACACTTTTATTGGATTTAGTTTTGTAGTGAATGATTCTAAGGAAGGTAAAGTGAAGACCAACTGTGGATTGGATGCTGTCAAGCAAGCAGAGCATTTAGCAATTGGATAGTTCAGCAACATTTATTTAGGAGATGAGATCAATGAAGTTAGACCAAAATGTCATTGGTTCAAAAAAAAAAAGGAGCAATAACTCAAAAGGAGGGGTTGTTATTCATTTTACAGCCATGGAGGGTTCATTGGAGAAGCATTGTTTATATAGCCTTGTTGAAGTCTCATGGTTAACATTGCTTTACGTCCTGGTAGGAATAGCACAGCCTGTTTATCAACAGGGGTGGCTTTCACTTTTGAATATTTATGCTTCTCTCTAAATGACTCAGGATGGCCAACCATTTACTCATTCTAAAATTGTTTGCTAGAAACTTATTATATGTTAGGATCTGACTAAGATATAAATCCTGCCCTTCAAAGGATGTTTACTCTACCAGGGAGGAGAAAGGTATTGATGGCAATTATTGTAGTATATTGGCAGTGGGAGCATTCAACGAGAGCATTATTGCTGCAAACTGACCCAGGCCAATTTAGTGGTTCAGCAAGCCACAGTTGCCTTTGGTAAGATTGTTAGGCTAATAATGGATAGATATCTTTAAGAACCGCATATCCAAGTGGAATGCCTGAATAAAAGTAAGTCTAAGGCCAAATTTCTTCCAGCATACAAACATTACTAGGAATCTGGAAAAACAGTCATATACTTATTCTACATCTCTGAGAATTTCCATTTGCTGACCAAGGCACCATAATTTAAGCATTTTGTACAAGGATGACTTGGAAGTAGGTGAGAAAATACATAAACAGAAGACCAGCCAGAGTTGTAACTCTGTGAAGTGGCAGATCCTTTGTGAAAAGGAGGGAGGCAGAGCCAGTAGGACTCTGTACCTTGAAAAGTGCTCCAATAGCATTGGTTGGGCCAGATTCTACACATTTCCCATGCAGAGCTTGAGATACATGTATGATATTTTCTACCTGTTAAAACTCTGAACTTTCATTTCACCATAAAAATATTCTAACATCATTTCTACTAATGAATAAACTTAGGTGACAAATTTATTAATCGAGTTTAAACAATAGATTGCATTAATTACATTGATTCTGACTCCATTGATTCATGACTGGAGTAAGCATAACACTATAAAAGCATTGGTTTTTGATTTGGTTACCTTAAATACTAACTAACCATGCCTAGGTTCTAGATTACAGGAAACATACATATACATATACATACACACACACACATTTATGTAAAGCACACACATATACACATATACTCACATGTACATGCACATATATACACATATACAAATGCACATATACACACACACATATATACACATTATTTCTCTCTTACATGTGAGAAAATTGAGGCATAGTAAATTTAAGTAACTTTGCTGAAGGCCACACATTTTGGAAGTAGCCAAAATAGAATCTAAACACAGGACTGAATAAGTCCAAAACAATAATTCTCAACTAAGTCCTTTGCGCTAGCTGTGTATATATGTGTGTATAAATAGATATATGTCTGTACATGTGTGTATATGTATATATGTGTTTTTATATATACAAATGTACACATATTTGTATATATGTATATATATATTTATGTGTATGTGTGTGCATATACGTATAAAATATATGTGTATACTATGTATGCACATGTAACACATAAATATGTATACAGAGAAAAATATATATATACATGTATATACATAAGCTCTATAATTTAGATGTCTCTTCACAACTTACATAATCTTATCTAAGACTGTGTTAGATAGTCTTTTCTTAGATATCTTTGATACTTTTCCAAGTTTTCAAATAGATATTGACCCTAGTTTCAAAATCCCAGAAAAAGCCTCACCACAGGTAGGCTCCTTCTTCCAGTCTCTGAAATCTCTTATTCTATTTTCCATTGAATTTTCTCTTTCCTTCATTTGACCTTTCCTTTAACAAAGCTTAAGAGAGGACCAATGACCTTCAAAATCATCAAAACAGTACTCCAGGTAGTTGGTACCAATCAATGATTGTTAGGAATCAAGATGAAAATCATTTTTGATTATTGGTAGAGCTGATATGATCAAATGAGTATGTAATATTTCTAAAATGTTTGTAAAGTAATTCTTGGATATATTAAACTTTAATCCATTTGTGTAGCCTAAAATACGGTTTCAGTGTGCCAGTGTATTAAAGAGCTTTACAAAACACACACCCTGGGCTTCCTTTGTAAAAAGTAAGCCAAACGTGTTCCTCAATGAGGAGCGAGTTCTAAGAAATCTAAAACTTATCCCGCATAACCTTTTAAGTAAAAACCTTTAAAGAATATTTTCCCCAAGTTCTTTTGGCTTTTTGTGAGTTTCTACTACCTTTTATGCTTGACACATTTTCACTATGTGTTTGCCAAGTTGTGCTTTAACATGTTATAGATTCTTCCATTCAGCTTCCAGTATGGGCTACGTTTAAAAACAGCTGTGCTTCATCATCCTTTCTTTTGTCCAGAGAATACTAAGTGGTAACCTGCTGTCATGCGGCTGCCAGAGCAAATTAGATGCTGTGATTCCTGTGTAGTGCCCCAATTACAAGTAAGGAGGGCACTTACCGTGCAGTACTTGTCTTGATGTAAGGGAGTCATAGATTTCAACTGAAAAATAGTTGTCCCTAAGAAGGACACTCGTATCTGCCTACACATATTAGATAACATTTTGAAATTAGAAAACAGAGGGGTTTTTTTTAATAAGTGCCTAGCCTTTTGTAAATATCAGTGCATATAAGTGATCAAAATACCAATTACAGGAAAGAACTTTGTATAATATTTTGAATTAATTTAACTATGACCTTGATAGAATATTTTACACTTGAATCTTTGCACAGTATTAGGCCACCTTTTTTTATCAAATGGAATGACCTGGTTAATTCTACTTAAAATACTTTAAAATATATATTTACTTGCATGACACATATTACAATGTTTATATACATAGATATGTCATAAAATCATATATAATATATACTAATATGCATGCATCATTTTAGATTTTGGGCAGATACTTTTGTCTTGTTTCCTGTTCTCATGAGAACATCTAAATAATATGTTTCTACTCTTGCAGAAATCATCAATCAATTCAAATCCACTGTTTCCTTTTGACTGTTGGCTGTTTTGTTTTTCAATGTTTTGTTTTTGTTGTTTTGTTTCATCTTTGCATGGCAGTAAATAAATAGCTAATGGTATACAATATGCACCAGGAACTATCATAAGGACCTTTATGTGCATTTTTAAAATTTTATTTTCCAGATAACTCTAAGATTGTGCTTATTTTTCTTTTACAGACAAAATTGGGGATGGGAAGGTTAGATAACTGGTACTGGTACAGGATGGAGTAAAATAAATCAGAATTCTAGAGCCATGATACATAGTCCTGTCTGTCTGCTTTCTGATGACATCTCCTTGTACAGCACCTAAAGAAATGGGGGAACAGGGACACTTTCTGATTCACCTTCGACCTGATGGTAGTTGATAGAGAAGGAACACTTGATACCTCCTACACGTCATCTAACTTTATGCCATGATCTATTCCATGCTGCACTCTCTTTCTGTACTTTTGTTCATGTTGTTGCTCTTTCCCTTCCCCCATCCCAGCCTCTTCACTTGATGCCCATTCTTTAATTATTTATTCCAAGGCCTCTTTTCTGATTTAAAAGCCCCTTGATCATTCCAGACTACTTGGATCTCAAACTTTCCAAGCTCCTTTGCTCTTCCTGACTGAAACATTCAGGCAGCAATTAGTAAAATGCCACTTGTCTTTTTAAAAACAAACAATTTCAATTTTTTATTATAGATTAAGGGGTACATGTGCAGGTTTGTTACATGGATATATTGTGTAATACACAAGGTAGGAGGTATAAACGACCCCATTACCCAGGTAGTGAACATAGTACCCAATAGTTATTCAGCTGTCTATTAAAAGGTATAACTTAATTTAAGACTTCACTTTTTATGCTCTGTGGCTATGAAGTAACAAGCATATTTTCTCTAGCTATACTGTAGAATTGGTCTTCTGAGTCCTTATTCAGTATTTCTTATATGTGGATTTTTTGCCTCTCCTTCTAGACTGAATGATTTTTGTGAGTAAAGACTACATCCTCCACATTTTTTAATGCCACAGAGTTTTAGTCCAACAAGAGCATAATAAAAAGTGTCCAAAAGTATTTGATGGATTGAACTGAATGCAGTACTCAGTAACCTTAGGGCCAGTCTGGTGCTCCAGACACTAGATTGCCCTACTTGTTATGCCACTAGGATTGACATTAAACTTTGCAAGCATGTACATGAGCAGTTCAAAATAATTCCCAATATAACTCAATTCTGATGACATTTGGCACTACTGCACTTTCCAGAAATTGATGGAAAATGTCAATTCTTCCCTGTGGTAGTTTTGCCAATTTCAACTAAAGTGAAAAGTAGACGTGTCGCTGGGCAAAAGACTAATTGCTTCCAGAGAAATGAATGGGCCAATGAAGAAGGTGGTTTGCTTCCAAAAAACATGCACCCTCAAAAGGATATAGTATAATACTGATATTAGACTGAGCATATGAACATTGAAATATTTTCATTAATTAATTACCAGGCTGAAGTCACTTACTTTGACCAATATAGAATTGCTGTAACTTTGAGTGTAATGTAAAATTCGTTTTGGTAAATTTAGAGGAAAAAGTAAAAAAATAATTTATTCTGCAAACCAATAACCTTTGGATGTCTATTATGTGACAATCAATCCTTACACTAGGCATGGGGGATTTAAATTTAATAAATAACTAGTACCTAAAATTAAGGAAATGATGATCCCATAGAGATAAATAAATAAGTACAGTTAATTGTGATCATTGGTAAAAAGGGAGAATTTGTGATCTGCACAAAGCTTGAAGCTCTCATATTGATCTTGGAGTTCAGGCAAAGAAGGCTACACGATTGTGAGCTAAGGTTTGAAGAATAAATACAGGTTGAAGAAGATTATTATTTCAGCTTTGATATCATTATCCCTATGCAAATAATATATCCTGTGGAAATATAGGTTATACAAAGTGGAAGTGGGAAGAAAATAGAGTTTGTAAGACTTGGTGTGGTAAGATGTATAGTTTAAATACCTTAGATAAACATTTAAGAAATTTCTTCAGAAAAGTGAGAGATGTTCTTATATTTTAAACAGACCTTCCAACAGGATAACTGAGCAGGAATGGTGGTGGAGTGGAAATGTTGGGCAATACAATCAGGAAGAACAGTGAGAAGACATTTCTATCAGTGAGATACCACTGGCTGCAGATAATGAATATTAGATTAGATTGGTCAAGATTGAATGACCTCAAAGAATTTTACTGTTGCCCTCCCACTTTTAAAACTCCAGAACTTCAACATGTATGCTATATTTAAGAAATTAGATAATTAATATATGGCTAATGGAAAGAGATTAAGCTTGTAGCAGAATGTTCTCTCAGGACATTCCAGTAAGAAATACTTCCTAGGGAAGTTAAATTATGAGCAAATTTGACTTTTTTAAAATTGTGTTTGTAGAAGTGATTATACCCATATCTCCAGTCCTGCTCAAATCTCTAAGGGACTGATGAAGAGGTTCTGCATTCAACAAAGCCTGGAAAAACATTTTCCTGCATTTCCCACTTCTTTCCATTTATCAGTGGAGATGAGTCCTGTCACGAATAACTTAATTCAATTCTCTATGCAGAGAGAATGATAGCAGGACACTGATTTAATTTTTTTAGGCCAAACTGCCTTGCAGGCAGGTCCTCCAGCATTTTCTCTGGATTCAGTGTGAGTTGCAAAATGTTATTTGCAGTCCAGTTCTCCTGGTAGCCTCGCACCAACTCATTTCTCCCAGCTTTCTAATTTGTAGTTTTCAAGAATAACTGTAGGATGTGCTGGGAATGCAACATCCTGAGATAAAAGGAGATTGGAGAGAACAACCTGGGCTCTTTTCCAGTCCTCTCAGAAATAGGATAATCTTGAACACCTTAACCCAGTGTTTCACAGGACCCCAGGGTATAAAACCCATGCTGGGCTGTTTTTGGGGGTCCTTCAACTGCGGTGCAAGGGAAGCATGCACGGATGAGGCTGCATTGATCCCAGGAAGCTTTCCTGAGCCTTGAGGGTTCAGCTTGCAATGAATCACAGGCTTCCATTGCCCCTTGCTGTGTATCTGTAAGCGATAAATCCACTTATTTGTATGAATAAGTTCTGTCTTGCCAGATTCAGACAAGCTGGTAACCAGTGCACAGTGAACCTGTTTTACATCAATGAATTCCCAGTTCCCACTGATCTCAAATGACATAAAGATGATTCTTAAATATAAACAAACTTTAAAAATTGAATGCATGTGAATATCTACTTCAACGTTAACTTTTTGGTGGTTTGAGAAAATTTCAAGAGTAAATTTTACTCGTGGTTTGAGAAAATTTCAAGAGTAAATTTTACTCTATCAGTTTTCTATAACATTTTTCTATGTCTCTGACTCTATGTTCATGTAAAAATTTATATCCTGGTTGATTCAGGAGGGGTTCTTCTAATGACTAGCTTTGCTGTCACTTTTTTATGTGATTTTGATATCTATCCAAGTTTTTTATATTGGTCTATCTATATGCCTTGAGACTTTCTTCACATGAAATTCTTTTGTAATAATGTTATGTGAATGATGGTATTACCTCTGAAAACAAATCAGATATTCTAAGTTAAGTCTAGGCTCAACAGTATATTTGCCTTGAGATTGGGGGTACAAATATTTATACTTTCTTAATCTGAGTTTTCTCATGTATATTAGATTTCTATGCTGCTATTAAAATTTACCAAAAACTTAATGGCTTAAAATGACAACATGCATTTATTATTTTACAGTTCTGGAGATCAGAAGTCCTAAAATGAAGGTATCAGCAAGGCTATCTTCCTTCCAAAGATTCTTAGGGGGAATCAGTTTCCTGGCCTTTTTCAGCTTTTCCAGGTAGCCTACTGTCCTCAGCTTCTAAACCGTTCTCCCATCATTCCAACCTCCGCTTCCATCATCACATCTCCTTCTGTGACTCTGGCCTTCCAAGCTTCCTATCACAGTGACACCTGTGATAACATTAGGCCCAACCAGATCATCTAAGACAAGCTTTCCATCTCAATATCTGTAACTTAAACAATCCATAAAGTCCTTTTTGTTATGCAAGGTAACAGACACAGGTTTCAGGAACTAGGACGTGGGTATCTTTATATGTTTATGTGTGGGTGCGGGGGGTGTCACATTTTTTTGTCCATAACAACATCTTCTAGAATTGGAAAACTGATACCTTTCCTACTTATTTCTATGGCTTGCCATTACGCTCAACGGAAATAATTTATGAGAAAGCTTTATGCAACTCGTGAAGGTGTAATTTACTATAGAAGAACTCGTTCTATTGATCCCACTTCATGTTTTTTCATTTACTACATAAAGTATTTTCCCTTTATATTTGGATCATTATATGAACCAATTCCAATTCTGTGATTCATACAACTTCTTGTAGTACAGTGTGTTTTACCATAAAATTGTGACTTCTTCTATTTCCGGAAAACCGTATTAAGAACATATTAATAAAGGATACATATAAAGTCACAATGTAAAATGCAGTATTGCTGCAGATTATTTTAACACAGAAAATGTTGATGCAGCAACTGAAATTAGGAAAGAAGAAAAGGAAAAGATTGTCATTTTTGCCAGAGTTACTCTAGCCATCAGCCAGCTCCACAATATTATTTTCTTTATTTTTCCAAACTGCATAAGCAAACAATGCAATGAAAATATATGGACACCCTTTAGTATATATTAGCATTGTTACTTCTTTGTGTAGTAGCCTTATAATCAATTTATACTCATATATATATGTATATAAATCAATTATATACAAAAAAGTTTGAAATTACATAGATAACTAATTTCAAGAGAAAAGATGTTTGCCTGTTTGATTCACATGTACACTTATCTAATTGTGTGATAGATAATCAAGACCATCTGGTTACATAGCAATGTATCTCTTTCAAGTTGTTTGTGTTTGAGTTCAAAGAAACACAAAGGGAGTGTAATATTTTCATTGGTTGCCTTCACATTATAAAATTAATTACAATGTCTGCCAGCTACCTGCATATGGATGATCATCTTTTGCTTGTCAGTAATTTAAAGCAAAATTAATGGTCCATAAAATAGGTGACTAGTTTAGCTCATAACTCATACAGAAATTTTTCATTTAGACAACCATTATATTATGAAATAAATAAAGTGAGCCTATTACTCTAAGAATAGCAACTGGCAGTATTTGGTGTCAATTATAAAATGTAAGTTTATAAATGAAAAATTAAATTTTTAAAAATCTTATGCCTACCACCATGGGCTTCAACATTGCCCAGTTCTTACAGAATATTTGTATGCTATAGCTGGTGAAATTGATTAATGTGACCTTTGTAATTGCAAGTTTCAGCATATGTATTTGCAAAACTCAGGGAAACAAAGTTTTCCAAATAGTGGTTATATGATGCTATACAATTATGCATAAATTTTAAAAATCCACTCAAAATGAAAAATAGACCAATAAACTTTTCTATGTATATGCTTCAAAAAATTATCTATGGACATTGACACTTTGATTTCTCATATTTAGGTGTCACAAACATTACTTTTCTTTTTAAAGTTGCAAAGAGTACAGACAATTCCCATATACCCCACACCCAGATCCCTCTATTATTAACATCATAAATTATTTTGGTATGGTTGTTACAAGTAATAAACAAATATTGTACACCACTAGTAAAGTACAAACAACACTTCTACAGTTTTTAATGCCCTTTTCTGTTCAATATTCTCTCTAGAGTACCATATTAAATTTATTTGTCAAGTATTTGTAGACTCCTCTAGATTCTGATGACTTCTCAGACTGGTCTCAACAGGCTTTTAAGAACACCGACTAGCCATTTTATAGACTGCTCTTCAATTTTAGTATGCTGGATTTGTTTCTGAGGATTAGAAAATGATTATGGTTTTTTGGGTTTTTTTAATTTGTTTTTCAGGTGGTGGGTAGAAAGAAGAAAACCACAGAGATAAATTGCCATTTTCATCAAATCATATGAAGGGTATATTTTATCGATATAACTTACCACTGTTGGTGTTAACTATAATCATCTGACTGAGATAGTGTTTATCAGTTTTCTCTGTAGTAAAATTACTCTTCCCTTTCCCTTTCCAAAAGTACTCTTAAGAAAAAAATACTATGTATAGCTCAAATCCTTGGGGTAGTATCTACACAAATTATTCTGAATTGTTCTGCGTGGAAGATTTGTCTATTGTGATCATCTATTTATCTATTTGCTCATTATTTATGTCAGTATGGACTCATGTATGTATTTTAATATTTGATGTTGTAATATAATACTTTATTATTTATTTTGTTGCTCAAATTGTTTCAAGCTTGGACATTGGGAGCTCTTTTAAATTGGTTTCTTTCACCCTTTGATACACCCTCACTATGGTATGCATGTGTGTACATGTGTGCACTTTCTTGTTGGAGCTGCAAGATGATTCCAGCTCATCAACCATATCCCCTGTCAAGCTGTAGAATCAACTATTTCCGCAAGGATTCTTGCTTTCTTTATTAGAGAATCGTATTCAAAATCAAAATATTACATGCGGAGTGACAAGTGGATTTTAATTTTCCAGAGCATAATAATTTATTGGCATGGTTTCAGATTAGACATGAAAAATCCTCTTTAAGAAAGTACTATGTGACATTAGCCAAAATGGTGGGATAAGAAACTCTAAATTTAGGCTCTTCCTGAAAGGAGTGCAAAACAAACAATAACAAAAACTAGCAGAAACTATGAGAACCAATTTTGCAGGAATTTATAAAACACTCATAGCAAAGAAAAGTCCAAGACCATATGGCTTCACTGGTAAATTCTGCCAAACATTTGAAGAATTAACACTAATCATTTTCCAAGTCTTCCAAAAATAGAAGAGAGAAAACATTTCCTAACTAATTCTTATGTGGCCAGCATTACTTTCATACCAAATTCTGAGTAAGATATCAGAAGAAAAAAAAATTACAAACCAAATTTTGCATCGTGAATAATGATAAGAACACTCAGCACTCTAGAAATAGAAGGGAACTTCCTCAAAACATTAAAGGCTGTGTATAAAAACAGAAACAAAAACAAAAACAAAAACCCCACAACCACTATCACATTCACTGGTGAAGTATTGAAACCTTTCCCCTTTAAATAAAGAACAAGAAAATGATGCCCACTTCCATCACTGCTATTTAACATTTTAACGGATAAACTGTCTACAGCAATTAGAAGAGAGAAAAGACTTAAAGGACATTCAAATTCGAAAGGAAGAAGTACAACTATCTTTCCAGATGACATTAAGCAATATATGTAGAAAATAATAAAGAACACACACACAATTGATAATTAATTTATTATTAATAATTTGTTATTTAATAATAGTAAACGAATTAACAGTCCAGGATACAAGATCAATGCACAAAAAATGAGTTGTTTTCCTTTAAATTACCAGCAAATACCCCCAAAAGAAAATGAATAAGCAGGCCGGGTGCGGTGGCTCACGCCTGTAATCCCAGCACTTTGGGGGGCCCAGGTGGATGGATCACCTAAGGTCAGGAGTTCAAGACCAGCCTGCCTAACATGGTGAAACTCTGTCTCTACTAGAAATACAAAAATTAGCCTGGCATGGTGGCACACACCTGTAATCCTAGCTACCTGGGAGTCTGAGGCAGGAGAATCACTTGAACCTGGGATCGGGAGGTTGCAGTGAGCTAAGATCACACTACTGCACTCCAGCCTGGGCGACGGGGCAAGACTCCATCAAAAGAAAAAAAAAAAAAAAAAGAAACAATTTTATTTACAGTAGGTTCCAATAGAATCTTATACTTAGAAATAAGTTGGTCCAAAAAGGTAAAATCTGTGCAATAAATACAAGAAAGCATTGCTTAAGGAAGACCTTAATAAATGGAAATAAATCCAGTGTTCCGGATAGGAAGACATTACTATTTACATATCAATACTTCCTAAGGAATCTGCAGACT
Source organism: Homo sapiens (assembly GCF_000001405.40). Taxonomy (NCBI): domain Eukaryota; kingdom Metazoa; phylum Chordata; class Mammalia; order Primates; family Hominidae; genus Homo; species Homo sapiens. The sequence goes on from NC_000004.12 coordinate 171,290,140, forward strand.
GAAAGCAATCTCTATCAAAATATCAATAGCCTTTTATTTTGAAAAAATGGAAAAGCCTATTCTTAAATTCATAATGAATTGCAAGTGGTCCTGAGTAGCAAAAACAATCTTTAAAAAAATAATAAATTTGGAAGACTTATATTTTCTGATTTCAAAATGGGTCAATAACATAAATGTAATATCAAAAGCATTGGCAATGAAATTTTTAAAAACAGATAAATTTGACTTCAAAATAAAAAATGTGTGCATCAAAATACATTGTAAAAAAAAAGTAAATCACAAACACAATGAGAAAAAACATTTGCAAATCACCTATCTGAATATGTGTTATCCAGAATATATAAATAACTCTTGCAACTGAACAACAAAAATACAAATAGCCCAACTGAAAAATGGGCAAAGAACTTGAATAGACATCTCTTCAAAGAAAATAGAGAAATAGACAAAAAACATAGGAGATAATTCTCAATCCCATTGGTCTCACTGGGAAAACATAAATTTAATCCACAATGAGGTACTACTTCACATCTACTAAGATGGATATAATTCTTTTTAAAATGAAATCGGCAATGGTGAAAATATATAGAAATACATAAAATTGTTTAGCCAGTATAGAAAACAATTTGGTGGCTACATAAAAAATTAATTAGAATTAACAATTAACCCAGTAATTCCACTTCTAGATACATACCCAAAAATTAAAAACAGGTACTCAAATACTTGTATACGTATGTTCACAGTTTACAGTGCGATATTCACAATAGCCAAAAGATAGAAATGACACAGCTGTCCATCAGCAGATGAATGGAAAAACAAATTGCAATATATAATCTTAATGGAATTTTATTCAGCCATAAAAAATAAATGAAGTATTAATAGATAATGCAATATGGGTGAACCTCAAAAACATCTTGCTTAGTGAAGGAAGCCAGCCAGTAAGATCACATATTGTATGTGATCTGAGATATGACTTATTTGAAATATCCAGAATAGGTACATCTTTAGAGACAGACAGATTGATGTTTGCCAGCAGCTGGGGCAGAGATTGGAATTCAGGGTAACTGCTTAATCAATGCAGAATTTTCTTTGGGGTGATGAAAATGTTTTGGTACTATATAGAGGTGACAGTTACATAACATTGTATATGTTCTAAATGCTTTTGTGCACATTAAAATTATCAATTTTATGTTATATTAACTTTACCTCAAGAAAATCCCACTTTACCTCCATAAAATAACCAAGTGTAATAATAGGCAAAACTTTTGAAGACAATTTATGGAATATATATATAATGAAATATATATTATGAAATATAAATATATTTTCCATTCATAGATATATATGTGAATGGAAAATGTGTACATGGTAATATGTAATATTATTAGTTATCAGATAAGTGCAAATAAAACCACAATAAGATATAATTATGCACTTGGTAGAATAGCTTTAAAAATTGACAATACTTAGTGTCTACAAGTGGAGCAACTGGAATTCTCATAGATCCTACAAAGAAAAAAAACGGCACCCCACTTTAGAAAACAGTTTGGCAATTTTATAGAAAGTTAAACACTAAGTGGCATCACAATTTTAGTCTAGTATTTACACAAGTGAAATAAAAACTTACATTCTCACAAAACCTACCTGTATTTGAATGGTTCCAGTTGATTTTTAAAATAATTACTCCAAACTAGAATCAACCGAAATGTTTAAATGGTGAGCTAATAAACAAACTACAATGTCTTTAAATGAGGCAATAATACTCAAAAAGGAAAAAAAAAAACTCATACGTGCAAGAATCTCAAATTTATTATGTTAAGTGAAAGTAGACAATCTGAGAGTCTAGTAAGATTATATTTCTATGACATCATGGAAAAGGTAAGAGTATAGAGATAGAAAACATAGCAGTGGCTAACAAAGATTGAGAGTGTGAGGGAGGAGTTGTCTACAACAGACATGCAGGAATTTGGGGGTTAGAACCACTTTAAATTTTCATTATGGTGATGGTTACACTACTATATACATATATCTGTACTCACAGAACTACATTAAAAGTGAATTTTCTTTGTATGTAAATTGTACTTTTAAAAAGCTCATTTAGAAATTTGAAAATCTTTCATTTAATATACATACTTACCAATTGTTCAGAATCTCCCCATCAACACCCCAAATCTGGATTCCATTTCCTTTACTGTTCTACAAATCCTACATCTTGCTTATCAAATTGATTCACTGAGTGGCATCTCTCAAGCATTTCTGTCTATTTCAAGGGTGACTTGAGTTTATTGCAGTCATTGTCAGGACTTCTCACTCATACGAGTGTCAATATTCAGCAACTATTGAACAACTAATAAGAGCCATGTGAAGTGATATAAAGATTTAAAAAAAAGTATAGTCACACATCCCTCCAAATGGTTCAGTCTTCTGTTTGAAGGCATACAAGTAGCCAGGTAATTTCCATGCAGTCAGTGATACCACTGATGTTCAAGTTGTGACCAGGTGCTCCAGGAATGTAAAAAATAAAAAGGTGGGATAAGGCACGCAATCCACATTAGATGTGGTAGAAAGGGTGAGTTCTGAATGATATATTAAGGAACATATACTTTACATCACTAGAATAGATTTGCTATTGTCTATAATCCTAATGCCTATGTTAAATATACTTATATGTGGCTCCTGCAAATTCGAAAAGCAAGGTGCCTGTGTGCTTCCTAATCTGGAGACGTTCTCAGACAGCCGCCTTAGCGAACAAGGTGATTGGTCTTCTTTGTGATTTTGCAGTTAGCTTTTGATAACCTTCCAGTTTATTTCATTAATGTAAACACTTCCGAGACTAGTACATCTTCTTAAATAAATACTTGTCACTCATCGACATATGAAAACTTATATTCACTAACTTGCATCGCTTTTTATTTCTGTCTTGATCACTTAGAGATTCCTTATCATGTACACCACATGCTTCTGTTGGAATGAGTTGGTCTGGTATGGGAAATGAGTTTCTAACAGATGAGGTTTTGAACAATTTTGCTGCCACTTCATTTTCTCAAATTTATTTACATGATATATGTTTTTTGTTTTCTTTAGATAAATATCTTATTTGTTTAACCATCATTTTTGACATTGTGCTGTGTTCTAGACCAGGGTAAAAAGTCAAAGAAAGCATAGTTTCCATGTGTGCCTTTAACTGTGGTATTGAATTTGATCTTTTAGTTCACTGAATAAATAATGAAGTAACCAAAAGAGAGAATACAGAAAGAGAAGTCATTGAATATTAAAGTTATTCTTATATATATAAAGATTATGAATTATCATTTTTGTGAGCTATTTAAATAGAGCTATTCAGAGTAATGCTAGACAGAGATAATTTATAGAGCTGTAAGGGAGAAGAAAACAAGACTTAGGAAAAAACATGATGTTGGTAAAGAAAAAGGAGTAAAATGGAGGCAAAAAAAGGAATAGTAATAGAAATGGAGGCTGAGTAAGGACAGGGCTCATAATAAAGTTCAACCCTACTGAACAAAGGTCAAGTGAACAATGATTTCAAGAATGTGAACTGTTACTACTAATAATAACACAGAAAAAGAAAATGTAACAAGAATTTTAAATGAGCCATGGGCATTGACAACTAGTCCTTGTTGACCTTAGCAGGAAGAATTTCAATAGAGTATTTGCATCAAATTGTTAGAATGAGTGAAATGTCAAAACATTAAGCCTAAGCTACATTTGTCAAAGATGTATATACTCCATGAATATGTAAAATTACATAAAGAACCACACCAAGATGTAATTACTTGATTTATAAGAACATTAATCAACATAAAAAATCATAAAGTTTCCTTTAAACAAGCAGATGTGAAATCATGGTAAAAAGAGAGGTCCAGTGTTTTTTAGTTATTTCATTGAAAACAATGCCATTCCTGCTTTTTAAAGCTCCTCCCTTTTCCCCATGGAGGTACAGAGCCTGAAAACTCAATTTTCCCAACTCACCTACCAGGAGAATTTTCATCAGATTCCACCAATGAATGGCCAAATGTAGACCAGGATGATGGAAAAGACAGAAGCCATTATTCTTCCATGGCAGCTTTGGGAAGTCCTGTGGAAAACAGCAGACATCAGACATTATGATTTATCTGCAGCTTTTGCATGGTGTCCTGAGAATAACTAACATTGGTATTGTTGGCAGCGGATGTCATCAGTGGTGGCTTATAATAGTTCTGAACTTTCTCCCAGAAAATACCCAAGTGGGTGCTAGAGAACTTTGAGTCCATTCCTGCAATTCCAGATTCTCTGTCCTGTATTACTCTAGCTTCCAACTGTTTAAGCTTCAATTTTCCTATTTTAAGCTACTTCCTTCTCAAAACACCTGAAGAAGCTTTTGTTTTCCTGAATAAACACCAAGTGATAAAATATGTATAAAATGATATTGCTATTTTTAGTGAATAAAAATGCTCCAAATTTCAAGAATACATTTATTACTTAGGTAAGGCAAAAGAGTGTTTACTTGTAGTAATCAAATTACTAGAAAATTGTTAGATTTTTTTCTTCCACAATGACTGTGTCCTTCAATGAATTTTCCCCCATAGAAATAAAGAAAATACAGGTGAACTGAAAGCGTTTTCAATTTTGCTTTCATGAGAAACTCCCTTTTTAATTTCCAAATTTGTATTTTCACAGTCTGGATTTTCTTGCAATTGCCCAGATACACTTAACAGCAGCTTGCTCTTTTCATTATAATTAATGTCTTCCATGAGTTGAGACTAGAAAAAAAAAACCTGTAAAATCTTATTGATGAACATATCTAAAAATCGGTTCATTAAAATTCAATGAGTCTTTGTTGACTAATGCCTAATAAAGTAGACATTAATTTAGAAAAACCAAAGAATCTGTAATTTTTTACTTTTTTGAACTCCAAAGATAAGTTATTTAATAGTTATTACATACTTTCCTTTTAAAAGAATATTTAAAATAATGTGGCAATTAATTGATTATATTTGGAATTCAATTACTACTACTAAATGTATGGATACCTAGTGTGAAATAATCGTTAGTGAATTGAAATATGTTACACTTTCACTTTCCTAAAGTCCTTCATCATTGGCCATTATCCTCAACTCTCAAAAAACCATTTCTGGCAGTGAATACTTTATTATATCACTATTTAATTACTTTGGATATGATTTCCTGGAGAATTATTATTGATTTTGTTTTCTGGCATAATTGTTTCTTAATAATATATATTATGATGGCTGGTAGCTGACTTTATAAAATCTTTGGGTATTTACTACAATTGAAACCTATTGGAATATTAAATATTCTAATGGATGAAATTTTATTTTCTTTAGTAACAGATGAGAATGATGATGTAGTCTGTTAGATTCTAAAAGCAGAGGACTATATTGTGTTCCCTTTTGTATATTTAATGAAAAAATAGTGAATTCTAAGAAGTTCCTTATTAAATGTTGTCATACGAATGGATAACTGATTTTCAAACATTTTAGCCAATTACAGAAATGGTAAAAATATTTATCTTCTCTTTTAATTATATTTTCTAGATTAAATAATTTGGCCTATGTTATACAAATTAATAGATTATCTACTGCTACCTCCTGATTTGCTATTACTAATGCTGAGCAATATCCACAGCCTCCTTAAGAATACATATTAGAATTGAAGAAAATCCTAAAAGTCTCCCCAATAAATATGGGTAAAAAGCATTAACCCTCATATTAAATAGGGAAACTTAGCTTGTTCTCTCTTCCAGAAATACAACTGAGAGAAGAAATGTAAAGTGGGAAAAGCAGAGTCTTCTATTTAGAATGTAAGCTGTAAGGTCTCCATGTATGTCTGTGTGTTTATCTATATATGTATGTATGTATTTTATGCATATGTGATATTTATCTAACTGTAGATGGCATTAAAAAACTAACTTATAAAAAACTTTAAAAAGTTCTATTCAAATTGGTTTAGAGATAAATAAGTGCTTATATAAATTAAATATTTCAAACACTCCCAGAAACATAGAAAGTAACCCATATACTTTTTTAGTTCATGTATTTTGAGTAAATCTTTAAAGACTAATTTAATATTGTTGGTTTAATAAAAACAGCCATGTTTTCCAAGATATTGGCATTAGTACAGTATGAGCATACATCGTCGTTCTACTTGGTTTTACAAGCCAAAATTATAAATTCATCCTAAGAAAAAATATACAAGTAAAGGTGCAGTAAAAATGAATTTCTTTTTTTTTTTTTTTTTTATTATACTCTAAGTTTTAGGGTACATGTGCACATTGTGCAGGTTAGTTACATATGTATACATGTGCCATGCTGGTGCGCTGCACCCACCAACGTGTCATCTAGCATTAGGTATATCTCCCAATGCTATCCCTCCCCCCTCCCCCGACCCCACCACAGTCCCCAGAGTGTGATATTCCCCTTCCTGTGTCCATGTGATCTCATTGTTCAATTCCCACCTATGAGTGAGAATATGCGGTGTTTGGTTTTTTGTTCTTGCGATAGTTTACTGAGAATGATGGTTTCCAATTTCATCCATGTAAAAATGAATTTCTTGAAGTCCATTACTTTATGCATGTTAAACATATAGTAAAACAATTGGAAAAACCTATGCATTTAACTTTTTGTAGTTTGTGTGTGTTTTATACTTGTCTCACATGCATGCATGTGCTATAAAAACAGTCAACAGGTAAGAAACTGGAGATGGTGGCTAGCTTTGATTAACATTATACATCTGTCTAAAAAAAGTTCCAGGTAATCTCTGAGTAAGATAAACTATGGAAACCTTAATTACCAAACGTAAGATTCAGTTTATATTCTTTTGACTTCTTATTTTTATACGGTATAAGGGTATTAAAGATATTTAGTTCTGGTAATAAACGTGTACTTTTTGACATATCGAAAAATTATACTGCGAGAAAATTCATACCAATAAAATTGTCATATAGTATAATTGTAAAGTTTGCTAGTTATCTACAGAATTCTGGTAAGCAACAGACAACTTACAAATGTCTACTGCCTAACTTTCTCTGTTAAGGAAAGATTACCAATGGTTAAAATTATAATCAACATATGAAAATAAAACTACTAAATATATAAGGGCAACAACTTAGTATAAAAAGTATGAAAGGAATATAAAGGTAGTTTTGATAAGAAAAAGTATATAAGGTATTAAAAATGTGTTTAGGACAATAATTCGTCCTAAACTAAAACAATCGGTTGTTCCAGAATGAGAAGAAAGAAAAATACAGGACAAAAACTGAATATATATGGAAAGTTAGAGAAGGTTTGTGAAAAAAAATTATTTGGCCAAATTGGCAAAGATTGAACTCATTTATTTACAACATTTAAAAAAAATTATGTTTATTATCAAAAGTAGATTGATGCAAAACAAAAATTTGTCTTTTTTCTGTTAAAATTATAGCTTTATTGGATTACTGTTCCGATTACAGTATTATCTTAATAAAATGAGAGACTGAAAGGTTTTATTTACCATTTAATTAATCTGCATAGGAAACCAAGATTTCTGTTCTATCAGATGAATTTCCTGTGCTTTATGTTAACCTTCATCATGTTCTTAATTAAGAGCATGCAGACTGCAGTTTTCAAAAACTAATTTTTTAACATATTTTTTACAATTTTGTCCTTCCAAAATCAAATCCTAAATAAAAGATTGTTGTTCTTGAACTGACATTGAGATTCCCAAGAGGACGCTGAATAACCTCAAACAATTTATTCTTTTGTTGTGTAAAAGAGAGATGTTACAAATAATTTGGTTTATTTGATATGTTAAATTGCATGAAAAGTGTTGTCAAATAAAAAAGATATTCAGCCTACTCTACATGATATTTGTCTGGGCAAATATTATTAATACAGTTATTTCAGAAATTGTACAAAGTTCATAGAAATTTGTTAATGCTATACCTAGCCATGACACATCATAGTGACAGCGTGCTGGCAGTCCTCACAGCCCTCACTTGCTCTTGGCGCCTCCTCTGCCTGGGCTCCCACTTTGGCGGCACTTGAGGAGCCCTTCAGCCCACCGCTGCACTGTGGGAGCCCCTTTATGGGCTGGCCAAGGCCAGAGCCGGAGCCGGCTCCCTCAGCTTGCAGGGAGGTGTGGAGCGAGAGGCGCGAGCGGGAACCGCGGCTGCGCGCGGCGCTTGCGGGCCAGCTGGAGTTCCGGGTGGGCGTGGGCTTGGCGGGCCCCGCACTCGGAGCAGCAGGCCGGCCCTGCCAGCCCCAGGAAATGAGGGGCTTAGCACCCGGGCCGGCAGCTGCGGAGGGTGTACTGGGTCCGCCAGCAGTGCTGGCCCACCGGCGCTGCGGTCGATTTCTCGCCAGGCCTCAGCTGCCTTCTCGCGGGGCAGGGCTCCGGACCTGCAGCCCGCCATGCCTGAGCCTCCCCGCTCCGCCTCTGCGGGCTCCTGTGCGGCCCCAGCCTCCGCGACGAGCGCCGCCCCCTGCTCCACGGCGGCGCCCAGTCCCATGGACCACCCAAGGGCTGAGGAGTGCAGGCGCATGGCTCGGGACTGGCAGGCAACTCCACCTGCAACCCCGGTGCGGGATCCACTGGGTGAAGCCAGCTGGGCTCCTGAGTCTGGTGGGGACGTGGAGAACCTTTATGTCTAGCTAAAGGATTGTAAATACACCAATCGGCACTCTGTATCTAGCTCAAGGTTTGTAAACACACCAATCAGCACCCTGTGTCTAGCTCAGGGTTTGTGAATGCACCAATGGACGCTGTATCTAGCTACTCTGGTGGGGACTTGGAGAACCTTTGTGTCCACACTCTGTATCTAGCTAATCTGGTGGGCACGTGGAGAACCTTTGTGTCTAGCTCAGGGATTGTAAATGCACCAATCAGTGCCCTGTCAAAACAGACCACTGGGCTCTACCAATCAGCAGGATGTGGGTGGGGCAAGATAAGAGAATAAAAGCAGGCTGCCTAGCTAGCAGTGGCAACCCTCTAGGGTGCCCTTCCACACTGTGGAAGGTTTGTTCTTTTACTTTTTGCAATAAATCTTGCTGCTGCTCACTCTTTGGGTCCACACTGCCTTTATGAGCTGTAGCACTCACTGCGAAGGTCTGCAGCTTCACTCCTGAAGCCAGCGAGACCACCAGCCCACCGGGAGGAACAAACAACTGCAGACGCACCACCTTAAGAGCTGTAACACTCACCGCCAAGCCAAGGTCTGCAGCTTCACTCCTGAGCCAGCGAGACCACGAACCCACCAGAAGGAAGAAACTCCGAACACATCCGAACATCAGTGGGAACAAACTCCGGACACGCCGCCTTTAAGAACTGTAACACTCACCGCGAGGGTCCGCAGCTTCATTCTTGAGGTCAGTGAGACCAAGAACCCACCAATTCCGGACACAATAGTATAATGTTACCACTAATAATTTCAATTGTTATGCCACAAAAATAACTGGAAATATAACCTGTGATGTCATAAACCAAATATTTTGTTAAATTCTCATCAGATCTTTAACCATGGCGATTTAAAGCTATTTGTCATCAAGAAATAATTTTAATTTTATTCTGATTTTTCCCTAAAAGTTCTTGTAATTAACTACTAGCCAAAGTGCTTCATTTTTAACAAAATGTGACTGTCTCAGAAACCACAGACAGAACTATGACAGTTAATCTGGAATACAGGCTTCTGATGGCATTGCTGAAATAACTCTGAGAACACACCACTAGACTGTACAGACTTCTAGAACTACAATAGAGAAACTAATCAGTTCATCAAGTAGTTAACCCAAGATAAAGCAGAACAAGAACTAGTTACATGGGACTGAATGAACTGATGAAAAATGATTGTGATTTTTATGCTTCCTTGGTATATAGCTGGTTCTTTAAAGATCTAGGTTCTAAATATATAATAGACCCCATTTGCTATATTTATGAATACCAGATAATTATGTATTTTAGACTTACTACATCTCCTTAGCCAGCAAAGCTTGAAGGAATTGTGAGAGTTAATTCAGTTTGTCCATTGGGAATCCTGTGGACTTGCATCTAGAATTCAAATTTGAATTTCAGTTTTGAATGTCATCACTTACCTAAAGGACTGCTGAACTGGAAATATGTAAACATTCTGTTTCAGAATAGTGATATGATAAGTGTTTACTCCAAAGATTTTAAAAGTTATGTTTCACTACAATCTTTATTCCCTTTTCATATTTTCTTTTAACTCTATTTGATTAAGGAAACACCACAGTGCTATTTGAAGTCTCTAATTGTATAAGAAGTTGATAGAAATGCTCAGTCAGTATGTCATCGTCGCAGAGATATATTTTAAGCCTCTAAGAGGCCAGCAAATACCAGATACTCTCATTTTGTACGTAATTTTCAGTTTCTGCAAGACTCTGGCCCATTTATGCAAAAAACTTCCTTATTAGGATAACTACAAAGAAACGAAATATCTGTGTATCTAATTTACAAAAATAGAGCAGGTAAAACTAGTTAAATATTATCACATATGAATTTGAATCTTATTATAATGTTTATTTGCCATATATTGTCAGTGAGATCATGTTTCATTAACTTGGTGCCACTTTTCTACCTCTAATGTCTCTGAAATCTTCATATAGAGATAGCAATGTAAAAATCAAATTGGAAGTGTTATTCTTTCTTAGTCTTACATAATAGTGCATTTAAAACCCAATGACATCTTAGAGTCAGTGAAGTCTGCTATTATTCTGAGACTTTTCAGGAGCAATTGCTAAAATATTAATAACAATAATTTTTAAAACCTCACTGGGTTTGGGAGATGAGGCTTCTTTTTCCAGCCATGATGGGTTCATATGGAATTTATTTATCCTTCTGCTTGGAACAGTTAAACACAGAACAAAGTATGTGAGACAAGTGTTTGTAAACATTGGACAGTAAATAGCACAAGGCAGTTATCTCTTAGGTAAAGTATCACTTAAGCCGTAGAGTTGTCCCATTTTACTGCCTGGAGAGAGTTCATAGGACACAGCATAGGGAGAGTGAACCCAAACATATTCCTGCAGGCTCCTCAATTGAGGATACAGAGTTGAGAATTTTGGGAGAACAAAGTAGCTGGAATGCACAAGCCAGAGAACTGAAAAACAGAAAAGAAAGGCATGAACAAGAGGAAGATACAGAGAGAGAGCTCCAGAGATTACTTACCTATTCTTCAGCTGATTGGTAATCCACACATATGTATTCACTGAGATGCCTGGTTGGCAATGTTGGCCATTGGAGTCCAAGGAGGCCAATTTACCTTTGCCTGTAAAGGGTGAAGACTAATCCCCAAGTTTCAAAGCTAGGAAGATTGGTCACAGTGGACTAGGGAGCTGGTCAATAAAAGATTTAGTGGCAGGGAAAAGCTATAAGGTCATTGATAGGATATTGGTCTTGGGAAAAGGAGATTCTGAACTGGTATCGTGTGCTTAATTTAAAAAAAAAGTTGTATGTTAATGTAGTTAAAACTATTTGGGACACAATGTTTGACTCTTAGAAGATAGATACAATACCACATGATATAGTAGCCTGGTAACAATGAGAAGCAGTGGGGGGCTGTGGGTTAAGGAAAATGTCTAGACCTCCACAACTGGTTTCAGGGACCTTCTGGTAATTGGGGCAGAAGGTGTGGTCAGTGATACTAGATGAATGGATAAAAGCCTCCAGAAATAAGTGAAAATGTTTTAACTAGTTAGCACTTTGATTTGTTCAAGTGCATCATCACAGTTATGGGTATACTCCTAGATTTGAGTGATGTTATATTAGATAATTTCTTTGGCAGACCTTATGAGAGTAAGAATTGAGACTTTTTATAGGAATAATTAGGTTTTTCTTAAACTTTGATTTTAAGTTTGGGGTACTAGTGCAGGATATGCAGTTTTATTACATAAGTAAACACATGTCATAGGGGTTTGTTGTACAGATTATTTTATCACCCAGGTATTAAGCCAGCCTAGTACCCATTAGTTATTTTTGCTGATCCTCTCCCTCCTCCCACTCTCCATCCTCCAGTAGGCCCCAGTGTCTGTTGCTTCCCTGTATGTATCCATGAGTTCTCATCATTTAGCTCCCACTTATAAGTGAGAACAGGTGGTACTTGGTTTTCTATTCCTGCATTAATTTGCTAAGGACAATGGCCTCCAGCTCCAGCCATGTTCCTGCAAAGGACATGATCTCATTCTTTTTCATGGCTGCATAGTATTCTATGGTGTACATGTACCATATTTTCTTTATCAAGTCTGTCACTGATGGTCATGTGGGTTCATTTCATGTCTTTGCCTTTGTGAATAGTGCCGCAATAAACATAAGTGTGCATGTGTTTTTAAAATAGAACAATTTATGTTCCTTTGGGTATATACCCAATAATGGGATAGATGGGTCAAATGCTATTTCTGCCTCTTGGTCTTTAAGGAATGTTCACACTGTCTTCCACAATGATTGAACTTATTTACCTCCCACCAACAGTGTATAAGTGCTCCTTTTTCTCCACAACCTCACCAGCATCTGTTATTTTTTGACTTTTTAGTAATAGCCATTCTGACTGGTGTGAGAATCATTGTGGTTTTGATTTGCATTTCTCTAATGATCAGTGATTATGAGCTCTTTTTCATATGCTTGTTGGCTGCATGTATGGCTTCTTTGGATAAGTGTCTGTTCCTTCTGTTCCTGTCCTTTGCCCACTTTTTAATGGGGTTGTTTTTCTTTTTCTTGTAAATTTGTTTAAGTTCCTTACAGATGCTGGATATTAAACCTTTGTCAGATGCATAGTTTGTAAAAATTTTCTACCGTTCTGCAAGTTGTCTGTTTACTCTGTTGATAGTATCTTTTGTTGTAAAGAAGCTCTGTGGTTTAATTAGATATCATTTTTCAATTTTTCTTTTGTTCCCAGTTGCTTTTGGCATTTTCATTATGAAATCTTTCCCCATGCCTATGTCGTGAACGGTATTGCCTAGATTGTCTTCCAGGGTTTTTATAGTTTTGAGATTTTACATTTAAGTCTTTAATCCATCTTGAGTTAATTTTTGTATATGGTGTAAGTAGGGGGTCCAGTTTCAATTTTCTACATATGGCTAGCGGTACCACAGCATGGCACAGCTCTTCTAAGAAAGCATGGCCAGACTGCTTCCTTAAGCAGGTCCTCAATCTGTTCCTCCTCACCGAGTAGAACTTCCAACTGGAGCCTCCAGCCACTTCTTGGATGTTCTCTGGCTAAGAAGCGTTTGAAAACTTCATGGTACAGAGCTCCCAGAGGGAGAGGCAGGCTCCACCTTTGCTGTTTCAGCAGCTTAGCCATTCTAGCCTCCAGGTTTTGGAGCGCTCAAGCCAACTGAAGGCAGAAGTGCTACCCCAGCAGAGCCCAGCTGCTCTACAGCATGGCTAGAGTGCTTTTTTTTTTAATTTTATTTTTTATTTATTTATTTTTTTGAGACGGAGTCTCACTCTGTCGCCCAGGCTGGCGTGCAGTGGCGCGATGTCCGCTCACTGCAATCTCCACCTCCCGGGTTCACGCCATTCTCCTGCCTCAGCCTCCGGAGTAGCTGGGACTACAGGCACCCGCCACCATGCCCGACTAATTTTTTTGTATTTTTAGTAGAGACGGAGTTTCACCGTGTTAGCCAGGATGGTCTTGATCTCCTTTGCTTGTGATCCGCCCACCTCGGGGTCCCAAAGTGCTGGGATTTACAAGCGTGAGCCCCCGTGCCCGGCCAGACTGCTATATATATATATATATATTTTTTTTATACTTTAAGTTCTAAGGTACATGTGCACAATGTACAGGTTTGTTACATATGTATACATGTGCCATGTTGGTGTGCTGCACCCATTAACTCGTCATTTACATTAGGTATATCTCCTAATGTTTTCCCTCCCCCCTTCCCCCACCCCACAACAGGCCTCTGTGTGTGATGTTCCCCACCCTGTGTCCAAGTGTTCTCATTGTTCAATTCCCACCTATGAGTGAGAACATGTGGTGTTTGGTTTTTTGTCCTTGCGATAGTTTGCTGAGAATGATGGTTTCCAGCTTCATCCATGTCCCTACAAAGGACATGAACTCATCATTTTTTATGGCTGCATAATATTCCATGGTGTATATGTGCCACATTTTCTTAATCCAGTCTATCATTGTTGGACATTTGGGTTGGTTCCAGGTCTTTGCTATTTTGAGTAGTGCCACAATAAACATACATGTGCATGTGTCTTTATAGCAGCATGATTTCTAATCGTTTGGGTATATACCCAGTAATGGGATGGCTGGGTCAAATGGTATTTCTAGTTCTAGATCCCTGAGGAATCGCCACACTGTCTTCCACAATGGTTGACCTAGTTTACAGTCCCACCAACAGTGTAAAAGTGTTCCTATTTCTCCACATCCTCTCCAGCATCTGTTGTTTCCTGACTTTTTAATGATCGCCATTCTAACCGGTGTGAGGTGATATCTCATTGTGGTTTTGATTTGCATTTCTCTGATGGCCAGTGATGATGAGCATTTTTTCATGCGTCTGTTGGCTGCATAAATGTCTTCTTTTGAGAAGTGTTTGTACATATCCTTCGCCCACTCTTTGATGGTGTTGTTTGTTTTTTTCTTGTAAATTTGTTTGAGCTCTTTGTAGATTCTGGATATTAGCCCTTTGTCAGATAAGTAGATTGCAAAATTTTTCTCCCATTCTGTAGGTTGCCTGTTTACTCTGATGGTAGTTTCTTTTGCTGTGCAGAAGCTCTTTAGTTTAATTAGATCCCATTTGTCAATTTTGGCTTTTGTTGCCATTGCTTTTGGTGTTTTAGACATAAACCACTGCTCAATGAAATAAAAGAGGACACAAACAAATGTATGAACATTCCATGCTCATGGATAGGAAGAATCAATATTGTAAAAATGGCCAGACTGCTTTTTTTAAAAGGACCCCCAATCCCGTTCCTCCTAAGCGAGACCTCTCAACCAGGGCCCCTAGCCAGCTCTGACAAGTGAGTTCGGGCTGGCCACAGGTCTGTACCCCACTGTGATGGAGCTCCCAGAGGAAGGATAAGGCTGACATCTTTGTTGTTTTGCAGCCTTCTCTGGGGATACCTCCAGGTAGTGGAAAATCAGAGACAACTAGGGACTAGAGTGGACACTCAGTGAACTGCAGCAGCCCTAAAGAAAAGTGGCCAGACTTACAAGAAAAAAAAAACAAAAACAAAACTCCATCCGAAGGTCAGAAACTTCAAAGATTGAAGGAGGGTAAGCCCACAAAGATGAGAAAGGATCAGCACAAGAACACGGAAAACTCAAAAAGTCAGAGTGCCCCCTCTTTCCTCCAAATGACTGCATCACCTCTCCAGCAAGGGTTTAGAACTGGGCTCAGGCTGAGATGTCTGAAATGACAAAAGTGGACTTCAGAATATGGATAAAAACGATCTTCACTCAGCTAAAAGAGCACATTGTAACTCAATGCATGGAAGCTAAAAATCATCATGAAACATTGCAGGAGCTGACAGACAAAATAGCCAGTACAGAGAAGAACATAACTGACCTGATAAACCTGAAAAACGCAATACATTAATTTCATAATGCAATCACAAACGCAAGTATTAATAGCAGAATAGATCAAGTAGAAAGAATCTCAGAACTTGAAGATTGTCTTTCTGAAATAAGACAGGCAGAGAAGAATAGAGAAAAAAGAAAGAAAGGGATAAACAAAACCCCCGATAGATGTGGGATTATGTAGAGACTGAATCTATGGTTGATATACCTGAAAGAGATGGGGAAAATGGAACGAATTTGGAAAACATATTTCAGGATATAATCCATGAAAACGTCCCAAACCTGGAGGCCAACAATAATTTTTATTGAGATTTCGGTGTGTATTACTAGCTAAATCCATATTTCTTACTTAGCTCTTCCTGTTGAAGCATTGTGTTAGCTTTTCATTATCATGCAAGAGTTCAAACAGTTAAGAAAATCAAAGTGGATTTTGAGGGATAGGATTTAATTTTACACAAATAGGTTAGAGTTACCAGATAAAATTAAGAGTGCATTTATTACTTTACATTTTGATAATGAGGCAGAACCCTGGAAAAGGGAATTTGCTACATTGCATAATTCCTAAGATAAATTATTCACTTCAGCTGACCCATTATCTTTATTTTCTTGTGACAGATGTCTTTTAAAAAATGTTCACAATCTTATATTTCCTCAGCTAAAATTCATGCTACAATGTAGATATATGCTTTCATTTTTCAAAAATAGCATTACTAAGGAAAATTTACTAAAAATATTACCATATAATTCACCCTTTAAGTGTTCAGTGATTCATATTTAATGATTTTTTAGCAAATTTGTAGAGAAGTGCAACCATCACCACCTTCTCATTTTAAAGCATTCATATTACCACAGGTACTTCCTTGAGTCATTTGCAATCAATACCCATTACCACACTCTGTCCCAAACCCTTATTCATCAATATACTCTTTCTATAAATTTTCCTCTTCTGCAAACTTCATGGAAGTGAAAATATACAATAGTTTTATTTTTGTATTTAGCATTTTCACTTAACATAATGTTATTTAAGATTCACTGACCTTATACATTGAATCAGTAGTTTTGTCTTTTTTATTATTGAATAATATTCCATAGTATTGATATATTTTGTTCCTCTATTACCAACTGTTGTATATTTGAATTGTTTCCGCCTTTGGAATATTATAAATAATGCTTTTATGAGCATTTGTATGCAATTATTTTTATGAAGATGTTATCATTTCTTTTGGATAGATCCCTACCAGTACAACAGTTGAGTAATATGAGAAGTTTGCATTTAAGTTTTTAAGAAAATACCCTCCCACCTGTAATCTCATCACTTTGGGAGGCTGAGGCGGGAAGATCACTTGAGGTCAGGAGTTTGAGACCAGCCTGGGCAAGATGGCTAAACCCTATCTCTACTGAAAATACAAAAAAAGAAAAAAAGGTAGCTGAGCATGGTGGCACACACCTGTAATTCCAGCTACTGTGGAAGCTGAGACAGGAGAATTGCTTGAACCTGGGAGGTGGAGGTTGCAGTGAGCTGAGATGGTGCCACTGAACTCCAGCCTGGGCAACAGAGTGAGACTCTACCTCAAAAATTAAAAAAGGAAAATGTCAAAGAGTTTTACCCAAGTGGCTATACCATTTTAAATTCCATATCAAAGTAGGAGGGGCTCTAGTTTTTCTCTATAATAACCAATACTTGGTATTGTCTATCTTTTTTATTACAGTCATTCCAGAGGTGTATAGTTCTGTGTCACTGATTTTTTAGTTTATAGTTCTCTAATGACTAATGATTTATCTTTGCCCTTCCACCATGTAATGTTTCCTGCCATGTTATGATGCAGCAAGAAGGCCCTCACAAGATACCAGGACCCTGGTCTTGAACTTCTCAGCCTCCATAGCTGTCAGCTATTAAATTTCTCTTCATTATAAATTTACCCAGCCTCAGATATTTTTAATAACAGCACAAACAGACTAAAACACATGGATATTTATTTTATGATTTAATTTGTAATTCAATACAATTTAATGTATTTTTTCGTCAAATTAATCCAGGTTTGGTCATTAGCATATTTTTTACTTAGCTTCGTTGTATCTTTGATATATTCCCATTCATTTTTTTTTCAATCCTTCTTACTTTTGGTAACTATGAGATATTTCAGACTCATCTTGTTTATTTCCTGGCCCAGTCCTAAAATCAGACATTTATCCATAGAGCCCTGGCTAACTTTATTGGAGAATAGTATTAGAAACCAAAACCAGGGCACCAGAGATGCCCAGATCTCTACATATTTCTATATAAACCATCTGTATCTATATTAAGCTAAGCATTAGTTTATACTGATGTCTCTAACTTGAATTCACTAACACATGAATCATTTTAGACTTGTCTTGTTATTTGTATCTTTTCACTCCAGCAGAAACATGAGGCTCCCCCAACTTTCAACATCCATTTATTTAATTGTTCAATTCCAGTATACATGTATAGCAGTCTCAGACTTGTTAACCTATGTGCCCATAGGAAGCAAATTTACCAACTGGACTGTAGCATTTACATGCATTTCCTTTTGCATTTAATCTACATACACATTCCCAGAGTTAGGTATGTCTACATCATTTACCCTAGCCCCTTCAGAGAGAATGTTTCTCATCTTAGTGATATAGTTAGATTCTTTGGTCACAAACATTATTTATTCCTAATATGCCTCAACCTCATAAATATATACTTTTTGTTACATACATTAAGGTTCAGTCTTTGTGCTGTAAAGTTCAATTGGTTTTAACACATGCTTCATGTTATGAATCCACTGTTACAGTATCACACTGAATACATACATACATGCAGAATAGTTTTCCTTCCCTAAAAACCCTCAGTCCCGCACTTCATCTACTCAACCCTACCATCCTTTCCCTAAACCCTTGACAAGCACTTATCTCTTTACTATTCTTATATTTTGTCTGTACCAGAATATTATATAATGGGAATCATCCAGTATGCAGTTTTTTCAGGTTAATTTGTTTCATTAGGTAATATTCACTTAAAATTCATGTTTTTTTTGTGGTGGCTTGATAGCTCATTTATTTTTATTGTGTATAATATCTCATTGTATGGGTGTACCACAATTTGTTTATTTGTTCACTCATTGGAGGTTATACTGGCTGCTTCCAGTTCTTGGCAATTCTGAATAAAGCTTCTACAAATATTGACATGCAGGATGCTGTGTGGACATAAGTTTTCAAATCAGTTAGGTAAATACCTAGGTGCATAATTGCTCAGTTCTATGGTAAGGCTATGGTTGGCTTTAAAAGGAACTGTCAAACTGTCTTCCAAAGTGGCTGTATTATTTTGCATTCCCACCAGCAGGAATGCAAGTTATTGTTGTGCCATATCTTCACCAAGACTTAGTCAGCTTTTTTTAAAAAAAATAAAGTGCTATAAATAAAATAAAACTTTACATATCTAATAAAATTTTTCTAGTGATATCTGGCTTTAACACATGCTTCATGTTATGCTGTTTATATTTGCAATTCCCTAATACTAAATGATCTTGAGCATCTTTTCATAGGCTTATTTTCTACCTACATATTTTCTTTAGTGAGGTATCTGTTCAGATCTTCTGTCCTCTTATTAATTTAATTTTTCATTTTCTTATTGGTAAATTGTAAGTCTTATTTTTCTATTTTAGATTTGTCTTTATTAGATATGTGTTTTTGCAAATTTTTTTCTAATCTATTTCTTGTTTTCTCATTTTCTTAACAAAAAATTTAGAGTGAACATTTTTAATTTTAATGAGTGCCAATTTATTTTTTTCATAAATTATGTTTTTTAATGTTAAATCTAAAATGTTATTGCCAATATTAAAATTATTTTCTGAACATAATTTGAATGAGATTGTAGCATAAACCTATTCATAAATAAACTAAGCATTATATTGTTTTAGAGTTTATAAAGCAAACTGAAACAATACAAATTAAAATTTGAATCTCATCTAAAGTCAAAATACATTATTACGGAAAATCCATGTGAAATAATTCTTAATATTTTGAATACCAGATACAATTTCTAAAAACTAATGTTAAAGCAAAGTATGTTGTCAGAGGATCTTGTTCTGAAAAATGAAGCAATATAGACCTGGCAATATTAGATAGACAAAATGTAATAATGGGCTTCATTCTTTCCTTACATTATTGTTTTTAGGGAATCTCATCCAGGGCTATGTCTTTAAATAGTATTTGTAGACTGGTGATCCCTAAGTTACAAACCAGTGTTGAATTCTTTTTGAACTCCAAATTCTTCCAGACACCATGGTATTTACATTGTAATTTTTCCTTTTATGTATTTATTTTGTTATTATGCTTTAAGTTCTAGGGTTCATGTGCAGAACATGAAGGATTGTCACATAGGTATATATGTGCCATGTTGGTTTGCTGCACCCATCAACTCATCATTTACATTAGGTATTTCTCCTAATGTTATCCCTCCCCCAGCCACCCACCCCCTGACAGGCCCCAGTGTGTGATGTTCCCCTCCCTGTGCCCATGTGTTCTCATTGTTCAACTCCCATCTATGAGTGAGAACATGCGGTGTTTGGTTTTCTATCCTTGTGATAGTTTGCTTAGAATGATGGTTTCCAGCCTCATCCATGTCCCTGCAAAGGACATGAACTCATCCTTTTTTATGGCTGCATAGCATTCCATGGTACATATGTGCCACAATTTCTTAATCCAGTCTATCATTGATGGATATTTGAGTTGGTTCCAAGCCTTTGCTATTGTGAATAGTGCCCCACAATAAACATACGTGTGCATGTGCCTTTATAGTAGCATGATTTATAATCCTTTGGGTATATACCCGGTATTGGGGTCACTGAGTCAAATGGTATTTCCAGTTCTAGACCCTTGAGGAATCGCCACACTGTCTTCCACAATGGTTGAACTAGTTTACACTCCCACCAACAGTGTAAAAGCATTCCTATTTCTCCACATCCTCTCCAGAATTTGTTGTTTTCTGACATTTTAATGATGGCCATTCTAACTGGCGTGAGATGGTATTTCATTGTGGTTTTGATTTGCATTTCTCTGATGACCAGTGATGATGAGCATTTTTTCATATGCCTGTTGCCTGCATAAATGTCTTCTTTTGAAAAGTGTCTGTTCATATCCTTTGCCCACTTTTTGATGGGGTTGTTTGATTTTTTCTTGTAAATTTGTTTAAGTTCTTTGTAAATTCTGGATATTAGCCCTTTGTCAGATGGGTAGATTGCAAAATTTTTTCCCATTTTGTAGGTTGCGTGTTCACTCTGATGAGAGTTTTTTTTTCTTTCTCTCTCTCTCTGCAGAAGCTCTTTAGTTTAATTAGATCCCATTTGTCAATTCTGGCTTTTGTTGCCATTGCTTTTGGTGTTTTAGTCATGAAGTCTTTGCCCATGCCTATGTCCTGAGTGGTATTGCCTAGGTTTTATTCTAGGGTTTGTATGGTTTTTGGTCTTACATTTAAGTCTTTAATCCATCTTGAGTTAATTTTTGTATAAGGTGTAATGAAGGAATCCAGTTTCAGCTTTCTACAT
Source organism: Homo sapiens (assembly GCF_000001405.40). Lineage (NCBI taxonomy): Eukaryota > Metazoa > Chordata > Mammalia > Primates > Hominidae > Homo > Homo sapiens. The sequence continues at coordinate 171,311,218 of NC_000004.12, forward strand.
ATGGCTGGCCAGTTTTCCCCAACACCACTTATTAAATAGGGAATCCTTTCCCCATTGCTTGTTTTTGTCAGGTTTGTCAAAGATCAGATGGTTGTAGATGTGTGGTGTTATTTCTGAGGCCTCTGTTCTGTTCCATTGGTCTATATATCTGTTTTGGTACCAGTACCATGCTGTTTGGTTACTGTAGCCTTGTAGTATAGTTTGAAGTCAGGTAGTGTGATGCCTCCAGCTTTGTTCTTTTTGCTTAGGATTATCTTGGTTATGTGGGCTCTTTTTTGGTTCCATATGAACTTTAGTTTTTTCAAATTCTGTGAAGAAAGTCAGTGGTAGCTTGATGGAGATAGCAATGAATCTATAAATTACCTTGGGAAGTATGGCCATTTTAACAATATTGATTCTTCCTGTCCATGAGCATGGAATGTTCTTCCATTTGTTTGTGTCCTCTTTTATTTCGTTGAGCAGTGGTTTGTAGTTCTCCTTGAAGAGGTCCTTCACATCCCTTGTAAGATGGATTCCTAGGTATTTTACTCTCTTTGTAGTAATTGTGAAAGGGAGTTCACTCATGATTTGGCTCTCTTTGTCTGTTATTGATGTACAGAAATTCTTGTGACTTTTGCACATTGATTTTGTATCCTGAGACTTTGCTGAAGTTGCTTATCAGCTTGAGATTTTGGGCTGAGATGATGGGGTTTTCTAAATACACAATCATGTCATATGCAAACAGAGACAATTTGACTTCCTCTTTTCCTAATTGAATACTCTTTATTTCTTTCTCTTGCCTGAGTGCACTGGCTAGAACTTCCAACTAAAGATGTTCTTTGAAACCAATGAGAACAAAGACACAACATACCAGAATCTCTAGGACACATTTAAAGCAGTGTGTAGAGGGAAATTTATAGCACTAAATGCCCACAAGAGAAAGCACGAAAGATCTAAAATCGACACCCTAACATCACAATTAAAAGAACTAGATGTTGAATAGGAGTCACGAGAGAGGGCATCCTTGTTTCTTGCCAGTTTTCAAAGGGAATGCTTCCAGTTTTTGCCCATTCAGTGTGATACTGGCTGTGGGTTTTTCTCATAAATAGCTCTTGTTATTTTGAGATATGTTCCATCAATACCTAGTTTATTGAGAGTTTTTAGCATGAAGCGCTGTTGAATTTTGTCAAATGCCTTTTCTGCCACTATTGAGATAATCATATGGTTTTTGTCATTGGTTCTGTTTATGTGATGTGTTACATTTATTGATTTGCATATGTTGAACCAGCCTTGCATCCCAGGGATGAAGCCAACCTCATCATGATGGATAATCTTTTTGATGCGCTGCTGGATTCAGTTTGCCAGTGTTTTACTGAGGATTTTCACATTGATGTTCATCAGGGATATTGGCCTAAAATTCTCTTTTTATGTTGTGTCTCTGCTAGGCTTTGGTTTTAGGATGATACTGGTCTCATAAAATGAGTTAGGGAGGATTCCCTCTTTTTCTATTGATTGGAATAGTTTCAGAAGGAATGGCATCAGCTCCTCTTTGTACCTCTTGTAGAATTCAGTTGTGAATCCATCTGGTCCTGGCCTTTTTTTGGTTGGTAGGCTATTAACTATTGCCTCAATTTCAGAGCCTGTTATTGGTCTATTCAGAGATTCCACTTCTTCCTGGTTTAGTCTTGGGAGGGTGGATGTGTCCAGGAATTTATCCATTTCTTATAGATATTCTGGTTTATTGGCATAGAGTAGTTTATAAAATTCTCTGATAGTAGTTTGTATTTCTGTGGGATCAGTGGTGATATCCCCTTTATCATTTTTTATTGCATCTATTTGATTCTTCCCTCTTTTCTTCTTTATTAGTCTTCCTAGCAGTCTATTTTGTTTATCTTTTTGAAAAACTACCTCCTGGATTCATTGATTTTTTGAAGGGTTTTTTGTGTATCTATCTCCTTCCGTTCTGCTCTGATCTTAGTTATTTCTTGCCTTCTGCTAGCTTTTGAATTTTTTGCTCTTGCTTCTATAGTTCTTTTAATTGTGATGTTAGGGTGTCGATTTTAAATCTTTCATGCTTTCTCTTGTGGGCATTTAGTGCTATAAATTTCCCTCCACACATGGCTTTAAATGTATCCCAGAGATTCTGGTACATTGTGTCTTTGTTTTCATTGTTTTCAAAGAACATCTTTATTTCTGCCTTGATTTCGTTATTTGCCCAGTAGTCATTCAGGAGCAGGTTGTTCAGTTTCCATGTAGTTATGTGATTTTGAGTGAGTTTCTTAATCCTGAGTTCTAATTTGATTGCACTGTGCTCTGAGAGACAGTTTGCTGTGAATTCTGTTCCTTTACATTTGTTGAGAAGGGTTTTCCTTCCAATTATGTGGTCAATTTTAGAATAAGTGCAATGTGGTGCTGAGAAGAATGTATATTCTGTTGATTTGGGGTGGAGAGTACTGTAGATGTCTTTTAGGTCCGCTTGGTCCAGAGCTGAGTTCAAGTCCTGGAAATCCTTGTTAACCTTCTGTCTCATTAATCTGTCTAATGTTGACAGTGGGGTGTTAAAATCTCCCATTATTATTATGTGGGAATCTCAGACTCTTTGTAGGTCTCTAAGGACTTGCTTTATGAATCTGGGTGGTCCTGTATTTGGTGCATATATATTTAGGATAGTTAGGTCTTATTGTTGAATTGATCCCTTTACCATTATGTAATGGCCTTCTTTGTCTCTTTTGATCTTTATTGGTTTAAAGTCTACTTTATCAGAGACTAGGATTGCAACTACTGCTTTTTTTGCTTTCCATTTGCTTGGTAGACTTCCTCCATCCCTTTATTTTGAGCCTATGTGTGTCTCTACACGTGAGATTGATCTCCTGAATGCAGCACACTGATGAGTCTTGACTCTTTATCGAATTTGCCAGTCTGTGGCTTTTAATTGGAGCATTTAGCCCATTTACATTTAAGGTTAATATTGTTATGTGTGAATTTGATCCTGTCATTATGATGTTAGCTGGTTATTTTGCCCCTTAATTGATGCAGTTTCTTCATAGTGTTGATGGTCTTTACAATTTGGCATGTTCTTGCAGTGGCTGGTACTGGTTGTTCCTTTCCACATTTAGTGCTTCCTTCAGGAGCTCTTGTGAGGCAGGCCTAGTGGTGACAAAATCTCTCAGCATTTGCTTGTCTGTAAAGAATTTTATTTTTCCTTCACTTATGAAGCTTAGTTTGGCTGGATATGAAATTCTGGGTTGAAAATTCTTTTCTTTAAGAATGTTGAATATTGGCCCCCACTCTCTTCTGGCTTGTAGGATTTCTGCTGAGAGATCTGCTGTTAGTCTGATGGGCTTCCCTTTGTAGGTAACCTGACCTTTCTCTCTGGCTGCCCTTAAAATTTTTTCCTTCAATTCAAACTTGGTGAATCTGACAATTATGTGTCTTGGGGTTGCTCTTCTCAAGGAGTATCTTTGTGGTGTTCTCAGTATTTTCTGAATTTGAATGTTGGCCTGTCTTGCTAGGTTGCTACATGGTAATTTTTCTTTGATTATGGTTACATAACTAATATCACTTCATACATTTTATCAAGTGGCACTCTCAGGATTTGCCAAGGCTAACATCTCCTACATAAAAATCTGAGACATGTAAGAGTCTTTTCAAAAAAAAAATTCTGTATTTATGACCATAAGTTAAGTTCCAATTCTAGCTACAATGATAAATAAGTCTTTTAATATTCTATTAGAGATATTCCACTAGAGATATTTGGTCAGAATAGTATTTGAAGAAATAAATTTTTAGCACCTCTCTGAGCAGGTATTTGGGAAAGGAAGAAACAGATGGTCAAAAAAGGACTCTGGATTGTGGTGATTCTTATGGTATTTAATTTTTTTTCTGTTTTTCAGCACTAAAGAACTTTTCATAGATCCACCTCTACCTTTACATTGACATTTCTTAATTTTTAGGAGATATATATATATATATATATATATATATATATATATCCATATATATCAATGTACAGAAATCATGAATGTGCCACTTGATAATATTTATGATGTGATTTTAGTTATATAACTATCACTCAAAGAAAAATTATCAGCCACCCAGCTCTTAAGGTCTGTCTCAGACAATACTCCAAAGTATAAGCACATTTCTGACTTCTAGTCCTATGAAAAAACTTTGTGGAAATGGAATTATATAGCATGTATTCTTTCATCTCTCTTTTTTCTTCAACACTATGCCTGTGAAATCTTCTCATTTTATTTTATATCACTGTAGCTTCTTTTGTAATGGCTGACTAATGTTTTTGTGTTTTCTACTATTGAAATTAAATGAGGTGTTTTGCAATTGATATTAACTAATGTGCTATGAATATAATTTCATATGTATTTTGTTATAAATATATACAAATTTCCTAAAATGTATTCCAAGAAATGGACTCAATGACACTCCTGATATGCATATATTCATTTAGCAAATAATAACAATTTTTAAAGATGTATTTACCAGTTTACACTATCACCAATCTCCATTTTCATTCTTTTAAAGGCATGTGCATTTGAACTTGCATTGCTTTAAACCACATTATACAGATAGCTACCAAGTTTTGCTTGTTGATACTAAAGCCCTACTAGAACAATTTTAAAAATTAACATTTTTAACATTTTTATATTTTTTGTTACTTAAACTCAATACTGGTTCTTAATTTGTTCTTGTTTTGTTTTATATAGTAAGTAAATGAAATTTAGAAAATATATTAATTAGCTGTTATAATAATGTTATTACAAAGAACCACGAAATCTCAGAGATGTATAAAAATCAGCACTTACTAGATCACAAGTCTCAAGTTGGTGGGCAATTTGCTAATGTAGGGGGAGCCTGAATGGGTCTCTGCTGATCTTAACTCGGATTGGACTTAGGATTCTGCTCCAAGGGGACTGTCTTTCTCCTACTGGGACCAATGGACTGGCCCAGAATATACTTTTCATAACAACTGCAGAGACTCAGGAGAACAAGCCCAAACACATAAGCACATCCCAAGCCTCTGCTTACATCACAAATGTGAACATCCCAGTTTCCAAAGCAAATTAGGAGTCCAAAGTGGGAGAGCTCTGAAAAGTTATATGACAAGGGATATGATATTTACTCCTTTTTACTACAGAAAGAAGGAAGAGTTGAAATAGTGACAGTTTACAATTCAAGGTGGAAATTGGTATTTTTAATAGTTTAAATAGTCACAAATACATTATTTATATGCTATTTTTTAACTATGTTTATTTTTTAAAAAATAGAAAAATACCACCATAACACATTAAATTAATATGATGTTTCCATGTACATATATACACACGTATACATAAGTTATATATATATACACACATATACATATATATACACCCACATATACATACATATATATATATGTGTGTATATATATATAAAATCACTTATGCAGATTCTGAAAAAAATTAGTTAAGACACCAGGCTCCAAATATTTAAATTAAGTGACTATCCTATCATGTTTTATTCAAGAAGTAAGGCTTCAGTATACAAGATTTTAGAATTGACTCTTCATTTTGGCTTTCAGCTGTGTATTCAAATATGTACTGCTGATGGTGCTTCCCTTGTGACTGATATTATGATGATGAGACTAAGAAGTGTCTTTCAAGAAATATTATCTGACAGACAGTATCTTGATTAAGATGAGCTTTAATTAAGATAAATGAGGCTGCTTATTCATCTGTTTGGCATCATGAGCCCTGAATCCTCAGAATAATGTTAAAAGTATTTAAAAAATTCCATTTTCTTATTGAAAACACAAATTAGATTTAGAGTGTGTAGCTTGCCCACCTGCACTGTAAGCATGGCCCTGTTAGAAAGCACTGATGCTGCAATTTCATTACAGTGATCTCTCAACAGAATGGACTTGCTGAGTACAAAACAGCATACAGGGATGCCAGTCAGCAGGATTGGTTTTAGAAAAAAAAAATGTTTTTAAACAAGGTTAAGCCTAATTGGTGCTGATATGCTCTTCATTTATTTTACAGTGTTATCATCTTTTCTGTATTAATTCATTCGTATTCTCCAAAGAAATGACACAGTACATTAAACTTTGACTTTCACCACTTGTACTTGATTGGAATAACTTTTACTAGTATCTGTATTAGTTTTATGTTGCTATGTAACAAATTGCCATAAATGTAGGGTCTTAACACAGCAAAAAATTAATAACTCAGAGTTTCCATATGTCAAGACCAAGCATGGGTTAAGTAGATCTCCTGCTCAGGGCATCCCCATGCTGAAATCCAGGTGCTAATTGGAGCAGTTATCTTACTTGGGCTCAGGGTCTTCTTCCCAATTCATTCCAGTTAATTGCAGAATAGGTGCCTTGCAAGTATAGTACTGATGTGTCCATTTTCTTGCTATCTATAGGCCAGGCATTGCTCTTAGCTCCTACAGTATAAACAGTATCAATTCATATAGTCACTACTTTATCTGTGAAAGAAACAAAGAATACAAAGTATGATTTCAATTCATAAAAAGCAAAGAGTAAATTTAAATTTTTAAATCCCCATTTTAGAGAGCTTAATCTTTAACAGCATGAAGTTTATGATAGAACTTACTATTCCAATATTAGATAATGTGGACAATGTGTCCTATTGAATTATGTGTGATAGCTTTTTCTGACTGTTTTCAAGGTATAGGCCCATTGTTGTGTTTTTCATAGTTGACTTGAAAAGAGAGAAAAAAACACGAGAGTAGAGACCTCATAAGAAGTTCTTCTAGCTGAAGTGACTCAAATTCTAGCACTTTGGGAGGCTGAAGTTGGTGGATCACCTGAAGTTAGGAGTTCAAGATCAGCCTATCCAACATGGTGAAACCCTGTCTCTACTAAAAATACAAAAATTAGCCAAGTGTGGTGGCACACACCCATAATCCCAACTACTTGGGAGGCTGAGGCACAAGAATCACGTGAACCCGGAGAATGGAGGTGGCAGTGAGCTGAGATCGTGCCCTGCACTCCAGCGTGGGTGACAGAGTGAGACTGTCTCAAAAAAAAAAAAGAAAAAGAAAAGGAAGAAAGAGAAAAAAAGAGAGAAAGAAAGTTGACACAAATTCTGCTACCCAGGGATAAGTCTTAGCAATGGCAGGACTTCAGAGGGGAAGCTCACATAGAAGCAGGTTAGTTCTAAAGAATCAGGGCTGTAGCTTGCACTAGCCAGGGATTGCAGGAAAGTTTCCATATCTGCTGATGCCTTTATAACTTTTACTGATGGACACATAAAGTACAAAGTGGTTTAATTATCACTTTTGTGTGAAGTGAGTCTTAGGACAGTCTGCATAACCCTTAGAAAGGGACAATCTCAAGAATGAATTTATTGTGAACAGGTAATAGAATAAAAGTGTAGTTGACATGTAAACTATAGAAATGCAACATATTTTATTTGTATGAGTTGTGAACTTAAATTTATATGTACTATTATTCAGTGTCTTCTGTGACATGCTTGTGTAAGATAATCTTTGAAATATACATCCCTCACATCTCTCATCTCTGCCATTTGTTTTTTCTTACAATAGGAAATTCCTTTATTGTGTTTCTTCAATCACCTAAACTTAACTTTAGTATAAATACAGGAAAGCATTAAGGTAGCTACAAAGAAATCAATTGCTTCCTTTTTGTACAAAAAGCTTAGAATAAAAGCCATAATTATAGCCCATTTAATGATTTGAGGAAGGCATTTTCATTCCTATGGAAAAGATACCAGCTTTTAAAACCCCAGCTGCTCAATAGGATTTCTTAGTATTTATAGATCTCTGTTAATGCAACTCCACATAGAGAGTCTATGGAAAACAAATGACTTAATTAATGTTACTCCATAAATTTTCTTATTTTTTTAAATACAGAACTTGCCCTAAGTGTTCTTTTATCAGTCTTTGACATTGTTGATTATGCCCTTCCTTTGCCTTTATAGTGCATTCTCTCATTTTTCTAAATACATATGTGGCCGTTTCTGAATATTTTTAAATAAATGTTGCTTTCTTAACATTTAAATATTGATATGCTTTAGAGCCTACCCATAAGCCCACTCACTCCCTTTATATATCTTCCATCATCATTATATATGTATTTTTTCTCTTAATTTATATTTCTAGTCACAGTATGTCCCCTGAGGCCCAGACATTTATAATTAATATTAGAATGTCTAATAAACACCTCAAAATCAATATGCCCTAAATTAGTTCCTCTCCTGTGATTTCCTTCTGAATAAGTGATAGTAGAGACTCATAACTGCTTCAAAAGGAAACACTTTTCATTCCCTCTTTCCAGGAAACCAAACAATTAGCAAATCCTATTCATTCCAGATTTAAAACATTTTTCATGTATGTCTACTTCACTGGATCCTACCCAAATCCAGATCACCAACATCTTTTGTGGTATCTAATGGACATAGCTGGACTTTCTACCTTGTGTATGATCTCTACAAAATTCATTCATCATCACACTCTCTAAGATACAGATGTGAGCATGTGACTCATTTACCTAAAAGACTTCATTTATTCCCCATTTCCCTTCAAAGTAAAATCCCAAAACTTAGATATGGAAAATAAATGGCAGACAGGAGGCAGGTCTAACTTGCAGCACCCTCTCAGCCAGAAAGACCAGCATGTGGAGGCTCACATTGTGAACTTTTACTCTAAAAACAGGAACATACCAGGAAAACTGAAGGAACCCACAGACACTTTGAAGGAGGTGGATTGCTCTGCAGGCTCTGTGGGACAGTGGAGGAACTGTGAATCGGCTTGCTTTCTCAGCTGGGAGGCTTGTGGCCTGGGGCAAGTTCTGAGCCTGGGGCAGCTCACCAGCTACCTGGAAATAAACTCAGTGCTGTTCAGGGAGCACGGTGGGAGTGAGACTGGCCTTTTAGGCTGTGGGCCACATAGGAGCTGGGTGAGGCCTGTGGCTGCCAGCTTTCCCCCATTTCCCTGGAGACCAGTGTGACACAGAAGAGGCAAACATAATCCTCTGTGAACATAAATTCATTTGCCTGGGAAACACACCCCCTACCCCACAGCAGCCACAGCAACCCTGCCCAAGGAGAGCCTGAGCTCAGACAATGCCTAACCCTGCCCCCACCTGATGGTCTTTCTCTACCCTACCTGATAGCCTAAGACAAAGGACATAATCTCTTGGGACCTCTGTGGCCCTGGAAAATGCCTGATCCTCCCTCTACCACCGCAACTATGTGCTACTGAAGGTGACACCTTCTGGCTGGAAGCCAGCAACATAAAACCAATGCACTTAACAAAAATACAACCAAGGATTCTCACAGAGTCCACATCACTCCCCTGCTACCTCCACCAGGGCAGGTGCTGGTATCCACAGCTGAGAGACCTGAAGACAGATCACATTACAGGACTCTTTGCAGACACTCTCCAGTACCAGCCAGGATACTGCTATCTAGATCCAGATGAGAAATAACAATCACTGCAGTTCGATTCTCAGGAAGCCCCATCCCTAAAGCAAGAGGTAGAGCACCACATCAAGGGAGCACTATGTGAGACAAAAGAATCTGAGCAGCAACCCTTAATCCCTGGATTTTCTCTCTGACATAGTCTACCAAAATGAGAAGGAACCAGAAAAATAATTCTGGTAATATGACAAAACAACGTTCTTTAACACCACCAGAAGATCACCATGGCTCACCAGCAATGGATCCAAACCAAGAAGATGGCTATAAATTGATAGAAAAAAAATTCAGAAGGTCAATTATTAAGCTAATCAATGAGGCACCAGAGAAAGGTGAAGTACAACATAAAGAAACAAACAAACAAAAAAAGATGCAGCATATGAATGGAAAAATCTCCAGTGAAATAGCATAAATAACAAACAATCACAACTTCTGGAATTTAAGGACACACTTAGAGAATTACAAAACACACTGGAAAGTCTCACCAATAGAATCAAACAAGTAGAAGAAAGAACTTCAGAGCTCGAAGACAAGGCTTTCAAGTTAACAAAATCTGATAAAGACAAAGAAAAAAGAATTTAATAAAATGAATAAAGCCTCCAAGAACTTTGGAAATATGTTCAATGACTAAACCTAAGAATAATTGGTGTACCCAGGAAAGAAGATAAATCTAAGAGTTTGGAAAATATTTTTGAGGGAATAATAGAGGAAAACTTCCCCAGCCTTGCTAGAAATCTAGACATCTTTACACAGGAAGCTCAAAGAACACCTGGGAAATTCATCACAAAAATATTACTGCTGAGTACACAGTCATCAGGTTATCTAAAGTCAAAACAAAGAAAAGAATTTTAAAAGCTGTGAGGCACAAAGCTTCAGGTAACCTGTAAAGGAAAACATATCACATTAACAGCAGATTTCTCAGCAGAAATCCTACAAGCTAGAAAGGATTGGGGTACTATCTTTAGCTTCCTTAAACAAAACAATTATCAGCCAAGAATTTTGCATCCAGCAAAACCAAGCTTCATAAATAAAGATACACTCTTTTTTCAGACAAACAAATGCTGAGAGAATTGCCACTACCAAGAAAGCACTACAAGAGGTGCTAAAAGGAGCTCTAAATCTTGAAACAAATACTTGAAATACATCAAAATAGAACCTCTTTAAAGCATAAATCTCACAGGACCTATAAGAAGATAACAATAAAAAAACAAGATATTCAAGCAACAAATAGCACTATGCATAGAATAGTACCTCACATCTCAATATTAACATTACATATAAATGGCCTAAATGCTTCACTTAAAAGATACAGAATGGCAAAATGGGTAAGAATTCACCAACCAAGTATCTGCTGTCTTCAAGAGACTCAACTGACACGTAAGGACTCATAGAAACTTAAGGTAAAGGTGTGGAAAAAGATATTCTATGCAAATGGACACCAAAAGTGAACAGGAGTTGCTATTCTTATTATCAGACAAAAGAAACTTCAAGGCAAACAGCAGTTAGAAAAGACAAAGGGGGACGTTGTGTGATAATGAAAGTACTAGTCCAGTGGAAAATATCACAATCCTAAATATATATGCACCTAAGACTGGAGCTTCCAAATTTATAAAACAATTACTGTTAGATCTAAGGAATGATATGGACAGCAGCACAATAATAGTAGGGGTCTTCAATACTCCACTGATCAAATTGGACAGGTCATCAAGAGAGAAAGTCAACAAAGAAACAATGGACTTAAACTATACGCTAGAAAAGACTGGACTTAACAGATATTTACAGAACATTCTATACATTCTATTTATTAGCACATGGAACATTTTCCAAGATAGACCATATGATAGACCACAAAACAAGTCTCAACAAATTTAAGGAAACAGAAATTATATCAGGTATTCTCTCAGACCACAATGAAATATATTGGAAATCAACTCCAAAAGAAATCATCAAAACCAGGCAAATACATGAAAATTAAATAACCTGCTCCTGAATGATTGTTGGATCAACAACAAAATCAAGATGGGAATTAAAACATTATTTTAACTGAGTGATAAGTAACACAAACTATTAAAACCTCTGGGATACAGCAAAAGCAGTGCTAAAAGAAAAGCTATAGCCTTAAATGCCTACATCAAAAATTCTGAAAGAGCACAAAGGGATCATCTAAGGTCACACCTAAAGGAACTAGAGAAACAAGAACATACCAAACCCAAACACAGCAGAAGAAAATAAATTTAATGAAGATTAGAGTAGAACTAAATAAAATAGAAACAAACAAAAGAAAAACAAAGGATAAATAGAACAAAAAGCTGGTTATTTAAAAATATAAATAAAATTGATAGACCATTAGCAAGATTAACCAATAAAAGAAGAGAGAGGATCCAAATAAGGTCAATTAGAAATAAAATGGGTGATATGATTTATACAACTCATACCTCAGAAATATAAAAGATCATTCAAGGCTACTATGAACAACTTTACACACATAAACTAGAAAACCTAGAGGAGATGGATACATTCCTGAAAATATACAACCCCCCTAGATTAAACCAGGAAGAAATAGAAACTCTGAACGGACCAATAACAAGCAGCAAGGTTGAAGTAGTAATTAAAAAGTTACCCACAATAGAAGTCCAGGACCTGATGAATTCACAGCTGAATTGTATCAGGCATTCAGAGAAGAATTGATACCAATCCAGTTCTCTATAAATCATTCTATGAAGCTAGTATCACCCTAACACCAAAACCAGAATAGGACATAGGAAGAAAAGAATACTACAGACCAATATCCCTGATGAATATAAATGCAAAAAATCCTCAGAAAAATACTAGCAAACCAAATCCAAGATAATCCATATCAAAAAGATATAATAAATGTGTGATATGATAAACCATATCAAAAAGATAATCCACCATAATCAAGTGGGATTCATACCAGAGATGCAGGGATGGTTTAACTTCTGCAAGTCAATAAATGTGATACCCCACATAAAAAGAGTTAAAAACATAAATCACATTATCATCTCAATTGACACAAAAAAGCATGTGACAAAATCCAACATCCTTTTATGATTAAAACCTTAAGAAAAATTGACAAGGGACATACCTTAAGGTAATAAAGGCCATCTATGACAAACCCACAGCCAACATTCTGCTGAATGGGGAAAAGTTGAAAGAATTCCCACTGAGAACTGGAAGAAGACAAGAGTGCCACTTTCACCACTTCTGTTCAACATAGTACTGGAAGTCCTAGGCAGATCAATCAGACAAGAGAAAGAAATAAAGGGCATCCAGATCAGTAAACTGGAAGTAAAACTGTCACTGCTCACTGATGATATGACTGTATACCTAGAAAACCCTACAGACTCATCCACAACCTTCTAGAACTGGTAAATGCATTCAGCAAAGTTTTAGGATATAAAATTAACATACACAAATCAGTAACTCTGCTATACACCAACAACAACCAAGCTGAGAATCAAATCAAGAATGCAATCATTTTTACAATAGCTGCAAAAAGAAAAAATAAATTAGGAAGATACCTAACTAGGGAGGTAAAAGACCTCTACAAAGAAAACTACAAAACACTGCTGAAAGAAATCATAGATGACACAAATAAAGGGGTACATGGATGGATAGAAGCAATATTGTGAAAAGGACCATACTGCCAAAAGCAATCTACAAATCCCTTGCAATTCCAATCAAAATACCACCATGATTCTTCACAGAACTAGAAAAAAAAAATCCTAAAATTAATATGGAACCAAAAAAAGAGCTTGCATACCCAAAGCAAGACTAAGTAAGAAGAACAAATATGAAGGCATCCCATTAACAAACTTCAGACTATAATATAAGCCTATGGTCACCCAAGCAGCATGGTACTAGTATAAAAATAGGCATACAGATCAATGGAAAAGAATAGAGAATCCAGAAATAAAGCCGAAAACTTAAAGCCAACAGATATTCAACACAACAAACAAAAATGTAAAGAGGGGAAAGGACATCTGATTCAACAAATGCTGCTGAGATAATTGGCAAACCACATGTAGAAGAGTGAAACTGGATCGTCATCTCTCAACCTATACAAAAATCAACTCAAGATATATCAAAGACTTAAATCTAAGACCTGAAACCATATAGATCCCAGAAGATAGCATTGGAAAACTCTTTTAGACATTGGCTTAGGCAAAGAATTCATGATCAAGAACCTGAAAGCAAATGCAACAAAAACAAAGGCAAATATATGGGACTTAATTAAACTAAAAATCTTCTTCACAGCAAAAAAGTAATCACCAGAGTAAGCAAACAACCCACAGAGTGGGAGGAAATCTTTACAATCTATACATCCAACAAAGGACAAATACCCAGAATCTGCAAGAAACTCAGACAAATCAGCAGGAAAAAAACAAACAATTCCATCAAAAAGTGGGCTAAGGACATGAATAGGCAATTCTCAAAAGAATATATAAAAAGGGCCAAAAACATGAAAAAATACTAGACAACACTAATTATCAGGAAATGCAAATCAAAACCACAATGCAATAGCACCTTACTCTGCAAGAATGGCCATAGTCATATAATCAAAAAATAATATATGTTGGTGTGGATATGGTGAAAAGGGAACACTTTTAAACTGTTGATGGGAATGTAAACTAGTACAACCACTATGGTAAACCGTGTGGAGATTCCTTAAAAAACTACAAGTACAATTACAACTTGATCCAGCAATCCCACCACTGGGTATCTACTGAGAAGAGAAGTCATTATCCAAAAAGATACTTGCACAAGCATGTTTATAACAGCACAATTCACAATTGAAAAAATATGGAACCAGCCCAAATGCCCATCAATCAATGAGTGGATAAATAAATTGTGGTAGTTATATATACCATGGAATACTACTCAGTCATAAAAAAGTACAAAATAATGGCGTTTGCAGACACCTCTATGGAATTGTAGACCATTATTCTAAGTGAAGTAACTCAGAAATGGAAAACCAAACATCGTGTGGTCTCATTCATAAGTGGGAGTTAAGCTATGAGGATGCAAAGGCATAAGAATGATAGAATGGACTTTGGGGACTTGGGGGAAAGGGTGGGTGGGGGGTGAGGGATGAAAGAGTACACATTGGGTACAGTGTACACTCCTTGAGTGATGGGTGTACCAAAATCTTGGAAATCACCACTAAAGACCTTATTCATGTAATCAAACATGACCTGTTCCCCAAAAAATTCATCGAAATAAAAAAATGATATGTGAATAAATACGTAAATATTTAAAGGAACTGAAATTTCAGGAATAAAGTTCAAGGAAACTTTTTTATAAAACTTAACTCTCCTGCCTTTTGTTTTGTTGAAGTTGAGTTTAATCTCTCTCCTATTGCAATTGTCTTGGCTTATATTTCAACAGTGTTGAATAGTCTGCCATACCTGTTTCTACCTCTATGCAGTGAAATGTTTCCTTTACAGCAGAGAAACGTAACAATCTTGTGATGTGGCATAACTGTAACGACTCCATGATCATGATAACTATCATGTAAACAGCATATGCCAGACAGCAATCTTCTAAGCTCTCTATACATATTAATGGATTTAATCTCTATAATTGCTCAGTAAGGTGAATTCATCTATTATCCCCCTTAATGGATGAGGAAACTGGAATACAGATAGACTCAGAACCTCCCTAATATACACGTACATTTTTTTTTACCAAAGACTTTTTTAGGGCAGTTTTAGGTTCACAGCAAAATTAAGAGGAAGGTAAAGAGATTCCAGTGTAACTTCTGCCCTGTATATGCACAGCCTCCCCATTATCAACAAACCTGATTAGACTGGTACATTTGCTACAACTGAAGAACCTATATTGACACATCATAATCACCCAAAGTCCACAATTTTACATTAGAATCCACTCTTAGTGTTGTAAGTTCTATGGATTTGAACACATGCACAGTAACTTATATGTATCATTATAGTATCATACATAGTATTTTGTATTAAAGGTACTCTATGTTCTGCCTATTCATCCTTCCCTTCATCCAACTCCCAACCTCAGGCAATCATTGAACTATTTACTGTCTCCATAGTTTTGCCTTTTCTAGAATGTCATGTAACTGGAATCACAGTATGTAGCTTTACATTAGTCCTTTTTTATGTTGTTGTTGCTATAAAGGAATACCTGAGACTGGTGAGTTTATAAAGAAAAGAGATTTTTTTTGGCTTACAATTTTTCAGGCTGTACAGGACATATGATGCTGGCATCTGCTTCTGGACAGGCCTCAAGGAGCTTACAATAATGGTGGAAGGTGAAGAAGGAGCAGGTGAGTTGCATGGCAGCAAGAGAAGCAGGGGAGGTGCCACACATTTTTAAACAACCAGATCTCATGTGAATGCAGAGTGAGAACTCACTCATCAGTAAGGGGATGGCACTAAGCCATGCATGAGGGATCCACCCCCATGATACAATCATCTCACACCAGGCCCCACCTCCAACACTGAGGATTACATTTCAACATGGGATTAGAAAGAGACAAACAGCCAGACCATATCAAGACTTTTCAGATTGACTTCTTTCATTTACTAATGTGTACCTAAGTTTCCTCCATAGCTTTTGTGGCTAGACAGTTCATTTCTTTCTAGCACTGAATAATATTTCATAGTATGGATGCAACATAATTTATCTATTCATCTACTAATGGACACCTTGGTTGTTTCCAAGTATTGGGGATTATAAACAAAACTTTTATGAACATCTGTGTGTAGGTTTTTGTGTGAACATAAGTTTTCAACTCACATAGGTAAATACCAAAGAGCTGAACTGCTAGACAATTAGGTAAGTGTATGTTTAACTTTGTAATAAATTGCCAAACTATCTTCCAATGTAACTGCACCATTTTGCATTTTTCCCAGCAACGAGTGGGAGTTCCTGTTGCTCCACATTCCCATCAGCATTTGGTGTTGTCAGTGTTGCACATTTTGGTCATCCAATAGCTGTGTAACAGACGAAGTAGCTCATTGTTATTTTAATTTTCATGTCCTTGATAACATAAGATGAAAAGCATCTATTCATGTGCTTATTTGACATATGTATATATTCTTATTTATATGAGGTGTCTGTTAAGGTCTTTGGCCCATTTTTAAATTAGGTTTTTGTTTTTTTATTGTTGAGGTTTAAGAATATTTTGTATGTTTTGGATAACACTTCTTTATCACGTGTCTTTTGAAAGTACTTTTTCGCAATCTGTGGCTTGTCTTCTCATTTCCCATGACATTCTCTTTTACAGAGCAGAAGTTTTTTATTTTAATGAGTCCAACTTACTGATTTGTTTTTTCACTGATCCTGCCTTTAGTGTTGTATCTAAAAACTTATTTCTGGCTGAGTGCAGTGGCTCATGCGTGTAATCCCAGCACTTTAGGAGGCCAAAGCGGGTGGATCACCTGAGGTCGGGAGTTCAAGAGCAGCCTGTCCAAGATGGTGAAACCCCATCTTTACTAAAAAATACAAAAGTTAGCCAGGTATATTGGCAGATGCCTGTAATCCCAGATACTCAGGAGGCTCAGGCAGGGGAAATTGCTTGAACCCGGGAGGCGGAGTTTGCAGTGGGCCAAGATTGCCTCACTGCACTCCAGCCTGGGTGACAGAGCAAAACTCTGTCTCAAAAAACAAAACAAAACAAACAACAACAACAACAAAAACTTATTTCTAGTGGTTTCTGGGAGGAGGCAAAGCAAGATGGCCAAATAGAACACTCCAGTGATCATTGCACCACAGGAATACCAAATTGAACAAAGATCCACACAAGAAAGCACCTTCATAAGACTCCAAAAAAAAAAATCAGCTAAGCAATCACAGTATATGATTGTAACATAATATCAAGGAAAGAGACATTGAAGAGGGTAGGAAAGAGAGCTTAGAGAGCTTTGCACAATATACATCACCCCTCCCTCAACCCCAGGCAGGGCCATGTGGAGAGAGAAGCTGTGTACTTGTGGGAGGAAGAGCAAAGTGAGTGTGGGACTTCGCATTGGAACTCAGAGCTGTCACAGCAGAACACAGCACAGGGCAGATTTCTACCAGCACCTATGGAAGGAACATTTACACCAGCTGGAGGCCAGAGGTAAATTCTCCACCCAAGCAGAAGAAACTCAAGTCCTTGCTTCATCACCAAATGATTACATTGGCCTGGAACCCAGAATGAATTTGATCGGCAGTCAGGCCACAAAGACTGAAGCCCTTGGAAAATTCCTGATGCTGCAATGGTCTCAGAGGCAGGAGATGTGAGGTGTGACCCAGCTGTGGTGGTCGAAAAGTTTCTGCATTACCCCTCTTCCAAATCCAGGCCATTCAACTCAGGGAGAAACTCCTTCCACTTGGGGAAAGGAAAGGGAAGAGTACAGAGGACTTTGTCTTATATTTTGGGCTTAGCCACAATATAGTAAAACACCAGAGAGATTCCTGAAGCCCCCAGTTCCAGGACTTTGCTCTTGGACAATATTTTTAAAACCACTCTGGGCCAGAAGGGAACCTGCCACCCCGATAGGACAAATACAGTCCCAGCAGGATTTACCACCTACTAACTGAAGTGGCCCTGAGCCTTGTATAAATGTTAGCAGCAGCCAGACGAGTGGCCACAGGCACTGGGTGAGCCCCAGTTCCATGCTGGCCTGCAAGGCTTAGGTGCAACATTGTGCTGTGTCAGCCACGGTGGCCACTGTAGGGCCCAGATCACTCTTTCTCTGACTCCAAGCAGCCCAGTGAGGAGAGACTCCTTCTGATTAAGGGAAAAAGAGAGAAAAGAGTGAGAGACTTTGCCTGGTAACTCAGATAATTTGCCTTTATGGTCCTGAAGTCCACTAAGGCTGTGCCTTTAGTGGGGGTCTGTGGGAGTCGCTGTTCCTGGGCTAAGGGAGCTCTCTAGTGCTGAAACAGCTGCAAAGGCTTAGGTCACAATACTCAATTCCCTTTGAATTCTTGGAAAGCCTTCTCAAAGAGGACAGGTACAAAGAAGCTAAGACTGTGAAGATTCAATAAATACCCAACTCTTCAATACCAGACATTGACAAATGTCCACAAGAATTAAGTATATCAGTAAAACATTACCTCACCAATGGACTAAATAAGGCACCAGTGACCAATCCTGAAATGATGGAGATATGTGACCATTCAGATAAAAAGTTCAAAATAACTGTCTTGAGCAAGTTCAATGAATTTCAACATATTGCAGAGAAGGATTTCAGAATTTCATCAGAGAAATTTAACAGAGATTAAAATAATTTTTAAAATCAAGCAGGAATTCTGGGAGCCAAAATGTTCAACTGGGAAAATGAAAAATAAAATACATAAAAGTCTTTCAACAGCAGAATTGATCAAGCAGAAGAAAGAATTAATGAGCTCAAAGACAGGCTATGTGAAAATATTCAGTTAGAGAAGACCAAAAAAAAAAAAAAAAGTACAAAGGATTAGCATGTCTAAAAGATCTACAAAATAGCCTCAAAAGGGTAAATCTAAAAGTTACTTGCCTTAAAGAGGCTGTGAGCAGAAAGACAGACATAGATCAGGGTAGAAAATTTATTCAAATAAATAATAGCAGAGAACTTTCCAAACCTAGAGAAAGACATTAATATCCACGTACAAGAAGGACAAAGGATACCAGGCAGATTCAACCTCAAGACATATAATAAAGTTCAGAAGGTGGGTTCAAGATGGCTGATCAGACATAGCTAGAGTGCACCAGTGTCATGGAGAGGAAACAAAGTGTTGAGAAAATAGTGGCTCTTCAAGTTTCTCATCTTGGAGACCACATCAGTATTCATCAAAGAAGTGAGAGGATCCACAGAGAACAGACAGGAGCAAAGTCACGCAGCTGCCCACCCGGCACTGGCCTGGAGCTGGGAGAAGCACCCTGACATGGGGAAAGGGTGAGTGAGTGAAAGCCACCGGGGATCCACACTTTCCACACAGACTTTAGCAAATCTGAGCATGGGAAAGAGAGAAGAATGCTCTTGAGCCCCACAGACATCTAGACTGACTCAGAGAGCCTTCTGGAATTTTTAAAGAGGTACCGCTCAGGCCCACGTGGAGCCCAGAAAGCCTGCTACACTGAAACAAGTAGCTCAGGACACCAGGCACTCTATTGTCCAACTCTTCACCTGAAACAACAAGAGAGTGCCTTACAGTAAACAAAGGTCACCTGCTTGTGTAATAGCTGGCTCATACTTGTAAACACCATCTACTATTCTATAGGTCAAATTGCACAACCCAACACAAAACTTGCTGACAGAAGTGAATAGGAATATAGTATTAAAATGAAAAGACACTACCTAACACAACCCTCAGCAAATGAGAAGGAATCAGCATAAGAATTCTGTCACTGAAAAATATAAATGTTGAGGCATCACCAAAGGCTAACTCTAGCTCTTCAGCAGTGATCTCTAACCAAAAAAGGAGCCAGAGAAATGACAGATGGATAATTCAAAGCACAGATTGTAGAGAAACTCAATGAGCTCCAAAATAAGGTTGAAAATCGATGCAAAGACACCTGTAAAGCAATCCATGAAATGAAGAGGTAAATATCTTGAAAAGAAATCAGTCAGAGCTATTGGAACTAAAAAACTCACTTAAGTAATTTCCAATACAATAGAAAACTACAAAACAACCAATACAGTAAACCAAATGAAAGAAAAGATTCCAGGGCTTTCAAATCCATCTAGCCAGACAAAAATACAGATTTTTTTTTAATGAACAAAGAATCTCAGAAATATGAGCTGATGCAAAGTGTCAAAACCTGTGAACTACTGGCATTCCTGACAGAGAAGGAGAAATAGTAAATAACCTGGAAAACATTTGAGGGAAAATTTTAAGATCATTCCTCTAATCTTGCTAGAGAAGTAGACATCAGGATATAAGAAATCCAAAGGCCTTCCAAATACTATACAAAATGAATTTCACCAAGATGTGTAGATACCAGACTATGTCAGATAAATGCTAAAGAAAAATATTTTGAAGACAGCTTGAGAAAAAGGTCAGATAACATACAAAGGGCAACCATCAGGCTAACAGCAGACTTCTCAGGAGAAATTCTCAACCCAGAAGAGACTGGGAGCCTGTTTTCAACATTCTTAAAGAAAATAAACTCCAGTGAAGAATTTCATACACCAGAAAAACTAAGCTTCCTGAGCAAAGGAGAAATAAAATATTTTTGATAAGCAATTGCTAATGGAATTCATTACTAGACCAGCCTTACAAGAGATCATTAAGGGAATTCTAAACACATAGATGAAATAACAATATTGGCTGCCGCAAAACCACACCAAAGTACATAGCACACACACCTTTTAAAGAAACCACAAAATAACTACAAAACAACCAGTTAATAACTTCATGATAGAATCAAAATTTCAAATATCAATATTAACCTTGAATGTAAATGGTCTTAACAAACCACTTGAAAGACACAGAGTAAGTAGTAAGTTGGATTGAAAACAAGACCCATTGTCTGCTGCCTTCAAGAGATTTATCTCATGTGTGACAACATTAATAGACTCAAAGTAAAGGGTTGAAGAAAGACTGATTATTCAAAAAGAAAACAAAAAGAGCAGAGGCTCTATTCTTATATCAGATAAAATAAACTTAAGCCAACAACAGTAAGAAAACAAGAAGAAGGATACTACATAATAATAAAGGATTCAATCCAACAAGATGACTTAACTATCCTAAATACATAATGCACTCAACATTGGAGCACACAGATATATAAAACAAATAATTCCAGACCTACAAAAAGACTTATACAGCCACAAAATAATAGTGAAGAACTTTAACACCCCACTGACAGTGTTTGACAGATCAAAGCAGACAACTAACAAATCTGGGGCTTAAATTTGACACTTAACCAATTGGACCTAGTAGACAACTACAGAATCTACCACTCATCATCCATAGAATATATATTCTTCACATTTGCACACAGAATATACTCTTAAGATTGACCAAATGCTTGGCCATAAAGCAAGTCTTAATACATTCACAGAAATCAAAGTCATTCCAATCATACTTTCAGACTACAGTGGAATAAAAATAGAAATAATTACAGAAAAGATATCTCAAAAGCACACAATTACATAAAAATTAAAGAATTTACTCCTGAATGATATTTGGGTGAAAGATGAAATTAAGGCAGAAATTTAAAAATTTCTTGAAATAAATGAAAACAGAGAAATATCAAAATTTCTGGGAAACAGACAAAACAGTGTAAAGAGGAAACTTACAGCACTAAACACCTACATCAAGAAGTTAGAAAGATCTAAAATAAACAATCTAACATCATACTTGAAGGAACTAGAAAAACAACAAGAAATGAAGCCCAAAGATAGCAGAAGAAAAGAAATAACCAAAACCAGAGCCAAGCTGAATAAAATTGAGATTCAAAAATCCATAAAAAGGATCAACAAAACCAAAAATTAACTCAAGATAAATTAAAGACTTAAATGTAAAACCTAAACCTATAAAAATTCTAGAATAAAACCTAGGAAATACCATTCTGGACATCACCCTTGACGTAAAAAGGATTTTATAACAAAGACACCAAAAGCAATTTCAAGAAAAACAAAAATTGGCAAATGGAGCCTAATTAAGCAAAAGATCTTCTGCATGGTAGAACACATTATCAACAGAGTAAACAAACAACCTACAGAATGGGAGAAAATATTTGCAAACTATGCATCTGACAAAGGTCTGATATCCAGAAACTGTAAGGAATGTAAACAACTGAACAAGCATGAGCAAATAACTTCATTAAAAAATGAGCAAAGGACATGAACAGGGACTTCTCAAAAGAAGACATATATATATACAACAAATATATTGAAAAAATGCTCATTATCACTAATCATTAGGAAGATGCAAATCAAAAATACAATGAAATGCCACTCACACCAGCCAGAATGACTACTATTAACAAGAAAAAATAAATAACAGATGCTGGTAAGATGGCAGAGAAAAGGGAATACTTACACACTGCTGGTGGAAATGTAAACTAGTTTCAGCCACTGTGGAAAGCAGGAAGAATCAATATCATTAAAATGGCTATGCTGCCTAAAGCAATTTGCAGATTCAAGGCTATTCCTATAAAACTACCAATGACATTCTTCATTCTTCACAGAACTAGAAAAAAACTATTTTAAAATTCATCTGGAAAAAAAAAGCCTGAATAGCCAAGGCAATGCCAAGCAAAAAGAACAAAGCTGGAGGCATCATGTTACCCAACTTCAAACTATACTACAAAGCTACAGTAAACAAAACAGCATTTTACTGGTACAAAAACAGGTACATAGACCAATGGAATAGATTGAGAGCCCAGAATGAAGGCTGCATATCTACAAAAACCTGATCTTTGACAAAGCTGACAAAAACAAGCAATGGAAAAAGACCCCTTATTTAATAAATGGTGCTGAGATAACTGGCTAGCCATGTGAAGAAGATTGAAGTTGCACCCCTTCCTTACACTATACACAAAAATCAACTCAAGATGGATTAAAGACATAAATGTAAAACCCAAAACTATAAAAACCCTGGAAGACAACCTAGGCAATAACCTCCTGGACATAGGAATGGGCAAAGATTTCATAACAAAGACACCAAAAGCAATCACAACAAAACAAAAAATTAACAAGTAGGATCAGATTAAACTTAGGAGCTTCTGCACAGCAAAAGAAACTATTGATGAGTAAACAGACAACCTGCAGAATGAAAGAAAATGTTTGCAAAGTATGCATCTGACGAAGGTCTAATATTCAGCATCTATAAGGAACTTAACCAAATTTACAAGAGAAAAATAAACAACCCCATTAAAAAGTGGGCAAATGACATGAACAGACACTTCTCAAAAGAAGACATTTATGTGGCCAACAAGCATACGATAAAAAGCTCAACATCACTGATCGTTAGAGAAATGCAAATCAAAACCACAATGAGATACCATTTCATACAAGTCAGAATGACTATTATTAAAAAGTCAAAAATAGATTCTGGCAAGGTTTCAGAGAAAAAGGATCACTTATACACTGTTGGTGGGAGTATAAATTAGTTCAACCATTGTGGAAAGCACCATGGCGATTCCTCAAAGAGCTAAAAGCAGAACTACCATTTTACTCAGCAACCTCATCACCAGGCGTATACCCAGAGGAATATGAATCATTCTACCATAAAGAGATATGCATGCAAATGTTCTTTGTAGCACTACTCACAATAACAAAGACATGGAATCAACTTACATGCTCATCAATGATAGACTTGATAAAGAAAATGTGCTACGTATACACCATGAAATATTATTCAACCATAAAAAGAGTCTTTTGCAGAAACATGGATAGAGGTAGAGGCAGTTATCCTTAGCAAACCCATGCAGGAACAGAGAACCAAATAATACTGCATGTTCTCACTTATAAGTGGGAGCTAAATAAGGTCAATTTGAGGGGGCAGGGTGTGATGAAGGAGAGGAGCAGAAAAAAAATAACTATTGGGTACTGGGCTTAATATCTGGGTGATAATATGTACCACAAACACCCATGACACATGTTTACCTATGTTACAAACCTTCCCAAGTGCCCACAAACCAAAAAGAGACAAGTATAGTAATTATATAATGATAAAGGGTTCAATTCAGCAAGAGGATAAAACAATT
The DNA here is from genome assembly GCF_000001405.40 of Homo sapiens. NCBI lineage: Eukaryota > Metazoa > Chordata > Mammalia > Primates > Hominidae > Homo > Homo sapiens. Next base: position 171,335,338 of record NC_000004.12, read on the forward strand.
TTAAATATATATGCACTCAATGCTGGAGCATCCAGACATATAAAGCAAATATTATTAGAGCTACAGGGAGAGATACATTCTAATAAAATAATAGCTTGTAACTTTAACACACCACTTTCAGCACTGGAGAGGTCATCTAGACAGAAAATCAAAAAAGAAACATCAGACTTAATATGCACTGCAGACCAAATGGACCTAACAGACATTTAGGAAGATTTCATGCAACAACTCTTGAATATACATTATTCTCCTCAGCACATGGAATATTCTCAAGTATACACCATATATTAGGCCACACAGCAAGTATCAAAAATTCAAAAAATTTGAAATCATATTAAGTATCTTCTCTGACTACAATGGAATAAAACTAGAAATCAATATCAAGAAGAACTTTGGAAATTACACAGACACATGGAAATTAAACAATATGTTCCTTATCAACCACTAAATCTATGTAGATATTTTAAAAAATAAAAATGCTTGATACTAATGACAATGGAAGCACAACATACCCAAAACCTATGGGATACAGCAAAAGCAATACTAAGAGGGGAATTTCTAGCAATTTCCATCAACAGCTACATCAAAAATAATAAAAATCAAATAAACAACCTAACACTGCATCTTAAAGGACTAAAAAAATAAGAGCAAACCAAACCCAAAACTAGTAGAAGAAAATAAATCATAAAGATGAGAGCAGAAATAAATAAAATTGAGACTTAAAAAAGAATACAAATATCAATGAACCAAAAGATGAGAGCATAAATAAATAAAATTAAGACTTAGAATGCAAATATCAATGAACCAAAAAGTGGGGTTTTTGAAAAGATTTTTAAAAAATCAACAATCTTTTAGCCAAACTAAGGAAAAAAGAGAGAAGACCCAAATAAATAAAATCAGAAATGAAAAATGACACAGTACATCTGATCCCAAAGGAATTCAAAGAATCAGAGGCTATTATAAACAACTGTATGTCAATAAACTGGAAAACCTAGAAGAAACGTATAAATTCCTAGACACATACAATCTACCAAGGTTGAATCATGAAGAAATCCAAAATAATGAGACAGAAGCAGTGATAAAATGTCTTCCTTTAAAGTAAAGCCAAGGACCTAATGTTTTTACTGATGAATTTGACCCCAAATTTAAAGAACCAATAACAATCCTACTGAAACTATCCAAACATTGAGGAGGAAGGAGTACTTCCAGAGTAATCCTATGAAGCAAACGTCACCCTGACACCAAAACCAGACAAAAATATACAACAACAACAAAAAGAAAACTAAAGGCCAATATCTCTGATGAACAAGGTTATAAAACTTCTCAAGAAAATACTAGCAAACTGAATTCAACAATACATTAAAAAGATTATTCATCATGATCAAGTGGGATTCATCCCAGAGATGCAAGTATGGTTCAAGCTATGTAAATCAATGTGATACGTCATATCACATATCAGAAGTTTTGCCTGGATTAACTAATACTGTCAGGTAGAGTAACATAAAGGTTGTGATTATTCAATGGTCCACTGATTGTGTCAGCAGAAAAGTCTCAGAGGTCTCTACAAGAATGGTTAAGTGGAGAGGTAGAGATCAAAAACCAAAATCAGATTAGAAACCTAAAGACTAAACAAAACAAGAAAACATGGCTATCCTACTAAAATAATGAAAAATTGAGATAATTAATTACGTTCTGCTGCTGGCATTTAATAGCTTAGAAAAAGAGTCCTTTGGCTTTCAGTTTAACACCTCCTTTGTCTTTTGTTTATCTTAGAGAAAATATCATTTCCAAGGATAACAGGTTAAAACAAAGGAGAATTAACTAATTCTTCATTCATAATATACACTCAAGACATTTTTAAAAAAGATTATTATTATGTGAAAAAATCAACTGAACTAAAGCCATCATTTTGAACAATGATAAAAATATCATGTTAAAAATCTCAACAAATGAATGGTTGACTGCCCTCTTTCCATGTTCGCTGCCTATGTCTATAACCTACATCATCCAAATTGATAAAAATCATGCTAAACATAAGATATGAATTTCAGCTCTGACAGCCATGTTGAGTTACAGAAATATTCTGCAAATACGTAAGTTCATACATTCATGCTTAGGTGATCTCAGGCCTTCTGGTGCCTCTTATACTTGGAGAGTGACTGTATAAATTGTACAAAAACTGTTTGTGTTTGAACTATGCAGCCATAAAAAATGATGAGTTCATGTCCTTTGTAGGGACATGGATGAAGCTGGAAACCATCATTCTCAGCAAACTGTCGCAAGGACAAAAAACCAAACACCGCATGTTCTCACTCATAGGTGGGAATTGAACAATGAGAACACTTGGACACAGGAAGGGGGAACATCACACACTGGGACCTTTTGTGGGGTGGGGGGAGGGGGGAGGGATAGCATTAGGAGATATACCTAATGTAAATGACGAGTTAATGGGTGCGGCACACCAACATGGCACATGTATACATATGTAACAAACCTGCACGTTGTGCACATGTACCCTAGAACTTAAAGTATAATAAAGAAAATATATATATGTATAAAGAAATATATAAACAGTTGGATATTTATATTTATATTTAAACAGCAAAAAAGAGTACCTAAATTGTTTGAGACATATGAAGAAAAGACATAAGAAAAAAGGCCAAGGAATTATGATAGAATATGTCTGATATCTAGGTCTAAAAAGTCAGATACATGAAATACTTAACCAATAATTTAAAGACTCACAGTGCTTCCTGCCTGGATCCTGGCACATCTGTGGCTCTGGAATTCTTATATGTCCTGCACATGATGGTTCACTCTACACCTGCTTTTTGGGTAAAGAAAATGAGCCATTTTTATACTTTGCTTATTATCATATTACTAGCCTTGTTATCCATAACCACATCAGAGTCTCCTGCAACTTCACTCTACTTTTCTCATGTAGTTCTTTATTATTCATACAAAGCATACTTTTTATAGCAGAATTTAATACTAGAATATATACGTTTGTGTGTGTATACATATATAGTATATTTATGTATATATATATATAGTATCCTGTGTGAAGAAAAAATTTTTTCTTCAATTAAAATACTTATTTTTCTGAATACAATGACCCTGAACAATATTTTTGCTTGACTTTTAAAAAGATAAGGTGTTTAAAATATGTAGACTCTTAAAATTTTTGCAAATGTTGCAAATGTGTTGCAGACTTTCTGTAGACATAAATCAGTTAAAGGTCAACAAATATTATGCTAATTTATGTCATTTGTTTAGGCCAATGGTTGATGATGAGTATGTCCATAAGAAAGCTGCAAATTTGTTGTCTCTCCAAAGATACATGTTTTTAAAACAATTTTAAAATCCCAACCAGAATATTCCAAAGCTCACTTTCCTTTTTCTCTAAAATTAGACTGGCAGCAAACACTGAAATGAGTTATGGAGCCTGACATCTAATTAACACAGTCTTTATAGGTTTAATGAGCAGTGATAAATTTCTATCCTTTTTTTGGCACATTTTAATTAGTTGTAATTATGAGTGGAGTGACCTGAAAAGATTGTTGTCCCACAGAATCACAGTAAATTTGTATAATTTATATTTGCAGGGACAGAATGTGTTTTTATGACATGAAAAACAAAAAGGTTATTTAAGCCATTATAGTAGTCATATAAAATCTTACCTAAAGCTCAGATAACTAAAACATTGGGCATTCATATTTTACTAACATCAGGGGAGATGCTTCATAAGCGCATTTATCAAGATCATTTCTCTAGAGAGTTGTTCTTTGCAACTTGTGTGCAACCTGAACTCAGATATTTATACATATGTATATATACATATATATACACACAAACATACTATATATGCTATGTTCATCTTATTAGTAAGGAAAACTATATAAAAACTATATACATTTCCTATAATTCTTAATATTATTTTAAAGAATGATATGATATGATATGCTTTAAGGAATAGAATAAAAGAAAAAGTCTTCAGTATTCATTAGGAATAAAATGTAAGACAAGGCAGATACTCTCCTTAATGTTATAAAGATTCCCATGTAGCAGAAGAGAAAAACAAACAATTCTCATAAATGCCAACATTTGGAGGACACCAGGTGCACACAATGGGAAAACCTATATTGCAACTGAAGGATCAGTGAAGACTCTGAGGAGTGATTATGATTATTGTGATGATGATGACATGAAAAATAATAATCAACACTCTCTTTGTGGTTACTTATTGCTGGACATTGTTATAAGAGTTTACACAGTTCTTCAATAACTGGTAATTTTTAGGTATGGGAGAACTAATCAGTTGAATTTTCTCATATAAGGTAAAGTTGCAGAGAGCATGGAAAGTCTAGTGGATAGCAGATTATATTCAGAAATTCACATTTGGTAGAATACCCCCAAAATATACATTCAATCACTTTCAAAAGGAGAAGGGGTTTATTTTCGCCTTCCTTTAACATTTCTGCATTTCAAACCTCTTTTAATGCCTACTAAACACCATTAATACCAAGTTGGAACCAAAGCTCCATTCCCTACAACTTTCAACTTCTGCCCTGTTTCCTACACTACAATCTACTTCGAACTATCATCTTTACAAAGGAATTAGTATCCCAGTAATCTTAGGATAATTGTATAAGCTTCCTATCCTCATAGGCTTTCTTCAGAGCAGGATCCTGCAATTACACATCTGCCATTGTCAATATGACATATGTATTTTGTACCTATGAAATGTCTTCCTCAATCATTTATGTAATTATTTCTGTGAGATGTTATAGTGGATTTTATTATACAAATACGGCTGCAGCATAGCTTTCATTCTGCAAATTAATATATAATGGGACCTCGATATTGTTCCCAGAAATCCTCATATATGTACCTTCATTTGAATGAGCAGGGGCTGACATGACTCATTTGTAACCAATAGAATGCAGCAGAAGTTACACCGCATGCTTTCTGATAATACATTAGAAAAAGCAATGCAAATTATGCCTTGCTTGCTGGAACACTCTATTTGAAGCCCTGAGCCAGTGTATAAGCATTATGACTACCCTGAGGCTAACAGGCCAAATAGTTCATCTGGAAAGATCCCATAGAGAGGTCACGTGACCACATTAAGGGAGAGAAATGCCTGGCTAGCCATTATTAGCTCCCGCGTGAGCCACCACGTGATTACAATTGCACATGAGAGCCTGACCCAAAACTACCCAGCCTAGTCCATCCTAAACTCCTACCATGCAGAAGCTGTAAGCGATAATAAGTCAATTGTTTCAAGCTAATAAGTTTTGACATTATTTGTTACTTAGCAATAGATAAATACAAAGAAATTTTTGTATTACATTTTATAACAGGCTGTGCTGTGCTGTCCAAGTGTTCCTGGGATCCTTTATATATTGCAGGGCCATTTTCCCACTCTTTCTACTTTCCTTTACTTCTTAGTATTATTGCCTAATAGAAATCTTCTGTAAAAGCTGTCTTTAAATGTGAACACTAAAAGGAGGATATTATAGTTGCACAGCTACTGTCTTGATTCAACTGCCAGTAGATTCTAAGCATATTCCTGAGAATCAAAGGCTTTCATGGCCCAATCCCTGCTTGGCAGCTGTAATGCACTATGGCTTCTGGCAAGTCACTTAACGTCTATGGAACATCTTATTCCTCAGCAAAAAGACAATAATACTTACCTATCGCACAGCGGTATTGTATGGTTTAGATAGGGTTGCTCTCTGAAAATATGAAACACTATAATTTCAAGACAATATTATAAACCTACTATCCCATTTTCATTTCTGACCATATGGAGTGGGACCTATGAGGATTTTGTATCTAGTGTTCAAAGTTTCCACTATTTAAATTGTCACCTTACAACCTACTACGTTCCTTACTAACCATTTAAATACTAAAATAAAAAAATGGCTAAATAAAAATCCATGTGCTATGCTGAAATGGGTGCTCTTTTGGGTTTCATTTTCCTAACTTTTCAGGACATTTGCAAAGTTTTATGAGTTTTTAACAGTCTCAATCTATCTTGGATCTGCAAAAGAAATTTTACTCTACTGTACTTTTAAGGAGTCCATATCAGGGAACAATTTGCTATGGAAATCTAAGGGCCTGATTAAGTTTTAGTCAAATTGTCTTTAAAAAATCACATTAATAATTCATGCTCCATTGGTTATTGATATGCATTATTTGGCTCAAAAACATATTTCTATTAAAGAGGCTTGTATTACCTATACAGATTTTTTTTTAAATAAGGACTTAGAATTAGGTAAATTAGTTCCCATTTATTTATTGATTGATTGGTTTTTATTTTTTGAGATGGAATCTTGCTCTGTCTCCCACTCTGGAGTGCAGTGGCGTGATCATAGCTCACTGCAGCCTCGAATTCCTCAAGTGATGCTCCCACCTCAGCCTCTTGAGTAGCTGGGACTACAGGTGCATACCACCACGCCTGGCTAATTTAAAAATATTTTTTAAAGACAAAGTCTCACTGTGTTGTCCAGGCTGGTCTCAAACTCCTGGGCTCAATTGATAAACTCCTTCCTGCCTTGGCCTCTTAAAGTGCTGGATTGACAGGCATGAGCCACTGCACCCAGGCACCATTTAATTTTAGGATAGAGCACATCATGGATGGAACACATAAGAAATACTGAAAACGTGGTTTAATATAGTTTAAATAAACATTTGCTTTAATATAATTTCACCAATATTAAGGGAAAGGGAATTAATCCATGCCTTTATTGTACTTCAAACCTGTAATTAATTTAAATAACAATATCAACAAAGTGTAGCAGTGTTTAAATTGAGCTGACTATGCCCCCATGCCCACAGAGGTGCTAAAAATAAAACAGAAATATAAAATTGTCTTTTAAATGAGAAAGTTAATTTCATGTATTTTTCATTAAAATATTTTTAGTTACAAAGAGTGAGAATTTAATCATTTTTTTCCTAATAGACAATGCCCATATTGGCTAATACATAACCCATCCTCGAACCTGGGTATTTATAAGAAAATTAGACTATTTAGGTTTGAGTCATTTGACATTTGAGTGTTGTTAATCTCTTTTGTGTTCCATAATGTATTTTGTGTCAGTTTCATCCCAAATCTGAACTCTCTCCATAAGAAGTATTAAGACACAGGTGGAATGCACTGAAATTTACCTAATAATCTACAAAAAAAAAAAAAATCAGCAGGATTCAGCATAGCTTTTGCTGTTTGTTTGTTTGTTTCTATAAAAAATTTAATGCCTTTTGTTATTTTAAAAACTAAAATATCCTGGCCACGGCTCAGGACTCCCCAAGCAGGCAGTCTGCAGTCTTCTGCTGACAGCTGCAGGAGAAGCTTTGTGTCCTCCATCTGTCACCAAATTTCCTCTAACTCCTGCTGCTGTTCTACCATCACCAATCCGTGGACCATGGAGCTCCTACCTATGGGGCACCCCAGCACTTTTCTTTAAGATTAAAGCCAGAAATCCAGTCCTCTGAAATGGACATTATGTCATAGAAGACTTTCACAGTTGGAGTTGGAACTTGAGAAACAGGATTAGGCGACAGCTACATATGGCCCTCCGTATGACAGGAAGCTCTGCATCCTGAGGAAAACCAAACACATTGCCTAATCCCATACCATCCTCTTCATGCAAACCATAAATTCTGGCTCTCATAATTCAAATCTATATTCACCACTGAGTAAACAGAAGTCCCAATTTTTACTGAAGAAAATCCTACATTAACTGCCATTACTATCCAATTTAGACTCCCCTTAACACACCTAAACAAATAATCAAAATCCCATTGCAAATTTCAGAAAAAATGTTAATATGCTAATGATTGAGTTAGGAAGTAGGATGATAAAGTCAAGGGATTCTTTATTTAGTTAGAGGGTAACTGGAATCCACACAGTTTATCTGTGAGGTGTTATTTGTGATTATTCTCAGTAAAGTAAGTAATTTGAAGCTAGGCATTGAATGAACAATAAGAGTTTAACTGTTTCAATACTATGGGTTTAGAAATCTAAGGATGCTAATATATATCAAAATAATTAGTAAATAAAATTATACTTTAATAGGATTCAACATAGATTGGAAATCTTTTTAATTTCAGCATTTTTATTAAAGCAATGATCAACATTTTATTTTGAAGCTGGGGGTATCTGCAACAATGGAGTGAACACATAAGAAATACTGGAAATAATATATTAATATAATTTAACCAAACATTGTTTTAATATAATTTGACCAATATTAAGGGAAGAGGAATTAATCCATATCTTTAGTGTATTCAAATATGTAATTCATTTTAATGACAATATCATCTAAATTTAGCAATGTGTAAACGGGGCTGACTATGTTCCCAGGACCACACAAGACCTTAAAATAAAACAGAAATGTAAAATTCTCAATGTTACATATTAAGCAACTCCCATTTTTACCAGCTCTATATTTATAAATTATTCTATCATTTACAATATAAATTTAAAATCATGGTTATGCCTCCCTAAGCACTACTGGCTATGCAGTTATAAAACCAAACTCCATAATACTGCAGAACACTGTACAATAAAATATCTACACAATACTGTGCAAATAACATTTGAAAAATAGATCATATTTTTGATATGGAATAGGTTCTATATATATATGTTTAGATATAACACACAACATATATATATACACACACATACATATACATACACATACTTATCTAGAGAATAAAGTAAATGAATAGTGAGCTAAAAATAAAATGTAGGGCTTCCTCACTGTCAGTCTCACTTTCAGTGAAAATTAGACTGTCAGTTTTATTGACAAGTGTCCTGGAAACAGTTTTGAATTCAACAAATTACAGTTTTTATAGGAATAATATCAAGTATATGGGAATATTTAAGCATTTGGCTATTTAGTTTAAAGATCACAGTGGAAGAAGCTGTGACATTATATTAATTGCTGAAATATTTCTTGGTTCTTTAAAAAATAATGTTTTCTATATTTTAGAATTATTCATTAATTTGAGTAGTAAACCTCTAACATTCAAAAAGAATAAACTAATAACCTGAAATATATTCAGTAAAAATATGTTATATTTCATTTTGCAGTATTTGCCATTTCTATGTGTTCTTCTATCCAACCTTCAAAATGTTAATCCCAGTGTCTCCTCCTGGAATTTTTTTTCTAATCTATATTTCCTACTAAACTATGAGATACAAAAGAGTGGGAGGCATTTTATCTTCTAAATCTGGCTCAATGCCTGGCCTTACTGAGTATTCAGTAGCTATTTTTCAATAAATGAATATGCTTATTATATAGCTATTATTCTAATCTCCACTAACAGTATAGTCCATTTGATCAAGTAATCCTTTTAGAGAATTTGGCTTTTTATGAATCTTTAATTCATAGAGTATGAATGTTGATATTGTTATTCAATCAGAAAATTACTTCAAAAAATGTATATTTGTTTTTTTTCCTGCTTTGATCCTCCAGAATTTTACTCATCCTGTTTTTAAAATTATAAAACTCACCTGCCTAATGCATGTTGTAATTATCTTTATTGTGCTATTAGGAATAGGCTTAACATTTCTGGTTACTATAAATTATATAAAAGCAACACAACTTTGCAACTTACATTTGATGCATAATTTTGAAAATCAGTTATTTCTCCTGTATTTAATAATTAGAAGAAGAACTACATTTTATGTTTTAGAGATACTTTGTTTGAATACAAATACCTTAAAAATATAGTATATTTCAAAACAGTAATATTGTTGTCACAGATGAGAATATCTATTGGAAATAGTGATATAATTCTTGGCATACTCTCGCAATAGCTTATATTATGTTTAGAAAATAATGCCCTGGTGGAAGTCAGCTGGCTGACCCACGACCTACAAGGACACAATATAATGGAATGGGTGTTACATTTCAGAGCTAAGTATACATGTTTGTAGGTCAGGCAACTTGATTTTGTTAGTCTTCCGAGGTGATCCAGCTCTTTTCCACTGACTCATTTTTGTTGAAATCCCATTAATATAATATTCAGAATGACTGTTTTCTTCAAAGTACTATAATCAATCTAACCTGTGCTTGCTACCCAGAATGTCTATTTATGATGGACAAGATGCGTGAAGAATGATTATTATTGAAAGTCATCTTTAAGAAGAAAAACAAGGGGAGTTAGTGATCTTTAAGACTATAAATCTGATAGCCTGATGATACAGCTTCTGAATTAAAGTCTGGCAAATTAGGGCCTGCAGGCCAAATCCAGTCTGTTGCTTAAATGTGTGCAGACAACCCAGATAGTAATTGTTTATACATTTTAAGATGGCTGAAACAATCAAAAGAAGAATAATATTCCCCAACACGTAAAATTTGTATAAAATTCAAATTTCAGTGTCCGAAAATAAAGTTTTATAGGAACACATCCATACTCATGCATTTAGAAAGTGGAGAAGACAGGCTTTAAAACAAGGCCAAATGACTCCAGCGCCTGTAATCCTAATCACTGTGCTACATAATTAAAAAATACATAATAAATATGTCCTGACTTTACATGATGGATGTTAAATTTTAAATTAGTTAACATTCAATAAGAATATTGCATAACTGTGTTATCAACATACTCTTGTTAGCCTTTATCTTTTATATATATTTTAAAGTAGAGCTTTACAAAAAGTAAAATGTCCAAGTTATTTAAATTTTATCTAATTTTAGTAAAATATTTATTGCATTCAACACTATCATAGCACTAATTAAAGATTTTGGTTCTGTGAAAAGATTAGGTAATGGAAATTATACCCTTTTCCCTATTTGGTCTTATTCTAATAAGTGAGAAAAAACATTTACACTTGTAAGTTATTTTCACCTCAGTGCTTTTAGCAACATTTGCAAGTACAGAATAAATGCTATAAATTAAATTTCCTGCATAAATTGTGTTACCTAATTGTTACTGACTGACATAAATAAAGTTTTAACTTCACATTTAAACATGCATTTTCTATTTTCTCAGATGTATGTTTTAATGCTTTAATTTTCTCTATTTTGCAATTTTGGTAAAAAATAAAATCTGGTTTTTATATAGTAAAAGTTGATATATATATATACACAACTTAAATCCCAAGCTAGATGTTAAAATCTAAACGTAAAAATAAATAAATATTGGTAACAATTTTGTTGCTTTTGTACTTTCAAAGTATTATAATTAAGATTAAAGCCACTTAAAAATAAAAGATTAAAAACATGATTTTCCATAAAGAATACATCTCTAGATACAATTAAACAATTTAAATCTAGGGGACAATAGCATTTACTGAAGAAGATGGTTTCACTCAGTATTAATTCAGTAATCACTGCGTTAACTTCTCTATTAACACTTAACTGTGTTAAGGTCTCTATTGTTGTTACCACAAATTGAGTGGCTTACATCAACACAAATTTGTTGTCTTACGGTTCTATAGATGAGTAATTCAACATTGGTCTACCTAGAGTAAATCATGCTGTCAGCAGGGTGTGTTCCCTTTCATAGGTTCTAGGGGAGAATCCGTTTCCTTGCCTTTTCCAGCTCCTAAACTTTGCCACATTCCTTAGGGCAAAGGGAGGCCCCTTCCTCCAATGTAAAAACCAGCAATATTGTATCTCTGTCTGCATTTCTTTCATAGTCACATCTTTCTTACTCCTCTTATGCCCCATTCCTTCCCCTTAGAAACCTAGCAATTTCATTGTGCCTGGCTACATAATGAAAGATAATCTCCCTATTTTAAGGTCAGCTGATTAGCAAGTGTACTTTCATACTCTAATTCCTCTTTGCCAATAACATAACATATTCATAGGATCCAGGTATTAACATGTGGATCTCTTTGGGGAGACAATTCTGTTCACCACCATAACTTATCCTTGGTTTCAAATTAAACCTTACAGATTCTAGATTCTTTCATTCAAGCAAAGTGGCAACTATCAATATTTCTTTCTGTTTATTAATTTTTCTCTTTGTTTTGACTTTTATATATGGTGGATCCACTGTAGTGGCAAATTCCATGATGGGACAAGGTAGGGTAAGTATAGAGTTAGTGATTGGCACTTAGCTGATCCTCTATTCTCTCTCTCTGGACCTCCACATCAATTCATTTTAATAATATTTTCAACAGTGTTCAAGACACATAAATAAGGAATATTTCATAGGGACTTTACCTTAATGAAAAAGAAAGAGAAAAACTATTGATCAAGTTTGCTAAGGTGCCTTTATTGGCAAAATGTAGATGCGGGTCAGGGTCTAAAAGTATGAAAGGTGCATTTGGGGAAAGGAAAACATATTAACAACATTTTGAATTGTCACTTACATTGGTCTAAGTCAACTTGTTGACACAATTCCTGTAATCAAAAGGAGAGAAATTATGAATAAAAGTAGTAGCATAAGATCAGCCAATGTCTGAAACAAAACACCCTAAATCTTCTGAAAAACTCAGAAGGTTGGAGAAACCCCACTGTCCTCGCTCTGAGAACATGTGTATAAGCCAACCAAAACAGAGCAGATGTGCCTTCCAGAATGTGGAAAACAGTCAATTTAGATGTAGTCAGAGGGATTTAGCCAGCTCGTCCATCTTACAGAAAGCCTCTTGTCTCTATATGAGGTATTACCATGTCTCAGCAAAGTTTCTCCTTGCCCTCTCCTATAAAACTGAGGCAAATCAGAATTTGTCTAAAAATAGAAGCCATGGTGGATTTCAGTACATTAGATAACGTGAACAAAACCATATAATATTTGTGGAATTCTAGCTTCTTTTTACCTGTAAGCCTATTCTCTTTCAGTTGGATGTTTTCAAGATCCCCTAGCATCAGGAACCTATCATGCATACTTGTCTATTCTGAGCTAGTGCCTTTTGCAGTATGCTGTTTCCTTTGACCTGGTTAGAATTTATGACTCTGTTGTTCCCAGGAACACTGCGCCTTGAGATTTCCCCAGAGTCCACTTCTGTCTGCAGATAGAATGGACAGCCCAGTCTCACACTCCACTGGTCTATTGCTTACTGAATAAGGAGGCCGCCTATCAACACATCTCCTCAGAGAATGAAGCTGAGAAAGTAGAAACCCTCAGAGTGTACAAGTATCTTAAAATAAAAGGTTCCCTGTAAAAACACAATTGTAAGAGAAAAGTCACCCAAAAAAGCCAGACCCAAAACATACTCTAGGAAAATTATTATACTTTATCACTTTAACAATATTTTAAAAACTACTCTAGGCCTATACGCAAACAACAAACAAAAAAACTAACTTTCAAAGAAACGACTAAAAAACAAAATCAGGTTGATACCATGCTTTTCAACAAGTTTCAGTAAAATAAAAGGGGATCCATATCTCAAAAAGCTCAAGAAAAGAAAATGTGTATCAAGAACTGGATATCTAGCCAAGCAGTCTTGTATATATCAAAGCTACTAAAAAACTGACCATGTAAGAACTCAAAAATAGGGTATCCCTGAGCACATCCGTAAAAGACATCGATAAAGTTGTCAGAAGAGTCTCCTCAAGTAGAATCAGCCCTACATACTTTCAAAAAAGAATTCCACCAAGGTTTAGAAATTCAGATAATACCAATCTGTTTAATCTGTTTGATATATAGGAATCCATTAAAATTGATTATATTTATAAATTAAAGAAACACTTACTCCCATGGATACTGAAAATCATTGAGAAAATTCAATATATATCCATGCTAAAAGCACTCAATGGGACTAAATAGATGCTTTCTAAGCTTGATTACCTACGTATTTGAGAATGTTTGTGTATTACATATATCGACCTCAAAGGGCAACATCTTAATTAATGGAGAAAAACTGGGGACTTTCTTACCAAAAAGAGGAAAGGTGAGAACACTCAATATAATCATTACTATTTGATATTTTGTGGGGAGAATTTGCCAAGACAGTTATAGGAGAAAAAGAAGTTAAACATAAATGACTGGTAAAAAGATATGTAAAACTCCCTAGTTTACTAGAGAAAACTTTCTCTAGTTTTACATATCTTTGACATGGTGGTATGCCTGAAGAGCCGAAGCAGTTATTGAACAATTGAAAATATAAACAATGAGAAAATTCAATAAGGTAACATTACATTTAAAAACTATAACAATCAGTATTCTTCATATATACAGATAACTAGTAAGATGTATTAGTAGAATACCTATATAACGCATACATTTAAAAACATAAAATAATATGAAATATTTTGAGAAATGGGTAAATATGTATAAGAAAATTCTTAAACTATGGTGAATGTTGCAACTGTAAAACTGGGAAAAAATGGGGGTTTTAGAAGATGGTTAGAATGATTCAATTTCATAAAGCTAATTATCCCAAATTAATTAATTACCTTAGTACATTAAGGCGCCAATAAAATATTATTGTTTTCCCCTGATATTTTATAAGTTTATTTTAGGTATATTTTTAAAACCCAATAAAAAAAATAATAGCCAGGGCCGGGCGCAGTGGTTCACGCTTGTAATCCCAGCACTTTGGGAGGCTGAGGTGGGTGGATCATTTGAGGTCAGGAGTTTGAGACCAGCCTGGCCAACATGGTGAAACCTCATCTCTACTAAAAATACAAAAATTAGCTGGGCGTGATGGCACTTGTCTGTAATCCCAGCTACTCGGGAGGTTGAGGCAGATGAATTGCTTGAGTCTGGGAGGTGGAGGGTGCAGTGAGGCGAGATTACACCACTGCACTTCAGTCTGAGTGACAGAGTGAGACCCTGTCTCAAAAATAAATAAAATAAAATAAAATAAAATAATAATAGCCAGGAAAATCTGAAAACAGGGACATGAAGAAGTTCTAGCCTTACAAGATGTCACGGCCTACCATAAAGACCCTAGAATTCAAATGATATAGTATTTATCCTTTTATACAAAACTAGTAAAATACAAAACCAAGTTCACAAGTAATTTAAGTAACTACAATGACAAACAGTGAACCTATATTCAAACTAATGGGTAATCCTGCCATATTTTCATTAATGCTAGTAGAAGACTTCTGGGTCAGAGATGAAAGATAGTATATTTCTCACAGCAATAACAGTAGTCGCAGCAGCATTATTTGTGTCTATTCCTCAAATCCAAATTTCCACAAAACAACGTAAAAATAGACAGATGATGTCTGCTCTCAAAAGGGGTTGGCCTACAGGAGGATAACCCTGAGCATAGAAACCCAAATCTTTTATAATAGAAAGCAAACATAGCAGTCCTTTGCTCCAAGGGGAGATGTTTCTGTCCCCCAAATTTGTTTGCTATGCAAATATCCTTAAAAAGACACAGAAATGCAGGCACCTGCGAATAATTGTGTCTAAACAAATTCATTTGGGAATTTAATTTATTATAAATACAATGTCTTACATCTATGGGCAACAAAGAATTATTAAGTTAAATGATACTGAGGGAAGTGTATAACTATTGGTTAGAAGATATCATTGGTTCTGTAACTTACACTAAATAAATTCCTGGCCGGGCATGGTGGCTCATACTTGTAATCCCAGCACTTTGGGAGGCCAAGGTGGGTGGATCATGAGGTCAAGAGATCAAGACCATCCTGGCCAGCATGGTGAAACCCCATCTCTACCAAAAATACAAAAATTAGTTGGGCATGGTGGCACACGCCTGTAGTCCCAGCTACTCGGGAAGCTGAGGCAGGAAAATCACTTGAACTTGGGAGGCGGATGTTGCAGTGAACCAAGATTGCGCCACTGCACTCCAGCCTGGCATTTGATAGAGTGAGACTCTATCAAATAAATAAATAAATAAATAAATAAATAAATAAATAAATAAATAAATTCCCAACTCATTCTAGATCTAAATGCAAAATTGAAACCATTGATTTAGCTGAGGAAAAAGCACAAAATTCCTTTATACTGAGGGATAGATAAAGCCTTTCTTTGCTCAAACTCTGGAAGCAATAAAGGAAAATATCAATAATGTTTAGTATATAAAATTTAAAACTTTGTATAGCAAAATATGACAGCAGTGGTCCTAACTGCTGCAGCAGCATGACTTACAGGCAAGGACTCCTGGCTCCTTGCTCAAGGAAAAAGTTTTCAACCACAGCATCACCTGGCAAAGTAGAGATTTCCTGCAGTTAACAATACTGTGAAGCACTGCATAATGACGTTTTGATCAGCGACAGACCACATGTATTATGATGGTCCCATAAGATTAGAATGAAGTTGAAAAATTTCAGTCACCTTGTGGTATCATAACGCAATGCATTACTCATGTCTTTGTATTTGTGCTGGTGTTAACAAACCTACTGTGCTGCCATTCATATAAAAGTATAGCACATAAAAATATGTACAGTATATAATATGTGATAGTGATAATAAATGACTATGTTACTGGTTTTTGTACTTAACATTATTTTGGAGAATACTCCTATTTATTAAAAAAAAAAAGTTAATTGTAGAACAGCCTCCGGCAGGTCCTTCAGAAGGTATTCCAGAAGAAGGCATTGTTATCATAGGAGATGACAGCTCCATGGCTGTCGTTGCCCGTGAAGACTTTCCAGTGGGAAAAAATGTGGAGGTGGAAGACAGTGATATTGATGATGCTGACCCTGTGTAGGCCTAGGCCAATGTGTGTGTTTGTGTCTTTGTTTTCAGTAATACATTTTTAAAACTACACTTTGTTGTTTACTTATAGAATAATTATTCTATGAGGATAGACTTATAGAATAATTATTCTATGAGGATAGACTTATAGAATAATTATTCTATGAGGATAGACTTATAGAATAATTATTCTATGAGGATAGACTTATAGAATAATTATTCTATGAGGATAGACTTATAGAATAAGGGTAAAAAAGAAAAAGATATTTTTATACAGGTGTAAAATGCATTTGTATTTTAAGCTATGTTATTACAAAATATTTTAAGAAGTTAAAAATATCTTTAAATTATATAAAGTAAAAAGTTACAGTAATCTAAGGTTAATTTATTATTGCAGAAAGAAATTTTTCAAATATATTTATTGTAACCTAAATGTTCAGTGTTTATAACTTCTAGAGGTTTTTTATTTTGATTGGATACTGCATTCAATTAAAAAGCATGAACTATCAAAGTGAATTGAAACTATCAATGTGCATATGTGATTTTTAAAATTCTAACTTCACTTACTGAGAGAACATGAAAGCAATAATATCTCATCTTGAATATCACTTCATCGTAACACAATTTCATTGCTAAATAATATGCCCACTCTAAGTTATCAGGATTCATTAAAGAAATAGCTTATTCTATTCTGTGTCAGGGAATGTTCATGGTGAAACTGAGAAATATTAGTGTAACAGAAAACAAAGGGATGCAAAAATCTAAGGAAATCATATAAAAAAGGCAGAGGAGTGGCTTGAAAAATGTTGTACCATTGTACAAAGATGGGACTGTCATTCTGCTGAAGCATTTTTAGTTTTAAATAAAATGTTTTATATAATTTTAATGACAAAAAGAAAAGTATTTGAAATAAAACACACAAATTCTTACAAAACACCTTAGAAATAATGGTAGCTCACAGTTGCCAGGAATAAATTGTGTTGTTTATTATTGTATCTTAACAAAAAGGAAGGGAGGAAAGGAAGGAGAGATCAAGATTGCTTTTCATAGACTTTAATAGCCATGCCCCTCCTTGTGAAAAAAAAAAAGAAAAAGAAAAAGGAAATAAAGTTATACAAATAAAACTAGATAAGACTAGATTGCATCTTTGTTCATTAACCAAATCTAGAACATTAGGTTGGTAAGCTTAAGAGAGGTAATTTAAAATATATTCAAAGGAATATTGTTCACATGTCATATTAAGTATATTCCTAGCAGAGATGGTGGAATCTGAGATTATAAAAGGCATAAAAATTGAAGTTTGGCCAGAAAATGCAGTCACTATATCAAGCAAATAAAAAATCACTGGGCTGAGACAAACCAAATCCTGTAGTAAAACGAAGAAAGTGATTTCTATTTCTTTGGTTCAAAGAATGATTATTTAATTTATAGTCAATATCAGAGGAAAGAGGAAGATAAATAGAGAAAAGAGGAGGAAGGAAAAATAACATATCTTAAAACCAAAGTCATCTCACAAAAATATGGAAGGACTTCACTCTTCATAACTAGATAAAGGAGAGTTTTGATTTTTACTATTAGCTATGTAGCCTTCAATATTATTTTACCCTCAGTCAGCTCAGTTTTTCTCCTGTGAAAAATGTGAGTGATACTAATTCAAGCACATGCTAATGTGTAACAGAAGTAAACATCACAGTAAAACAGTACTACCATTTTACACTAAAAGGAGTGGCATAAACAAAAGTGATATTGAGTTCTAGAGAAAATAGAGATTTCTTGAATTTATTCAAATTGTTTAGTGCTTTTGGAGGGTTTCCAAAAATTCTCTATTAATCTCTCCTTTATTAGTTTCTTACAGCAATCACAGGAAGTACATGAGAACAGAAATTCTTATCCTCATTTAAAAAAAAAAATGAGTAAAGCTTAGGAAAATGACCTTAGGGAATACCCAAGATCACAGGCTAGCTAAGTGAAGTTGGGAATCATTTTTTTGACTTCATGTTTCTTCCTACTTAAATGTCCAGTAGCCATAAAGCGGACACAGCAATATTCAAATTCATGTTGACTTCTTTTTTTCCCCCCTAAATCAACCCACAAAGATACTATCCGAGTTATTCTACGAATAAAACCCCATCTAGAAATTTTCATTCTGTCATCCTCCTATTACAAAAAAGAGAAGACTCAGTGACTTGGCCATTTAAAAGTTGATTGTTCTGCTTGGAGTAGTAATTTTAGCATGTATTGAACAGTTCTTGACAGGAGAATAAACTTTCCATGTTTAAGTTGTAACAATTTTAGAAAAAAGCAAATTACTTATGTAAATAAAAATTACATATTTAATTTAAATTATGTATTTACAGAAGCCCCACATGTGTGGTTTTGCTTTCCATGTTTCCTTGAGAAGAAAGTGTGTTCTGCTGCTGTTGGATGATATGTTTTGTATATTTCTGATAGGTTCATTTGACCTACAGTGTTGATCAAGTCCATTATTTCCTTATTTATTTTTTGTTTGAATCTCCCATCCATAATTAGAAGTAGAATATTTTAGCTTCCTGCTATTATTTAATTGCTATTTGTCTCTTTAGTTTTTTTCACCATGTGCTTTATATGCTTTATGTTAGTTGTACATGTATTTATAATTTATATATTTCTAATTAATTGTTGCTTTTATGTTTACATAATGTTTTTCTTTCTCTCTTATGACAGTTTTTGAGTTAAAGTCTATTTTTGTGATACAAAAATGACCAGTAATGATGACCATTTTTTCAAATGTTTGTTGGCTGCATAAATGTCTTCTTTTGAGAAGTGTCTGTTCATATACTTTGCCCACTTTTTGATGGGGTTCTTTGTTTCTTTTCTTGTAAATTTGTTGAAGTTCTTTGTAGATTCTGGATATTAGCCCTTTGTCAGATAGATAGATTGCAAAAATTTTTTCCCACTCTGTAGGCTGCCTGTTTATTCTGATGATAGTTTCTTTTGCTGTGCAGAAGCTCTTTAGTTTAATTAGATCCCATTTGTCAATTTTGGCTTTTCTTACCATTGCTTTTGGTGTTTTAGTCATGAAGTCTTTGCCCATGCCTATGTCTTGAATGGTATTTCCTAGGTTTTCTGGTAGGGTTTTATGGTTTTAGGTCTTATGTTTAAGTCTTTAATCCATCTTGAGTTCATTTGAGGTGTCAGAAAGGGATCCAGCTTCAGTTTAGTTTCCTGCATATGGCTAGCCAGTTTTGCCAACACCATTTGTTAAATGGGGAATCCTTTTCTCAATGCTTGTTTTTGCCAGATTTGTCAAAGATCAGATGGTTGTAGATGTGTGGTGTTATTTCTGAGGGCTCTGTTCTGTTCTATTGTTTTAGTACCAGTACCATGCTGTTTTGGTTACTTAGCCTTGTAGTATAGTTTGAAGTCAGGTAGTGTGATGGCTCCAGCTTTGCTCTTTTTGTTTAGGATTTTCTTGGCTATGTAGGTTCTTTTTTGGGTCCATGTGAACTTTAAAGTAGTTTGTTCAATTCTGTGAAGAAAGTCAATGGTAGTTTGATGGGGTTAGCATTGAATCTATAAATTGCTTTGGTCAGTATGGCCATTTTTATGATATTGATTCTTCCTATCCATGAGAATGGAATTTTGTCACAGGCCTTTTCTGCATCTATTGAGATAACCAATCCGTTTTTGTCATTGGTTCTGTGTAAGTGATGGATGAAGTTTAGTGATTTGCATATGTGGAACCAGCCTTGCAACCCTGGAATGAAGCTGACTTGATTGTGGTGGATAAATGTTTTTGATGTGCTGCTGGATTCAGTTTGCCAGTATTTTACTGAGGATTTTCGCATTGATGTTCATCAGGGATATTGGTCTAAAATTTTCTTTTTTTTTGTTGTGTCCCTCTTTTTCTCTTGTTTCGAATAGTTTCAGAAGGAATGGTACCAGTTCCCCTTTGCACCTCTGGTAGAATTCAGCTGTGAATCCGTCTGGTCCTGGACTTTTTTAGGTTGGTAGGCTATTAATTACTGCCTCAATTTCAGAACCTGTTATTGGTCTATTCAGGGATTTGACTTCTCCCTGGTTTAGTCTTAGAAGGGTGTATGTGTCCATGTCCAGGAATTTATCCATTTCTTCTAGATTTTCTAGTTTATTTGCATAGAGGTGTTTATAGTATTCTCTGATGGTAGTTTGTATTTCTGTGGGATTACTGGTTATATCCTCTTTATCATTTTGTATTGCATCTATTTGATTCTTCTCTCTTTTCTTCTTTATTAGTCTGGCTGGCGGTCTATCTATTTGTTGATCTTTTCAAAAAACCAGCTCCTGGTTTTGTTGATTTTTTGAAGGGATTTTTATGTCTCTATCTCCTTCAGTTCTGCTCTGATCTTAGTAATTTCTTGTCTTTTGCTAGCTTTTGAATTTGTTTGCTCTCGCTTCTCTAATTCTTTTAATTGTGACATTAGGGTGTCGACTTTACATCTTTCCTGCTTTCTCTTGCGGGCATTTAGTGCTATAAACTTCCCTCTATATGCTGCTTTATATGCGTCACAGTGATTCCGGTTCATTGTGTCTTTGTTCTCATTGGTTTCAAAGAACATCTTTATTTCTGCCTTCATTTTGTTATTTACCCACTAGTCATTCGGGAGCAGGTTGTTCAGTTTCCATGTAGTTGTGTGGTTTTGAGTGAGTTTCTTAATTCTGAGTTCTAATTTGATTGCACTGTGGTCTGAGAGACTGTTATGATTTCAATTCTTTTACATTTGCTGAGGAATGTTTTGCTTCCAATTATGTGGTCAACTTTAGAATAAGTGTAATGTGGTGCAGAGAAGAATGTATATTCTGTTGATTTGGGGTGGAGAATTCTGTAGATGTCTATTTGGTCCAGAGCTGAGTTCAAGTCCTGGATATCCTTGTTAATTTTCTGTCCGTTGATCTAATATTGATAGTGGGGTGTTAAAGTATCCCACTATTATTGTGTGGGAGTCTAAGTCTCTTTGTAGGTCTCTTAGAACTTGCTTTATGAATCTGGGTGCTCCTGTACTGGGGGCATATATATTTATGATAGTTAGCTCTTCTTGTTGCATTGATCCCTTTACCATTATGTAATGACCTTCTTTGTTTTTGATCTCTGTTGATTTAAAGTCTGTTTTATCAGAGACTAGGATTGCAAACCCTGCTTTTTTTTGCTCTCCATTTGCTTGGTAAATCTTCCTTCATCCCTTTATTTTGATCCTATGTGTCTCTTTGCACGTGAGATGGGTCTCCTGAATACAGCACACCAAAGTGCAGTATCTGGGCCAGAACGCACCGTTCCTCCCGGTAGTCTCTCACAGCTCCGCTTTCATGATTCTGAGGCACTTATAGGATTCACTTCATTTGTTTCCTGTCTTTGGGAGATTACTGTTTTTTTCACTAGTTTATGTCCAATGTTTTAATTGTCATCATAACATATTTTGTCCAATTTCTTATTGTTTCAGATAGAACTAAGCAAGTCCCTTTTATTCTACTTTGTATAAAAGTATAAGTTCCAGTTTAACATTTTTTATCTTTCTCAATATATAGATAGATATAAATATTAGACTAAGATATGTATGAACAGATACATAATTTAATATTAACAAGAAGAATGCCTTGGAAAGATGATACATCACAAGCCAGTTGTAGTGTGCATATATATTTATGTAGTTTCATACACGACAACTGGCTTGTGGTGTATCATCTTACCAATCTATTTTTCTTGTTACTCTCAAATTAAATAGAGTTGTATTTTCACAAAATAATTTTGGTTCGAGAGAAGTAATGGTTATAGTAATGCATAAATTTAATTTTTGCGCCTTATTTTTTATTCATATCAACTCTTTTTTTTTTTTTTTGAGACGGAGTTTTGCTCTTGTTGCCCATGCTGGAGTGCAATGGCACGATCTCGGCTCACCACAACCTCCGCCTCCCAGGTTCAAGCAATTTTCCTCCCTCAGCCTCCTGAGTAGCTAGGATTATAGGCATGCACCACCACGCCCGGCTAATTTTGTATCTTTAGTAGAGATGGGGTTTCTCCATGTTGAGGCTGTTCTCAAACTCCTGACCTCAGGTGATCCACCCACCTCGGCCTCCCAAAGTGCTGGGATTACAGGCGTGAGCCACTGCGCCCAGCCCAACTCTTTGTTTATAGAGAACAATAATTCCTCAATTACTGAGAACTTGAAATATTCTAGGTATTTCAAATTTAAAGTATTAAATTTTATGTAATCTCACAACTAAAATTTTTTTAAATGATTTATTTATTTTTTTCTGAGGAACAGGGTCTCACTCTGGCCCAGTCTGGAGTGCAGTGGCATAATCATAGCTCCCTGCAGCGCTGAACTCCTAGACTCAAGCAATCCTCCTGCTTCAGCCTCCTGATTTGCTAGGACTACAGGCTTGCACCACGATGCCTAATTTTTTTTTTAATTTTTTGTAAAGATAGGGATCTCTCTATGCTGCCCAAGCTAATCTTGAGCTCCTGTGCTCATGCAGTTTTCCTGCCCGTCTTCCAAAGCACTGAGATTATAGGCAAGAAAAAACAAAACAGTAACAATCCAACAAACCAGAAGCATAGACAATTTAAATGATATGCTCAAGATTATAGAGTAATACATGCCAACCTTTGGACTTGAACTCATACAGCATAACTCAAAACCTTATCCTTACTCTTTGGTGCTATATTTACTGCTTCCGTATCAGTTGTTCTCAACTCTGACTGCACATTGTTGTCATCTGGAAGAAATTTCAAAACACACTAGCTCTCAGGTACAATCCCCAGACTTTCTGAAATAATTAATTTGCGATTGGTTTGACATTATTGTTAAAGCCCCACAGTTATCAGAATATACATCTGGTACTAAGAACCATTGCTCTACATGACAATGGCTTGTGAAATAGACCGACAAAATATACAAGTGATTGCATGAAGAATCAAGCATCACCCAATCAATTTATTGAAGTACGTGTGTACCAAGACAAGTGAAACAAGTCATAATTACTCTAATTAGCATTCCTACAAGCTTTCAAAGGCTTTAATGCTAACTACTTTGTAAGTCTAAAAAGGCAAAACTCTTGTCTTGCCTAACAGCATAAAGGAAATCACTGTCTGTAAACCTGTTAGTGATTAAGAAGATTTTAGTCTGTCAATCCTTGGAGGCAATTACCTTACAAGAGGGCACTCAGTTTGATTTTCCAAATAAAATAGCAACTCATGTTTAATTATATGGAGACGAAGGAGAAGAAAAAATTTTTTGAATAGATGAAAATTAGATCTATTTTTCCAGACAGGTGAAAAGTAGAAACAGAATATATATAGCTAGCATAAAACTTTAATCCATCTTAGTTGAGACCTCATTTTTATAGCTCTTTCAGCCATATTTATCCCTAGCAATAGTCCCTGTTCTTAAGTCTTTTTCTTGGGATATAATTTTCTTATAGAACTTCTTGGAATCTTCTCATGTTGTTTCCACATGAGACATTGCCGTGATGAGATCATTAGTTCCTCTGCTACTCTCACTAACAATCTTTGTACATAATTTGTAAGATGCGTTTCCTTCATAATCATTAAGTACTTCACTACGCTGTTCTCAGCATTTTTGTAGATTTAGCAATGTATATGATTAATTGTCATTTTGCTTGATATCTTTCTTCCTTATATGTCATGGGTTTATCAAAATACAAAGTATGTATTATTTTTCCTGAGAAGCTATGGTCCTACTTAAGGACGTAAATACTTATTGTACATGACTGCTACCTGTTTGCTCTGCCTCTAAGAAATCTTTATACCAAAAGTATCCTTAAGTGATAGTTATCATCACTGCCTCTTGCATGTTCCAAAAACAAACACAACACAGAAAACAAAGGGAGGCAAATACTCACCAATTCCCGCTGAATAAAATTTACATTATCTTTTCAGTCACATTTAATGCATCTTCTCTTCTTTGCTTTTTGTGTTTGTAAGTAAGCCAAACACAAGTATAGGAAATACTTTTAATGGATCGTATATTTTCTTGTCTCTATGCCTTAGTTCGTGGGTTAAAATAGCCTTTCTTTTCTTTGCATTGATCCACTAGTT
Source organism: Homo sapiens (assembly GCF_000001405.40). Taxonomy (NCBI): domain Eukaryota; kingdom Metazoa; phylum Chordata; class Mammalia; order Primates; family Hominidae; genus Homo; species Homo sapiens. The sequence goes on from NC_000004.12 coordinate 171,359,996, forward strand.
AAAATGTTATGTGTTAAATGAAGCTTGTTGGTTCATGAAAATAAATTTTTCTCTCCCTCTTTGATGGGACCATAAAAATCTTGCTTATATATTCATTAGTGTGCATATATGTTACTGCTTTTTTCATGAAATTTTAAGCCACTTCAAAGCATGAGACCTTGATTTACTGATATTTCAATTTCAGCATAGTTTTTCTTACATAATAAGAACCTTAAAATGACAGTTCAATTCATTTAACTTCATTTTACAAACCATATTTAGAAGAAACTTTAAGCTGCATTACTTCAGTATGATCAAATATGTATCTGACTGGTGGTAGATATAAAAGGTCAATTAATATTTAAATTCCTTGATATTATAAGTATGCTCTATGATAAAATGATAGTTTGATATTACAAATGTTTTCTGCATGAGATAATGGTTAGTCCTTTAAAAGAAAATGTATGTTTTTATATTATATATACTACTGTATCTTAGTTCTGATTCATTTGTTCATTTTGCACTGAATTTTAACTTACAAGCATTTAAAAGAATATAAAACACTCATTTTTAAAATCTTAGGAGTAGATCAAAAAAACTTTTGTAAATTTTACATATGAAAACTTTGCAGCTGGAAGATAAGTAAACTTATAATTAGACAGCAAACTGACAATTCTTACCATATGCAAATTTGTGATTGGATATGACATTGACATTGGGAAAGCCTAAACCACAAGAATGATTTATTTAAAAAGGCATTTTTGTAAAGATTTCAAATGATGAGGAATGGGTGTGTTCTCTGATAGTTTCTTTTCTGCTGTTAACTAGGTCATGTTTCCATGGAGTGCTACACTCAAGGAAAAGGGGACAAAAGACTAAATAGATAATCGTATAGACAGTTTTATCTTCTAAAATAGAGAACAGTCTGATTAGAGAATGAATACATTTAAAATGTCCTCCTCAACCTATGGAAATATGATGGTTGAGACTGATTTGTGTATTATGGAAAATCTCTCTAGATCCGGTAGCACTACATATTTTAGACTTATGATCCCTAAAATTGAAATATCTAATCATGCACAGATGTACACATTTTAGCATCTCTCTAGAATATTGATGCTAAGAATATATCTGCTGACATATTAAACATATGTCTAGGGGTAGTACCAATGGTTTTGCATTTATTTCACCTTTAATATTGACACTTACATGTTGTTAAATATGAAAGTGACCAATAAGTATCTCAGTACTCCAGAATATCCTCTACTAGTTTCACTCAGCTGCCTGAAGCATTCCTCTTTTCTGATGTTTGTGCAACGACAAGCAGGCTAGTAATCTCCCAACAGAGCTTTGTATGCTGCTTTAAATAACAGCATCCCAAGAGGGTTTTTCCAAGAAAAAAAATGCAATCATATGTATAGTTTAGATAACATGGTACTTGAGAAATAATGAGAGTTAAATACATGATAGTTTCTACTATTATTTTCATTTTTATGGGGGTTACTCTAAACCTAGTGTTGAGAGAAGAGGCCTAGAGAACAGAGTCACTCTAACTCAAATAAGACTATGATTAACCATGCCTGTGTTCAATGTCATCTTGTTCCCTGACCGCACTTAGGGTCAGTTTGCTTATTTTTGCAGCCCAATAATGAGATGCAGATGAACTGGGAAAGAAGGGAGCTTATTTCTGTAACTGGGTACAGGGAGAAGGTCTGGAAAATATCACCAGACCGACTCAAAATTACAAATTTTTCAGAGCTTATATACCTTCTAAGCTATATGTCTACGTGTAAGTGTGCATTCATCTAAAGACATAAGTGATTAACTTCTTCTAATCTATAACTAAGATCTGAGTCCTGAAGACCTTCCTCTGGAGCCTCAGTACATTTACTTAATCTAAACGGGTCCAGGTGCTGGGGTGATTACCCTTATCTTGTCTCCTGCTAAATCTTGGAAGTTTGGAGAGTTCCTTCAGACCCCCAGTAAACTTGTTTGTGGAGGCCTTGGGAGTTTCTTCAGACCCCCAATAAAACATTTTTAATCCTAAACCGGTCCCGTTAAGGATTCCTTTGTTACCTTATCATGCTTCAAGGCCCAGGAAAAGCTTGAGCAAAACTCTTGGTGGGCTTTTATTACGTTCCAGCCTTTGTATAAAAGCACAGGCTCTATCAGCTTTTAATATTTAACTTAACCACTCAGTTACTGCTGAAACAGTTGTTATGGAGGCCTGGGTTAGTGAGACCTGGCCTGCCACAATCTGACATATGAGAAGTGTATGCAATGGTAGATACCTTGTGGATCTGGATTCCCAAGGGTATCAATATAAAGGCAGTGGCTCTGTGAAGATAGTTTCCAAATTTGTTAAGAAAGATAATAGAATATTTTATGAAAAGCAATCTTTCTATATTTAAAGGTTTTAAAATGTAGCAGGTTGATAGCCTAGAATATTTCAGAATACCTTAGTAAGCATTAAATCAAAATACTGATATAGTACTAAAATGTCAACCTAGTCCCCTAATATTTAGCTAAACATTCTGCATGAAACCATATGCAAATGCATTACAGCTAGGGTGACCAGGCACCCCATTTTTGCCTGCAATATTCTTGATTTAGTTTTTTGGCCTTGGTATTCTATGTGAATTGCTATTGTTCTGGATTATTTGTTGCTTTAAATAAAAGTATTATTATTTAAAATATTTTAAAATGTGCCATAATATATTCAGCAGACCTCCACTGATACTTATAACTTCTGCCTTGATCTCATCTAGTAGTGTGTGAGATGCATTTTAATCCATGATTAAGTCATAAAGATCAAAGATGAGTAGTAGTAAACCATATCTCTTTTCCATATCTTTGTAGACATAATGTAAGCAACATCATCTTTTCAAGGACATTTTCTGAGTCTACAAAGTGTTCTTAGACACAAGAGTCCAGGGACAGTTAGTTCTTCAGGTATACAGGTAGAGAGGGAGTATTCCATCCTGCTGTCTCTACAGCCAATGGTCAAGTGGTCCATATTATTAACACACTGGGTAATCAGTCAGTATCAGCAGTGAAAATAGTAAATCATATAACAAGTGTTTGTAAAATATATACAAGAAATAGACATTAATAAGTCCTCCTATAGAAAATATAGACAGTGGTCTGAATGTACTTCCTACAGGGATTTTAAAATCTAGTTTGTGATATAAATTGACAGCTACTTATTATATTATTCTGAAATTATTTTATATTTCAAAAACAACAATCAAAAATAGTGCATGTTTTCCTAGGCAAGCCAGAAGAATATAAGCATATTAATGTATATACATTACATATATTCATAAATAAAAATATACATAAAAATGAGACAAATGCATATATAAATCTGTGCATAATAACATCTATAAATAAGACTGTATATACATAAGAAAAAGACAAAACTAACACACAAACCCAAGTAAACAGATCGACACAAACAAACACAGTTATCTTTACATTTATTTTATTTTTAAAAGTAGTTGTTTTTAATTTTTGTGGGTATATAGTAAGTATATATATTTATGGTATCCATGATATATTTTGATACAGACATGCAAGGTAAAATAATCACATGAGGGTAAATGGGGTATCCATCGTCTCAGGCATTTCTCTTTTGTGTTACAAACAATCCAATTATACTCTTTATTTTAAAATGAATAATCAAATTATTTTGACTATAGTCTCCCTATTGTGCTATCAAATAGTAAATCTTAATCATTCTTTCTAACTATTTTTTGTACCCATTTACTTTCCTTACCGCCCCCCATCCCTAACTACCCTTCCAAGCCTCTGGTTACTATCCTTTCACTCTCTATCTTCATGAGTTCAATTGTTTTAATGTTTAGCAAAGTTTCTCTTTCTGTGTCTGGCTTATTTCACTTAATATAATGACCTCTAATTCCATTCATATTGTTGCAAGTGACAGGATCTCATTCTTTTTTTGGCTGAATAGTACTCCATTGTATATATGTATCACATTTTCTTTTATCTATTCATCTGTTTTTGGACACTTAAGTTGTTTCCAATTCTTGCTATTATGAATAGTGCTGCCATAAACATGGGAATGCAGATGTCTCCTTGAAACACTGATTTCCTTTCTTTGGGTAAATAAGTAAGAGTGGAATTACTGGATTGTAGGGTACCTCTATTATTCGTTTTTTGAAAAACCTCCAAACTGTTCTCTGTAGTGGTTGTACTAATTTACATTCCCACAAACAGTGTACAGGAGTTTCCTTTCCTCCACAACCTTGCCAGCATTTTTTATTACCTGCCTTTTGGATAAAAGCCATTTAACTGGGTTAAGATAAGATTGTAGTTTTAAGTTGCATTTCTCCGACAATCAATGATGTTGAGTACCTTTTCCTATACCTGTTTGCCATTTGTAAGCCTTTTTCTTTTTGAGAAATGTTTACTCGGGTCTTTTGTCCATTTTTAATTGGATTACTAGATTTTTTTCCAGTGAAGTTATTTGAGCTTCTTATATATTCTGGTTATTAATCCTTTGTCAGATAGGTAGTTTGCAAATATTTTCTCCCATTTTGTGGGTTGTCTCTTCACTTTTTTGATTGTTTCCTTTGCTCTGCTGAAGCTTTTTAACTTGATGTGATCCCATTTGTCCATTTTTGATTTGGTTGCCTGTGCTTGTGAGGTATTATTCAAGAAATATTTGCCCTTTGCAGTATCCTGGAAAGTTTCCCCAGTGTTTTTTTGTAGTCGTTTCATAGTTTGAGGTCTTAAATTTAAGTCATTAATCCATTTTACTTGATCTTTGTATATTGCAAGAGACGGTGTCTAGTTTCATTATTTTATATATGGTTATCCAGTTTTCCCAGAACCATTTATTAAAGAGACTTCTTTCCCCAGTGTAAGTTCTTGGTGCCTTTGTCAAAAATGAAGTTGACTGTAGATGTGTATGCATTTATCTCTGGGTTTTCTGTTCTGTGCCATTGGTCTATGTGTCTGTTTTTATGCCAGTGCTGTGCCATTTTGGTTACTATAACTGTAGTATAATTTAAGGTCAAGCAATGTTTTCTTCTTTGCTTAAGATAGTTTTGGCTCTTCTGGGTCTTTTCTTTTTCCATATAAATTTTAGGATTGTTTTTATTATTTCTGTGAAGAATGTCACTGGTATTTTGATAGAGATTACATTAAATCTGTAGATTGCTTTAGGTAGTATGGACATTTTGACAATAGTGATTCTTCCAGTCCCTGAACATGGACTGTCATTAGTTTTTTGTGTCTTCAACTTCTTGTGTCAATGTTTTACAGTTTTTATTGTAGAGATTTTTCACTTTTTCAGTTAAATTAGTATTTTATTTTATTTGTAGCTTTTGTAAATGGGATTACTTTCTTGATTTCTATTTCAGATTGTTCACTGTTACACACCCTTAAATTTATACAAGGGACCACTGGGCTATTTTGTTACCTGTTGGTAGATCAGAAAACTAAAGATTTTACAGGACTATTTCCCTGCTGGTTTTATGTGAGTTTAAGTTGACTGCAAACACCTCACCACAAATTTTAAGTTAGATGCCAAGCGACATCACCACCCTTTAAGGAAAAAAAGACCACTTCTCCTGAACCTATTAATGAGAATAGATGCTCATGATTTACACACTAGTACCTAGTGTTATCTACACATTAGCATACAATAGCTATTTTCAGTGGGTGGAGAAGAGATTTTTCATGGAGAAGAAAAATGACTAGATTTACCTCTTAGTAGATTGCATTGGGGGCAGTGCTAGTGTGGATGGCATCAGATGGTACCAGGGTGGAGGCATAGTCAAGCCAGGATTGAACTACACTGAGGGCCATTGTGGGCTTTTGTGGGCCGGGAAAAGATCCCCAGACTCCAAAGGCTGTCCTAGAATGAATCTTTTCTGATCAGTTCAAGCTGGATATAGAGAAGCCCACAGGCAGTTCAGAAAAATACCTGGATTAGAAACACCTGGAGAGTTAGGGGCCCAAGTTAATTTTCAAGGAGACTGACAGGCATAGAAAAAAAAAGGTCTTGATTTCAAACTCTTTTGAATGCCAAAGTAGGTGGTAGACAAAGAAAGCCAGATCCGAGGCAGAGTTTTGGACCCTGCCTTCCTAGATGAAAAAAAAAAATTATATATATATATATATATTTGATATATATATATATCTCGAATGTGAATTAAACATTAGTGCTGGATTTTAGTTCCTAAATAAAATTAATAACAAATGAAAATTGGCCTAAACTTTGACATTTATCCTTTACCCTGAGGGCTATAGTGATGTTATTGATTATATGAAATTCAGAAGACACAAATCTTCTGGCAAAGTATCAATATATATTTACTAGATATTTCAAAATAATTGAGATGTAGATAGTGATTTAACACTTGCATGTGTAGAAAGCTGGCTTAGTTCATCACTATATGAAGTATGGATTTTTTATTTAGAGCAAATAACTGTGCTGCAAACTAATTTCACTCATTTCAAGTTTTCTTGTGATCATGATTAAAATTGCAAGATTAGCTGTTAGTATGTCCTTCCATTAGCAGTTGAACTTTGCCCCATTGAATGGGTGCCAGATTCTATAGGTTTGTTTAGATGGTTTAAACTAAAAATTAGTAACTTAATTCCAAATATGCTTTGATTGATTTCATCCATGTCATTATTCATTATTTAGTGTTTAGTATTGTGAGTGTTCTTATAAACATAGATTTAAACTTCAACATTGAAGATAAAATAATTTGCATAGCTGTTAATTACATAAATACAAATTTTTGTTGAACCCAAGTTCTGTGAAAAAAATAATAGTTCTACAAAATTAAAAATGTATGAAGCCTGTGTCCTTAGAACTCACAATTGCATTCAAATTGCAAAATTTTACCAATAGAAACAAAATGGAGTTTTCAAAATGTATATACACACATATTCTGAATAATTGTTCTATTGTATCTGATGATAAAGCTGATATTTAATACTGATTATACTTAAGCATGCATATGTGCTTTCTCTTTCCTGACCATCACCAACTGAATTTTACTAAGTTTTGAACATTTAAATGATGTTCAAACTTTTAAATCAATGGTAGTAACCTAAAGATATACAGAACATTTCTTTTTGTAAATTAATACTCAAAATTTTCTTAAATTTTGTACAAAATGAGTTGAAAATCTTTAATCATATTATTTGATATATAGAACATAAAAAAAGTTCCACTATTGAAGTTTTAGTGTGTTGTTATGATTGAAAATGAGGCTTAAAATACAAAAGCATTAAAAGTTAGCTCTTAAAATAGTGGAGAAACTGAAAAAAATAAATAAATAATGAGATAGGATAGTCTCTTGCCACGCAGGCAGCTGCAGTGAACTGCAGCTCCCAGTCAGCCAGGCAAGGACAAGGGTAAACTCCCAATAGTCTCCAGTGTACTGTTGCCAGATGATTTTGCTTCACTGTAGGCTAATGTAAATGTTCTTAGCATGTTTCAAACAGGCAAGGCTAAACTATAATGTTGAGTGGTTCAGTTGTATTAAATGCATTTTCAACAGGTTATTTTCAATTTGTAATATGCTCACTGGGAAGTAACTCCATCATAAGTCGAGGAGTATCTGTAGGCTGCCATTGCTGAAACAGAATTAGAAACATTTTACTTCCTGATTCCTAATAATATTTCTTTATGCCTCGCAATTCTGTTTCTGTTTTCTTGTTCTTTCAGCCGGAAACAGCTTTTATTAGTCGATTTATATATTCAGCAAAGACTAGCTCAAATGTCACTTTTAGCACACTTCCCCTTGATTCGTAGTGTTTACTACTATCAATTTTAACCTGCTCAACACATATAACCAATTCAATTGAAAAAAAAAAAGAAACTTCACTCCATATACCTTGATTTTTGCTAATCAGTTTTTTTCTTTGTAGATTTTATCACTTGGTGAAAGGAAATGTTCTTTATTTTAAATTCTACAGCACTTTCCTCTAATAATGAACACATCTCTGATCCATTGGGTTAACGTGTAATTTCAGCGCATTATCGTTTTTGTTTTTGATTTTTTTTTTTTTTTAAGACGGAGTCTCGCACTGTCTCCCAGGCTGGAGTGCAGTGGCGTAATCTTGGCTCACTGCAAGCTCTGCCTCCCGGGTTCACACCATTCTCTTGCCTCAGCCTCCAGAGTAGCTGGGACTACAGGCGCCCGCCACCACGCCCGGCTAATTTTTTTGTGTGTTTTTAGTAGAGATGGTGTTTCACTGTGTTAGCCAGGATGGTCTCGATCTCCTGAGCTCGTTATCCACCCACCTTGGCTACCCAAAGTGCTGAGATTACAGGCATGAGCCACTGCGCCCGGCTGTTTTTGTTTTTTATAACCACAGGCATACTTAAGATTATAAAAATGTTAAGCCTTCAAGTTAAAATACATTAAATTATTAATTTGCCTTTCTCTAAGTGCTACAAATACTTGTAGAAAAATTCTTATTTGATGATAAATTGAAGGTAGAATTTTTTAATATTTTAGTCTACATCAAGCCAATTTAAACTCTTTGTGAATAGAAATATGAGTATAAACTTTTTAAGACACTCAGAGCACATAATATTCTCAAATTAAGGGATTTTTAGTGTCCATGGTTTTCTAACCTCAATTTTGCAGAAATTTTAAAGTCCGTTTGTTTTTGTGTTTACTAGCATGGATCTTTTATTTTTTGTGGGTATAAGGTTTTAGGCTATAGGTATATCTCTTTGATTTTTCTTTGCTTTATTGCACTTTGCACATATTGTATTTTTACAAATTAAAGGTTTTTAGCAATTCTATTGAGATTTTCAAATAGTGTATGCTTGCTTTGTGTCTCTGTCATATTTTGGTAATTCTCACAGTATTTCAGTTTTTTTCATTTTGTATCTTTTATGGTGATCTTTAATAAGTGATCTTTGATGTTACCATTGTAATTATTTTGGAGCACTATGAACTGGACTCATATAAGATGGCAATTGTGATCAATGTTGTGTGTGTTCCGGCAGTTCCCCCATCTCCACTTTCTTGGGCCTCCCTCTTCTATGAGAGACAATAATATTAAAATTAGGCCAATTAATAACCCTATAATGACCTCTGAATGTTAAAGTGAAAGGAAGTTTCACACATATCTCACTTTTAATCAAATTATTAAAGTTGCAAAAATGGTTAAGTGTAGTGAGGAAGGCATGTTGAAAACCTAAATAGAATAAAACCTGGGCCTCTTATACCACAGTTAGCCAAGTTGTGAATTCAAAGGAAAAGTTTTTGAGGAAATCCAAAGCGCTACTCCAGTGAACACACAAATGATAAGAAAGAAAAATAGCTTTATGGAAGATATGGAGAAAGCTTCAATAGTCTGAATAGAAAATAAATTCAGCCACAACATTTCCTTAAACCAAAGCCTAACTCAGAACAAGTCCTAACTCTATTCAATTCAATGCAGGCTGAGAGAGGTGAGGAAGCTGTAGAAGAAAAGTTGGAAACTAGCAGAGTTTGGCTGATGAAGTGTAAGGAAAGAAACTTTTTATAACATCAAGGAGCAAGAGCAAGTGCTGGTGTAGAAGCTGCAGCAAGTTGTCCAGAAAATCCAGCTAATATCATTGATGAAGATGGCCACAGTAATGACAGATTTTCAGTGTAGATGAACCAGCCTTCTATTGGAAGAAGATGTTATCTAGGACTTTCATAATGTGAGAGAAGTCTATGCCTGGCCCCAGAGCATCCTAGGACAGGCTGACTTTCTTGCTGGGGGCTAATGCAGTTGATGACTTTAAGTTAAAACCAATGCTCATTTACCATTCCAAAAATTCCAGTTCCCTTAAGAATACTGATAAATCTAATCTGTCTGTGCTCTAGAAATCAAACAATGAAGCCTAAGTGACAGCATATCTATTTAATGAGTATTTTAAGTCCATTTTTGAGATCTACTCCTCAGAAAAAAAGTTTCCTGTCAAAATATTACTTCTCATTGACAATGCGCCTTTTCACTCAAATTCTCTAATGGAGTTGTACAAGGAGATTAATGTTGTCCTCATGCCTGATGACACAACATCCATCCATTCTGAAGCCCACGGATAATGGAGTAATTTCAATTTTCAAGTTTTATTGTTTAAGAAATATGTTTTATAAGGCCATAGCTGATATAGATATTAATAGTTATTCTCCTAATGGATCTGGGCAAAGTAAATTAAAAACCATCTAAAAAGGATTCACCATTCCAGATGTCATTAAGAACAATAATGAAACAAGTTAAAATATCAATAATAACAGGAACTTGGAAGAAGTAGATTCCAACCTTCATGGGTAACTTTGAGGGGTTCAGGTCTTTGGTGGAGGAAGTAACTACAGGTATGGTGGAAATAGAAAGAGAACTAGAATTAGAGGTGGAGCCTGAAGATGTGACTGAATCGCCGAAATCTCAGGAGAAAACTTGAACAGATGAGGAGCTGCTTCTTATGGATGAGCAAAGCAAGTGGTTTCTTGGGATGGAATCTACTCCTGCTGCAGGTGTTATGAACATTGTTGAAATGACAACAAAGTATTTAAAATACTACATAAGCTTAGTTGCTCAAACATGAAGAGTTTCAGAGCATTGACTCCAATTTTGAAAGAAGTTCTACTGTGAATAAAATGCTATTGAACAGCATCCCATGCTGCAGAAAAGCATATTGCTTTGAAAGGAAGAGTCAATCGATGTGACAAACTTTCTTGTACCTTTCAAGAAACTGCCACAGACCCCCTTATCTTCAGCAACCACCACCTTGATCAGTCAGCAGCCATCAACATCCTTTACCAGAAAAAATGATTATAATTTGCTGAAGGCTCATATGACTGTGAGGGTTTTTTTTTTCAATAAAGCATTTTTAAATTAAGCTATGTAAACTGTTTCTTTAGACGTAATGCTATACAACACAATAGACTACAATTAGTGTGAACACAACTTTTACATGTACTGGGAAACCAAAAAGTTTGTTACTTGTTTTATTGTTGTATTGACTTTATTGTGGTGGTCTGGACTGAATCCACAGTATCTCTAGGTATGCCTGTTGTTTCTGTATATAAGAGTGCTACTCACTTTTACATATTTTAAAAAATTGTGCATGTGCTTGTATAGTTAAATATTATGCATTTGTTTTGGGAAGGATGTAATCATAACTTGAGAATAATGATAGGAGGGCAGAATGTCATTTTTATGCCATTATAAAAATTCTCTCCACTTGAAAGTTTAGTTAATCTTTTTGGTCTATTACAGACTCACTTCTTTTGTCTTATTTACTAAGACAATATAAGCTAATTTAGTTTAATCATTTTGTGGAATTTTATTTATGGTAATAACAAAACCTGAGGGGAAAAAAGACATTTTCTGTAGACACACACACACACACACACACACACACACACACACACCCGAGGCCCACAAACAAAAACATTTTAAAATACTGAAGTGTTTTACACCTGTCTTTGTGTTCTGTACTGCAGATGCTGCGTAGTATACAAAATGTTATTGACATTTGTAATATGCACTGGCAAGCAGCAGGTAGTTTTTTTAATTTTACTATTTTGTGAAGTATGATTTTTCTTTCAAAATGCTTGATTATGTAGTTGTTTTTGACTGCAATAATGAAAAAGCGTTAAGTTACAAAACAGTTACTTATAAAATTGTATGATGGTTAGACAGTTTATTCTGATACTTCACTGCCAACTATTTACTTTGATTTTACTTAAAGTGGCATTTAATGCCAATGGCTAAACATATGCTATGTCCACTACAGTAATAATTGTACCATGTTTTCATTAAATATATAATTATTGTATGAATCTCTAAGATTATAAGCCACTTCTGAAATAGCTACTTCCATATATCCTTTTTTAAATAGACTTACTTTAAAATTTTTTTTTATATAGATTCGGAGAACTTTAATTAGATCAGTGTGGATACTCATGCTGATTCATTTTTAGTTGACTGTTAATGAATGTGCATTAAGACGTGTCTACTTATTTCCACTAAACGATCTTATCAACAGATGCTTACCTCTGTAAATTATCTGTCAATATAGAAGTTGATGATGTAACAGAGAAAATGAAGTCATAAAATTAAGTGTTTGAAAGCATCCAATCCAACTACATATTGGAATTCTTGCCTCCATTAGTATACATTCTACCTCAGGGTACCCACAGTAGCCCCTTTATATAATAATTCAGGCTAATTTCCTGATAATGGGTTAAAACCTGGCATGGCTTAAATGCCATTATGAGACATTATTCCCAGTGGCCACAATTCTCTATGATATATATGAAGTGATATATATCTAGTGTCTAGTGAGGCAAATTATATCTTGTAATTCATTTGAGCATTAAATAGTTAACCACTGCTTTTGTATTTGCAAAGACTATGTTGAACCTTCTTAAGGAATTTAAAAAAAATTATTAAATTTATTATTTCTGAAGAAAAGGCACAGGGGTTCAGTAAGTGTTGATGAACTTACTGAACTCTAGACTGGGTTTATATGTAATGAAATGTCTTAGCATTTCCAAATACCTACAAAGTTCACATGAACGTTTAAGCCTGAATTTTCAACTTCTTCCAGCATCTGAAGTGTGTACACACCAAAACAAGGCTATTATTTAAAATTTTGAGATCCTTTGTACTCCTCTTCAGAGTTAGTTTAGAATTCCCAAGGATCCTTTTTGCTCTAATCCATTGTGTAAAAACACAAGACCTATGCAGACCCTCTGTAGTGATTCTCTAAACTGTAGCCACACTAGGGGCTTATAAGATTACTAATAATTAGAAGATGCAAAATTTAATCCAGATTCAGGCTTTTTTCTTGTTGTTGTTGACACTCAACTTTCAGTATATTAATTTCTGAAGGTTATTGTTCACAAAAGGTATCAGTTAAAATTGTTATAGAGTAGTAAAAAATAGTAAAAAAGGCTGGGCAAGGGCAAACCGTGAATTTAAAGTTAAACTAACAAATTGTAACGTCACATTTTATTCCTTAGAGTAAAATATTTTCATTATTTTAGTTAATTCTCATTTTGTATTTCTTGACTATTCTTTAATTACATATCATTATTTAATTTATATTTACCTAAAAATAATGGATACATTAACAAAAGGACAGATCTTTTAAAATACTTTGGGAATTTTTGGGCTGAAGAAAGGACAATTATAATAGAATAATATAATAGTAAATTAAAGGGACTGTTCAACTGAAAAAGAAAAGAAAAAAATCTCTATTATCTTCTTAGCTTTATAATTTGCCTGATAGAGGCCCAAAATATATATTTATAGCAATTAATATTTGCTATTTTTATTATATACTCAACACGAAGAACTCTAAAAAGAATATTAAATAAGTGAATAGACCAGTGAGACTTCGTTTAAAAGTTGATTATTTTTATTGTAATGCATATAGTTAAAAACTGGAATGGAAACAACATAAATTGAGTCTGAGGTGTTCACGCTAACCATTTACTGAAATTATTGTGGCTTTTTCAAAAATCCTCCACCCCTCCTGCCCTTTCTATGCTTTTTTAAAAATAGCTGTATTGAGACATAGTTCCCATACTGTACAATTCTTCCACTTAAAGTGTACAATTCAGTCGAGTTTAGTATATTCCCAGATGCTTTCATGTTTTTATCTCTTCTTTCTCCTGCTCTTTTATTAGCCTTCCCCTGACCTACTTCTCAACTGAAGAGTATTTTTATTAGAAAGCTAATGATATGAAATGACCTAGCACTGCGACTGGTAAATTGCCACTAAGAACCCGTCCTAACTGAACCGTATTGTAGGACACTGGGGTGACTGTTACACTTCACTTTATTAAAACCCATATAGGTTAAGGAATAGGAGTAATAAAAAGATGTCTTGAGGATAATAAGAAAATATCATCGGATATGTTTATTTCCAACATTCTTGGCATCCAAATCAAAAGTACTAAAGGGAAATTAGAGTCCCTTTATGTATCAGTGGTGGTAATTCTCATAAAATTGAAATTCATAAATGCCTGCCCTGAATTTACCAACCATAGTAATTTATGAATCAGATAGTGCTAAAGTTATAGCAGTTAAAGTTACTATGCATCCCTGACCATCACATGGAAGTGTGCATAATAGTAGAGGACATAAATTAGGTTTTATATTAATGAAAGCACATATTATTGGTTCATGAAACAAATCAGTGGGAATTTGTTTGTGAACTAATGCACAAGTTACTTATATTTCCACACATTTAATAAGTGATGATGAACTCCTTCAACATATTAGAACCTACAAACACTAAAAGCCTCTTAAGAGTTTTGTAGCCTAAGCATTCATTTGGGTCTATTTTCTATTGTTTCCAAAACTACTTTGCACATGTTAAAGGCATTAATATCATCTTAACTGCTGTTGCACATTAATTGTGCACTTTATAATTTAAAAATTTGGTTGCATATATATTTCTGTGATTGGAAGCTATATGCATTATGATTTTACATGTAATCATCTGGAATTGAATCTTAATTATAGAGTTACCTTATTTTAATAGGATGTTGTTATTGTTTAGAGAATAATGGAGAGTTAATTTGTTGCAAAGATTAAAGCTAACACATGTTGGTGATACATTTGATTTACCTTCCTCATAGAAGGTTTCTCCAACAGTAGAATGTATAATTTAAACTTTTGCATAACGTAATTTGTGAAATGTTTTGTATGTCATACAAAAACAAAGAATTGTCAGCAATCTTATTAGAAATATAAATGATTCCTCTAAGGGAAAAACAACCCATCAAACATTATCTTACAAATGTATGAAAATGATTCTATAGGGAAAATAAATCAACTAAGCAGTATTGGAATTTATTTCTGCAGACATTAAATAATATGTCTACTAAACAAATGATGAGTATCCATAGATTACATCTCTACTGGCTCTTAGTTCTTCAATTAAATAGAAGACCCAAATTAAGGTATTAGAACTTATCAATATCCAATTGGAATCTTTATGCCTATAGCCCTTCTTTGAAATGTGACTCAGGTATCTGTGCTAGTGGGACAGATTAGAATTCATTTTGTTGCTACAATTTCAGATAATAAAAATACACAAGAGCCATACGATATGTTACCCTTCCTCTCACTTGCTTCTTGCTCAATCTGGTATTTTAAAATAGCTGCTTAGAAAACTACTGTTAAGTTTCCAAGCTGTATAGAAGGAACAAAAAAGGGAAGAGGCATGTGCAGTATAAGCGTGCGTGCACACACACACACACACACACACACACACCTGCTATTCCCTTAATATGGTTTGTTCTCTTCTCTTCTCGATTAAAATCCTTAACGTCAGGGCATGTTGGTAACTTGTTGTTATTATGCTGTTGTTATTTTCTGAAAAACAGAAATCTTTTTCCAGAAACTTATTTTAAGGTAATTTCCCTAAATAAAAATATCAGTAATTAAATGGACACAGATAAGGGAAAAGACATAATTTCATTCTATTCATAAGGAACCTATCCCTTCAAATCTGTGACTGAGTTATAAGAACACAGAGGGCAAAATAGGGAGAAATGAAATACGTTATGATCAAGAGCTACATATAATAAAAATCAGTTGTAACAACTTAAAAGCAAGTCTTCTGCCAGCCTGATCTATATATTTTTGTCCTACTGGATAGCCTAAAAGACATCTTACATATCAATAGTCTAATGTAAAGAAAAGCTATAGCCTTCACAAATCACTGGAAAAAGAGCTACACAGAAAACATGCTTGTGTTAATGATTAGGTGGGCATGGATGTGGGAGGAAGGCTGCTCTTTAATAGGATCTATGTTTGACCTTGTCTTATATATGTTATTGACATCTTTCAGAAATGAAATATGCATGACAGCTTCTAATTAAGCATTGTGATTTCTTCACTAGTTTAGTAACAATGACAACAACAACAGCAACAATAAAAATACACTTCACCTGATCAATCTAGAAGAATGTGCCTTCTTCTTATCGACGACATTCAACATTGTGCCAGTTAATTTCTGTTCTGATTAAGTAAATGGACACTGGTCTTAGACTGCAAGAATTCCAGCTAATCTGAACCCTAAAAAGTTTTTCCTATGAGCTTTGTTCATACTGAGTCCTTCATGTGGCTTATCATTATCTCCACCTGTGAACTCAGGGTCAGCTAAGGGCATTTTTCATACTTACTATTGCAACTCAGCAGAGCATTACAACCTGAAACATCTCATAGCCAAAATTTCAGCATGTCTCTACTACCAAAATTGATTGAGTTCTCATTGTATTTGTAAACTTATTTAATAAGCATTCTAATTTACTAAGCATAATTTCGACAAGTATTTGACTACCATTCCTCTCTCCAAATGTTTGAAGACATTTTGAAGGTACAGTCATTTATTGCCTTGTTGGTCAATTGATGGATTTTTCTGTGGCATGGTTATCATTTTTTTTTTGATGATTTGAATTTTAGAAGCAACAAAAGTCTTGTTTAAAAAGAGGGAGAGAAAAAGACATTAGCAAACCAGGCTTCTTGTGACATTTGAAAAGTCTCCTGCTGTTATAAAGGGAAGAGAAAAACTATTTGAACAGAAAAGTGATTCAGTTAATAATAGGATTAAGGAGGAAAAATTATAAAAAATAAAAGCATTTTAAACAAGCAACTAGATCTGAGTTACTTATGCTGCATAGTTTACACACACACACACACACAGAGAGAGAGAGAGAGAGAGAGAGAGAGAGAGAGAGAGAGAGAGAATTCCCTAAGAGAAAAAGGGTCTTAACATCTTATGCATATTTCTAAAGACCTAAACTACCTCAGGATTAAAGAAGAAAACATACATCACTAGAAAGTAACACATTTGCTGGCAGTCTGCTCTCAGCAGCTTGGTATAACCTAAAGATACCACTGCTACATATTGCACTGATGTACCACTACGGAGTGCTGGTGCTAAGGATGTTTCTTCTAAACATATGGAATTGCCCCAAGCTAGCAAGTTGTTTAATGGCATATTGGATCCATATGTTAAAGAGCTGGAAATTGCTTAGAAGAGTGCAAAGCTATAATTATTTTCTCTGTTACCAGCCAGCACATTGCAAATCAGCTTCTCAAAGATGCAGATTCTCCACACAGTATAGCTCAAACTTTAGCTTCTCTTTTTATTTTGATAAAAATGAATCTGAATATGGTGTTCCAATAAATTTTCCCCTGGATCACTTATGACATCATCATCTTGGATGCTTTTTTAAAATGCATATTCCTGGGCCACCATCCCAGACTCACAGAATCAAATATCTTAAATTTTTGAACTCAATAGATGGGACTTCAGAATACTTCAACTTAAGCTGACTCGATTGCTCTCTAAGGACCCACTACATTTGGGAACCACTGTTGCAAGGCACAGGGCAGCTGGTCACCTGCAGAAAATGCTTGGACAGAGTTTGGTTAAATTACTGCTTAATGCACAGGCCATATTAAATTTAAAAAGTAACATACTATTAAACTGATTGTGGATTTGTTATCAAAGAAAATAACTGCCAGGCCTTTACCCTCCTATTCCTCTATTAAGGTGTTGACTGCCCACTAAAGGGAAGGCTTCAAAGTTGCGGTAGTTCTATTGGAAAACACGCCCCACACCCATCCAATTTTGTATAGGACAAACTTAATTGGCTATTCTTGGTTACTTTTATTTTAGTTTAGAGCTTTCAGTTTGAAAAGAACAAAGGAGAGAAGATTGTTGAAATTTATTTACACACACACACACACACACACACACACACACGTGCAGCAATACCTCTAACTTGTACCAGCAACTTCACTAACCAAACGGCAGCTGCAAGTGTCCAATTTAATTTTTTTTCAATTAAATATATTTAATTTTTAAAAATAATTAGGAAGCAACTACTAAGCAGGGGAGGAAATCTGTTCCTTACACTAGAGATTCAATAATTCTGTTTCAGTTTCACTGTCTAAATTTGCTTTATCTGCCCCTGTTTTTGCTTTTATTTCTAACCCTAATTTTAAAGATTTTTTTTTTGTATGTCATGCCCCAGTCTTCTTGAACAAAGATATGATTGGGTCGATTTATTTTTAGTCAAATAGGAATCAAAGAATGGAAAGATACCTCTGTCGGACCAACCCAGAACTCAGGCCTTCCTCGTGTCCAGTATGTGAATTTTTCCTTTGGCTAGGGGGCCAAAGTCTAGAAATAGCAATAACATATTTGGCTACTTTTCTTGGCAGGGATGGGTTATGCACTTAGAAAGTTATTAGTTTAGGTTTACGTGTGAAAAGGAGGGGGCAGGAGAGAGAGAAAAAGACAAGAAAAGGCATTTTTTCTTTGCTGTTAGACCAATACTTCCCACCCATGCAATTCATTCTATAAAAATATCCATGTAAGCAGTGTGAAGATAAAGGTCATTTGCTAGCTTTCCAGCAGTTGTGGAGGTAATAATATTACTTAGCTTTCCATCTTAAGTATTTTGTGTTGTAAATGGCAAATTTTCCAGCATTCCCTGAGGTTTAGAAGAATGACTCAGAGTGATATCACATCAACCTGTTTGGATATCTCAGCAACTACATAGCAGATTGACAGTTTTTCTCCATTCAGTAGGTTGCTTCTGTCAAATGACAACTACTGTCACAAGAAGAAATGTTCATGAATTCAGTATTTATTGTCTGACCCTATCATTTCCTACTTGGTTCCTGATTGTCTTTTACAACTTGAGAATATTCCTGATAAAAAGCTACAAAGAAAACAATAGTGATTTTCCCAAAAGCCTGCAAAGAAAAGCCCTGTCTTAAATTCCATGAAACTGAGTTGTGATTCCAATAATACACTGCTCAATTCTTCTGAAGAGTAGGTGGGAGTGAAAACTGTTATTTAACATGGTTACGTGATGATATTTAGCTAAGTATTGTTATTTTACTTTCACTTATATCCAATCACACTTTATCTGTTTTTTAAATGTCCTACCCTGGAAAGAATGTTGTTGGGTTATTATCTGCATGACTAATAAACTCAGTGCACATCTTTCTTTGCAGAGATTACTGGAGAAGATTATCTGCTTCCCCTTATACCTTATAGAAAAGGAAAACACCTTTCAGCACTATTTAGTGAAAATGCTTGCTTGCTGTCTCCTCTTAAAAATAAGGGCTAAATCTTTTTCATTGACATATTTAATGCCAATCAGAGTGCATACCACAAGGTAGACTCACTGTAGTAATTCATAGAATAGATAGATTACTAAATGAATGGATGAATGAAGAAATCAGAGAGGATTTAAAAGACTGTTCTCTCTTTCACAAAGTAGCTTAACACATGGTATCTCAAACTTAAATGTGCAGATGAATCACCTGGGGAGCACCAGGTAAAATGTGGTGTCTAACTGATAGGTCTGAAGTAGAGCCTGACATACTTAATTTCTATCTAAGGTGATGCAGAGATTTTGGTCTATGGAACCCATTTTGAGAAGCAAGGCTGAAAGTATCATTGCAAGCAGCAAATTCCCTAATTCTTGACTTTTTAAATAAGATGAACAATTTTGACATTTAAAATGAATGCCGAGGGTTGCTATATGATATTTTAATTTTTATATTTGTTAGTTAGAAGAGAATAATATAAATAGCCCCTTCACATTCAGTTACACTTTTAAATGTAACAGCATTTTATTTTTCAAAGAAGCAAAATAATACATATTATAAATGCAGTATAATATTTATTAGATCTGCACAGAATATACTTAGCATTTTAAATCCTTTTAGGCAAATCATCCTTTTGTACCCAACATATGGTCTGTGAATCAAGGGCGTCCTGAGGTCCAACAAGTCCATGAGTTCAAAATTATTTTCATGAAAAAATGAAGATGTTTTTACCACTCTGATTTTTTTGAAAACTAAGATATTTGCCTTTTTCCATTGCACCGACATTTGTTTGGATGGTGCAAAAGTAATAGCTTCACAGCATGAATCAACCGTGGCACCAGCTGTACTATTAGTCACTGTATTGTTGACTGCCATGTACTTATAGTAAAAATAACGTCATTTCACTGAATAATATCCATGATGAAGGAATTCACATTATACTTTATTAATTGACCTTAAGTACATGTTCTTTTGATATTCTGTTTGATGAAAAAGACTATGCATACATACTTTAGCATAATGATGTAGAATGCATATTTCAAGAAAAGCACCTGTGCAATCATGTGAGTTGCGAGGAAAACCCATAAGTGTTTGGTGTTTTTATAGAACACAATTTAATTTACCTTGAAAAAATGACAAAACATAATTTTTCTGATCTCTGTATTATTGGCAGACATCTTATTGAAAATGAGGGAAATGAGTCTGGCCTGTCAAGGTAAACAACTAACAGTATTTGTTACCAATGATAGAATTAGAGCTTATAAAGAAAACCCTATTATTAAAAATTTGTATCTGCCATTGTGAATTTGACAGCTCACTAGTACCTAATGCTTTTCTGATAAAAAGAGTTATGATATTTAAAAATACAATTTTGTTTCTTATTTTTGGATAATGAAATCTGTCAACATTTGGAAGATGTGAATCTTCCACATCAAAACAATATTTTCCAAATGATTAATCACACTAGAAAATTATATATGGTACAATATCCATTCACAAGTAGGGAAGATGAGTGGATTTTAATGTAACAGGGTAACAAGTTCATTGATATGGCTTTAAATTCCACATTGAAACTAATGAGTTTTTAAGTGCCATTTGACCACAATGTCTATTGCTCTCATGTTTATGTCCATGTGTGTTCAATGTTCAGCTTTCACTTTTAAGTAAGAACATGCAGTATTTGGTTTTCTGTTCCTGCGTTAATTTGCTTAGAATTATGGCCTCCAGCTCCATTCATGTTGCCGCAATGACATAATTTCATTCTTTTGATGGCTGTGTAATATTCCATGGGCACCTGTGTTAATTCCATGTCTTTGCTATTATGAATAGTGCAGTGATGAATTTGCAAGTGCATGAGGCTTTTAAGTAGAATGATTTATTTCCTTTTGTGTATATACTAAGTAATGGGATTGCTGGGCTGAATGGTAGCTTGGTTTTAAATTATTTAAGAAATCTCCAGACTGCTTTCCACAGTAGCTGGATTAATTTACATTCCTACCAACAATGTATAAGTGCTTCCTTTTTTTTCTACGGCCTCACCAGCATCTATTGTTTTTTTGCATTTTAATAATAGCCATTCTGATTGGTGTGGGATGGTATCTCACTGTGGTTTTGATTTGCATTTCTCTGAGGATTAGTGACACTGAGCATTTTTTCACATGTCTGTTGGTTACTTGGATATTTTGTTTTGAGAAATGTCTGTTCAAGTACTTTGCCCATTTTTAATGGAGTTATTTCTTTTTTTGCTTGTTGATTTGTTAAGTTCCCTATAAATTCTGGACATTAGGCCTATTAGAGGGCGGAGGGAAGCAGGAGCATAAAATCTACCTATAGGGTGCTGTGCTCACTCCTTGGGTGATGAGGTCTGTATTTCAAACCACAGCATCACATGATATTTCCATGTGACAAATATGCATATTTACCCTCTGTATCTAAAATAAAAGTTGAAATTTAAAAAAAATCATACCTCAATAAGGGTGAAAAAAACTCCTATTTCAGCAATTATTGTTAAGCTAAAAAAATAAGAAAGAAAGAGGGCTGATCTGGAAGGAGGTTAGGGGAAGGGAGGAGCCTGCTAATATATAGGGAAAAGACGGTAAAGATGTGTGTGTGTGTGTGTGTGTGTGTGTGTGTGTGTTCATATTTATGTATCAAAAGGAAAAATAAACAATTTAAAAAGAAACATATGAAAAATATATAATCTGCAGTTTCCATATGCCATGTTATATGAGCGTACTTTCAATTTCATAACTCATGTCTTTCTATAATACATGAAAACAAAATTACCAATTCAAATATTGCTCTTCTATTCTTTCCTACATTATTTTCTCTGAAGTATGTCTTAATAAAATGCTGTAGTCTTCTAAGCTATCCTGCATTACCTCTAACACACACACACACACTATACACACACAATACACATATGTATAATTTAAACGATTTTAATACATATTTATGAAATTATATATATAACTGTAAAATATCTATTAGCTGATAAACTGATCATACAATTGTACTTCATTTAATTTTCAGTCATTGCAAATGTATTTGCTAGTTACAAGTGGGTGTTTATGTGCATGTGAGGTTTTTTAATAATGCTCGTCAAGTACTTGTTACCATTGTTGAATTTACAGATTCCAGTGCAAAATATGCATTGATTTTCAAAGTGTTCTCAAACAATGTTATTTTTTTCTGTTCTTTTTGTAATCCCCATGGGATAGGTAATTTAGAGTGAAAATAAAATATTGGCATAAATACTATTTCATGATACTGAAATACTGAAAAAAATGAGTTAATTAACCTCCTCTAATGTCTCATAAGTGTAATGACATTAAAATGTAATTTAGTTTTATTTTTTGAAAAATTTATTACCTAAATTATTATATATAGTGGATAAAAAGGTCAATAATCTGGATACAACATTGTTCAAGCAAATGTATCGCAGTTTTGTATAATTGGCCTTGTAATGGCAAAATTCTGTAACAGGTCCACTGATGCAATTACAAAGTGAAGTAAATAAATAAAATAATTTCCTCTGTTTTACTCTAGCGGAAGGGTTCAGCAAACATTTACTGTAAAAAAAAGCAGATAGTCAATACTTTTGACTTTGTGGGCTATATGGTATCTGTGGCATCTACTCAACTTCGTTGCAGTGTGAAAAGAGCCAGTGTCCGAGGCTGTTTCAATAAAACTGTAATCCCAAAATTAATGTGGAGTCAGTCAGCCAGATTTGGCCTAGGGGGTTATATTTCCCAACTGCAGCTCCAGTAAGATGATGACACTTGTCACTGGATTACTGGCACAAACAAATGTTTAGGCACTCAGTTTAATGTTAGTAATTATTAGTAGTAGTATTCTTTCTGGTTTAGATGAAGAGTTGAACACACACTGTGTGCTAGTCACTGACCCAGTGTGTACAGTATGGGAATCAATGATCTCAATGTGAAGTCAAAGTTATCGATATATGCTTCACCAAGAATATCAAATTTGATGCCGCTGCACACAAATATATGCTGTGTTCAGGTTAGGGGGCCGTAGAAAGAAAAATCATGAAGCCATAAATGACAAAGTGTCACAAGCTGAGTTTTGAAGGATAAATACATATTGATTGTTTTGAAATAGGATTTTAAAAGAATACAGGTAAGAAAGTATTTGTATTTGTCTATTACTCTTTTGATGTGTGGAATTTCATGCTTATGACAGGTATCAGGTTCAGTATATCTGACGTTACGTTTTACCTTTATTATTGTTTTTATCTGGGTTGCTTATATTTCTCTGATACTGTCAGCTCCATGAGAGTAGCCACTTTGTTTTGTTTATTGCTATATCCTCAGTCAGTCAATGTCATGTGGGGTTTATATCAGCAATGATGGCTGTAGAATCCCATGCATGTATGTACCCCTTCTCTTCTGGAGTTCTCGAGCAATTGAGAAAAATGAACAGGCAGATGGGGCTTCCATGTGTCTCTATGACTTTGTACATAGGCAATGATACTCATAATAAATAACATTTCATAGGGCCATCATGGGAATTTAATGAGATGATACCTATAAAGCACTTACCGCAGTGTGTGTAAGTCATAATTATGTTTCTAAATAAATACAAATTAAATTAATATAGAGTTTCCCTCATGGTGTATTTAGTTTATATCCATAATAATATTTAAAATTAAGAAAGCAACAACACATTTAGGCTTTTACTGTGTTAATGGAAAACTTAATTCTACTTGATTACAATTATACAGGACTCCTAGATTCATTCCTTGTCAATACAAAATGTTTCTTTCTTCCTTGAATCAATTGTTTACTGTGATACTGTAATAGCTTTAACATTCCACTTAAATAGTTTTTAATTACTATTATCTTAGTCACACTAGTACTTAAAATGAGACATTAAAACCTATAAATATGGGTTCCTGTTCTTGTAATAGGAAATTCAAGTCCACATGTTAAGGATTATAAGGTAATGTTGGATTAATTCATATATTATATATGTTTGTTGTGGAATTAAAATAGCATTAAATAGTCTATTTAAGAGTAGAGTAGAAAAAAGAAAAGTAAAGAGTATAATCTTTGGTATGATATCATCTATGACAAAACCCTTGATGTGGTACAGCTTCCTTTGACCCACTTGATTTACCTCCCATCCACCTCCCTCCTGCTGAGTGCTGCTGCAGGGCCCGTGTGGACCATATTAAGTGGACACCATATTCAAAGGCAATCACCGACAAGAAGGTGATCAGAGGAAAGGATCAGAGTGAGATTGAGGTATGTATTCTTCTGTAGGGTGGATGATTTCAACCTCTGATCAGGTCACAGGCGATCCTCTCGCTTGCTCTTTCTCTCTTTCTCAGTCTCTCTCTGTCTCTCTCTTTAAGAGTTCAGGGTGATGGTCCCTTCATTCCTTCCTTTAGGCCTGGGAGAGGTCACTGCTCCTCCTCATTTTTTATTAGTCTCAGGATATTGCCCCAAACTATGTGGTTTCCCTGCATTCTGCTACAACTTTGCAAATAATCCTTTTGTCCAACTCTCCTCAAGTAATCCCAATTTGAATGACACATCTTTTTCTTCTTCTCCTTCTCCTTCTCCTTCATCTTCGTCTTCGTCTTTGTCTTCATCTCCATCTTCTTCTTCCCCTTCCCCCCTCCTCCTCCTTCACCTTCTCCTCCTCCTCCGCCACCACCTTCTTCTTCTTCCTCTCCTACTTCTTCTTCTTCTCCTTCTTGTTCTCTTCCTCCTCCTCCTCCACTTCCTCCTCCTCCACTTCCTCTGCTTTCTCTTCCTCTTCCCCTTCCCCTTCCTCCTCTTCTTTTTCTTCTTCTTCTTCTCCTCCTACTCCTCCTTATTCTCCTCCTCCTCCTTTTCCTCCTCCCCCTCTTCTTCTTCTTCGTCTTCCTCTTCTCCTTCCCCTTCTCTTCTTCTTCTCCTCCTCCTTCTTCTTCTTCTTCTGACACTGATGATATACTTTAGGTACAAATAAGAGAAAAATAGTTTGGGGAATATAAATTATTTTTCTTTACTTTGAAGCTTAGAGGCAGATAAGAATGGGGAATTGAGGTCTTTCAATTATAATTAAGGATGCTTTTCTTTTTTTGTTGTTTTGTTTTGTTTTTCTGGGTTTTTTTGTTTGTTTTTTAGTTTGTTTGTTTGTTTTGAGACAGAGTCTTGCTGTGTCACCCAGGCTGGAGTGCAGTGGTGCAATCTTGGCTTACTGCAAGCTCCAACTTCTGGGTTCACGCCATCACACCATTCTCCTGCATCAGCCTCCTGAATAGCTGGGACTACGGGCGCCCACCACCACACCCAGCTAACTTTTTGTATTTTTGGTAGAGATGGGGTTTCACCGTGTTAGCCAAGAAGGTCTCGATCTCCTGACCTTGGCCTCCCAAAGTGCTGGGATTACAGGTGTGAGCCACCACACCTGGCCGCTTTTCTTTTTTTGAGACAGAGTATCACTCTGTCACCCAGGCTCGAGTGCAGTGGCGCAGTCTCGGCTCACTGCAACCTCCGCCTCCTAGGTTCAAGTGATTCTCCTGCTTCAGCCTCCCTTCACCACCATGCCCTGGCTAATTTTTGTATTTTTATTAGAGACAGGGTTTCACCATGTTGGCCAGGCTGTTCTCCAACTCCTGACATCAGATGATCCACCCGCCTCAGCCTCCCAAAGTGCTGGGATTACAGGCATGAGCCACTGCGCTATTGGATCAGGTGATTATGGAGGCCAAGATATCCCAGAATCTACCCTCTGCAAGCTGGAAAAGCAGGGAAGCCACTGGTATGATTCAGCCTGAGTCCAAAGACCCCAGAACCAGAAGTACTAAGGACCCGAGATGAATGTCTCAGCATAAGAACAGAGAGACAATTTGCCCTTTTGTTCTATTCTGGTCCTCAATGGATTGGAGGATGCTCACCCACATTGGAGAGGACAAATCTTCTTCACTTAGTCTACTGATTCAAATGCCAGCTAGTCTCTTCCAGAAACACACTTACAGACATATGCAGAAACAAAGTTTCATCAGCTATTTGGGTATCCCCAAACCTAATCGAGTTGACACTAAAATTACATCATTTTACCCCATAGAAATGTTGTAAAGTTGAATTGAGATAAACTTCTAAGGGCCCTAGCAGAGCCCAGCCATACAAAGCACAAATAATTGCTTGTCATTGCATAATTTCTACTAGTTGCCTTAGTAAATAATATTAATATTATTTTCATAAAGTTAACTGAAGTGAAATCAAAAGGGATATTTTGCTTATTCTTTTTCCATCCTGTTAAATTTGTTAAATGTGAGCTGACTATATTGAATTTTATTGAACTTTGATCATTAAACTTGGGCCTTTTACTGAATCTGGGGCTCTGAAATTACTTGACATTTTATTCTCATTCTGAAGGAATATATATTCTTTGGGTTAATGAATACAAAGAATTGTGATAATTTAATAAAAATTAACCAAAATTTTATTTTGTCTTTGAAAACTCCATTACTTTATAAGATAATACTTTGTTGTGGTTTTTCTTTTTGTTTTTTGATGAGGTGGTGTGGCTAGAGGTCATTAGATACTTTTGGAAGTCGTGTAAATTTCCAGAGTCTACTATAAAATTTAGACTATAAATGAAGATGTGTATTTCATAGCTACAAGGATTTATGCAGTTAAATAAAATGACATTTTTGTGTTCTAATATATTTAACATAGAATTGAAAACTCACACTGTCATTATTCTAAACAAACTCCACACTGATGGAATCTTTATTTTTACATACTCAGGTGGAAATATAGAGGCAGACATACTTCTACATATTGTTTTCTCTTAATTTTAAATGAAAAGCGGTATTTTAATTAGGTAATCTACAGGCTGTAATGGTAAGTTAGAATGTTTCCAAAAAACAAATTTAAGAATCCTTTTACTTGAGTAAACAATTTCTTTAAAAAATATGTTCACATTAAAAATAATAGTTTTCCCTGAAAAAAACATTCTCATTTATTGACTTGATCTAAGAAATATTAAAAATAGAATAGAATAGCCAAAATTGACAAATGGGATCTAATTAAACTAAAAAGCTTCTGCATGGCAAAAGAAACTATTGGGGAAACCTGCCCCCAATATTTCAATGTAGGTTCTTTCTATTTTCCATAAGTGTTGGCTGGCTGAGAAATAAAGGGAGACAATATAAAGAGAGGAATTTTACAGCTGGGCCACCAGGGATGACATCACATATTGGTAGGACCATGATGCCCGCCTGAGTCTCAGACCAGCAAGTTTTTATTAAGGGTTTCAAAAGGGGAGGAGGTGTAAGAACAGAGAGTAGGTACAAAGATCACATACTTTAAAGAGCCAAAAGCAGAACCACTGACAAGAGTCTAAAAAAGATCACATGCTTGTGAGGGAATAGGACAAAGGACAAAAGCAGAACCACTGATAAGGGTCCAACAAAGATCACGGGGCAAAGAGCAAAAGCAGAACTGCTGATAAGGGTCTATGTTCAGTGGTGCACATATTGTCTTGATAAATATCTTAAGCAATAGAAAACAGGGTTCAAAAGCAGAGAACTGGTCTGACCACAAATTTACCAGGGCAGAGTTTTCCCAACCCTAGTAAGCCTGAGGGTTCTGCAGGAGACCAGGGTGTATCTCAGTCCTTATCTCAACTGCACAAGACAGACATTCCTAGAGAGGCTGTTTATAGACCTCCCCCAAGGAACACATTCCTTTCCCAGGATGTTAATATTAATATTCCTTGCTAGGAAAAGGATTTAGTGATATCTTTCCTACTTGCACATCCATTTATAGGCTCTCTGCAAGAAGAAAAATGTGGCTCTTTTTGCCTGACCCCGCAGGCAGTCAGACCTTATGGTTGTCTTCCCTTGTTCCATAAAAATTGCTGTTATTCTGTTCTTTTTCAAGGTGCACTGATTTCATATTGTTCAAATACACATGTTTTACAATCAATTTGTACAGTTAACACAATTATCACAGTGGTCCTGAGGTGACATACATCCTCAGTTATGGAGATAACAGGATTAAGAGATTAAAGTAAAGACAGGCATAAGAAATTATAAAAGTATATTGTATATAAAAGTATATAAAAGTACTGATAAATGTCCATATTAAGATGAAATCTTCACAATTTGTGTTCCCCTGCCACGGCTACAGCTGGTCCCTCCATTTGGGGTCCCTTACTTCCCACAACAAGAAACTAGCATCAGCATGAACAGGCAAACTACCGAATGGGAGAGAATTTTTGCAATCTACCCATCTATAGAATATCCAGAATCTACAAGGAACTTAAGCAAATTTACAAAAAAAAAATATATCAAAAAATGGGCAAAGGATATGAACAGATACTTCTCAAAAGAAGACATTTATGCAGCCAACAAACATATGAAGAAAAGCTCATCATCACTGGTCATTAGAGAAATGCAAATCAAAACAAAAACTGAGATACCATCTCATGCCAGTTAGAATGGCTATTATTAAAAAGTCAGGAAACAGCAGATGCTGGAGAGGATGTGGAGAAATAGGAATGCTTTTACACTGTTGGTGGGATTGTAAATTAGTTCAACCATTGTGGAAGACAGTGTGGTGATCCCTCAAGGATCTAGAACCAGAAATACCATTTGACCTAGCCGTTCCATTACTGGGTATATATCCAAAGGATTATAAATTATTTTACAATAAAGATTTATGTATGTTTATTGCAGCACTATTTACAATAGTAAAAACTTGGAACCAACCCAAATGCTTATCAATGATGGGCTGGATAAAGAAAATGTTGCACATATACATCATAGAATACTATGCAGCCATAAAAAAAACTGAGTTCATGTCTGTTGCAGGGACATGGATGAAGCTAGAAGCCATCATTCTCAGCAAACTAACATGGAACAGAAAACCAAACACCACATGTTCTCACTCATAAGTGAGAGTTGAACAATGAGAACATGTAGACACAGGGAAGGGAACATCACACACTGGGGCCTGTTAGGGGGTGGGGGGCAAAGGGAGGGAGAGCAGTAGGACAAATACCTAATGCATGTAGGGCTTAAAACCTAGATGATGGGTTGATAGGTGGAGCAAACCACCATGGCACATGTAAACCTACGTAACAAACTTGCACATTCTGCACATGTGTCCCAGAACTTAAAGTAAAACTTTTTAAAAAAAAAATTTTTAAAAAGAAATAGAAATAAGCTTTATGCTATCTAGAATCTATAATTATCTAAATTCAATCCTCCCTTTAAATTAGCATATATCTGTATAGCTATATGTATATAGATATATTATCATATATTTGTATATCTATATGTACATATATATCTTTATGTATAGATTATAAATATATCTATATATCTACATATAGATTTATATGTATATGCTAAGCTATCTATGTACATATAGATATGCAGATATATGTATATCTTTAAATTAATATATGTCTGTATATCTATATGTAGTAGATATCTTAGTATATACTTATAGATCTACACATATGTATCTGTAGCTCTATATTATATAGATATGTTAGCATATAGATATAGTTATATACCTATAGATCTATATATATGCTAATATATATACACATATATATACAGATATATGCTAATATATGCTAATATAACCCTAAACAATAGAAACACTGACAGCATGAATCTTTTTATTTACCTGATTTTATAATCTAAGCCATATGGTGCTTGCTGGAATGACATTTATAGTGCAAGAAAAATCTCTTGATCTAAAGCATGCTTTATAATCCTTATTCCCTCCAGTGTATTTATTAACAATTTTCCTAATCTGTACATGAATTCTGAATGAGGTTTAAATTACTCCATCTGTATCCCTGCTTGATATTATGGCACAGCAAATATTAACTATACAAAAGTTATATGCAAAAACTGAAGAGACACAGTAATTTGGTAAATAAACTTGTGTATAGGATTTTTCTTAGAATCCACATTCAGTTCTATTTAAAGAAAAACTTTATTATAACCTGCATTTTAATTATATTTTACATATTTCATACTAAATATTAGTGCAGTTTTCAAAATTAATTAAACATGAATAAAATACACTAAATGTGGAGATCATCTTTTTGTAAAATCAGAAAATAGATTTTTTCTGAATTGCCTATTGTATTCTTTATTTTTTTTTATTTGCAGCAGCAAATCTTGGTTGCCCTTTAAAAAGCCCTTCAAATTGGATTAAAATCTAGACATTCAAATGGAAAATATAAGAAAGAATTCAGCATCCTCCTGTGGTTAATAATTTTTCCTCTTTCTTCCAACGGTTGTTGACTAGCACTTCTGGTTGCATCAATGCCCGTCTACATTTAGGAGAACATGCCTCAATTCTCATGGGCAGCAAGAGGAGAGTGTTATATTTTCCCAATGAGATCAATTGCTGTTGTATTTGATCTGCTTTTTCAGTGTCCATTTTGTACTTTGCTTTTTAGATTTTGCACTTTAACTGTGGTGATACTATTTTTAAGAATTTAAGTCAAAATTACAGAGGATTGGGATATTAACACATTGTTGACAATTATAAATGATGACTTACAATTTAAAAACCTGACTATGTGGGTGTATCATAGTGTCCTTAATGCTGGATTTGTTGTTGTTGCTGTGTTCTTGGCTTATTTTGTTCATTGAAGCACACAACGTATTTAATTATATCAAGCAGCTGTTGTGCAAGGGCAGCAGATGTTTTGCATAATGTTTATTTACATTGCCATAATGTAATTCGAGAGGCCATTATGATTCCATCTTTGTGGCCAATCCCATATTTCCTTCGTAGATTCTGTGGGCAATGAACTTTTATCTTCATCAGAGCTTGAAGTGACCAAATAAACTAAATAAAATCATTACATATTACTGCATGTTTTATGAGTTATGGACAGCAGTGTATAATTTCTTCTCCACTTACTTAGTGATAACTTATCTAAAAAGGCATGCAGATTATAAAATACTCAGTACAATAGCACATTTAGGCATTTACATTTGGAAACAAAATTTGTGTGCTCCTTCAGACTTCTCCCAACTCTTGCCTTATTTTTCTCTCTTGTTTGATACACCTCTCACGCCAGAATGCCCACCACTTTCAAATATGAGTGAAACACCCTCATCTGGTTGCATGAGAGGTTACCAGATAGCAAATCGATTCTCCTGGAAGTGTGAGCAAGTTACTCCCAGTGGCATGAACCTTAACCAGTGAGCAACAGAATTTTTACATCATTGTGGATTTGTTTTCACATTGTAATCTATGAACTTTTGCTGTTTGTTTGTTTTACTTTTCAAATATGTATATATTACATTAATATATAATATTTATTTATTTATTTATTTATAGAGGTGAAGTCTTGCCATATTTCCGAGGCTGCTCTTGAACTCCTGGCCTCAAGAGATCCTGCCACCTGAGCCTCCCAAGTAGCTGGGATTACAGGCCAAGCCGCCTTGCCTGGCTTCAGTATTTGCTGTTAATAAAATGAAGTTACATTGGTGGGCTAAACAATTTATCATCAGGAAGTGACCCATAAATTATATTTGTTTAATATTAATGTAGCTACACAGCTTCCTCTTTGCTAGTATTTGCATGATTTATTTTTTGTTTGTTTATAGCAACCTTTTTTCTTTCTGCTATATTTTTACCTCTGCCTCCTTTAAGCTGCAGATTATCGGGTATGACCTTTTTGTTTCATCCAACATTTCTTTTGACAAAGATATTTAGTTCATTTATATTTATGTGATTACTGAAATCTTTAGGTTTAAATCTATAGCATTGTTTTGTACTTTACAGTTGATCGGCTCCCACTTACCTTTCTTTTTCTGTCCTTTCTTGTCCGATTTGATATTATTGGTTATATTTTTATTGGCTTATTTGATCATTTGCATTTATAATTTTACTATAATTTCAAAATAATTTTACAAGAAGCTTGAAATCTTTAAGGCTATTACTAATAAAAGTAGTCTTTATTCTATAGTATTTAAATATGATTATTTTAATTTGTTATTAAATATGATGGTGAATTCTGTGTTAATACAGTGAGATGCAAAAGCAGAAAAATAAAGTTACATAAAAACATAGCTTAAGTGAGAAAAGGGAAATATAATAATTTATAGAAGCTCAGCAAACTAGTCAAAAGTAGAATACATTAAAATTTAATTTCACATTTATTCAAGAAAATATTTTATTCCAAATATTGTCGTCCAAAAGTGGAACAGTGTTATAGTTCACAGCGTGAATTCTGCTAAATGAACTTCTTACCCATTTTAGCTGCGGTAAATGCTCTCAAGGAAAACTTCAGAGATTGACAGAATTTCTCATTCCACTTATCCTCATTGACATCAAGTCCAGAGTAGAGCCAGTGAATGTTTGGACTAGATGAGTGAGCAAATATTTGGCCTCATGGGACCTAATGGGACTTAGGATATTTATTAGCTACTTTAGAATAGGAAAATATAAGTACAAATCCTCCTATGTTAATGGAGTTAGTGTTTGGCTGAGAATATATTTTACACTTCTTAGGCTTTCATCTCTGTTCCAGCTTCCACTGTAGTTGTCTTAATACTTCTTTAATTTTTGCCTCATTAAGAGTGTAAAATGATCCTTCATAGGGGTGAGAAACTGATTGCTGATATCCTCTGATAATTTTCTTACCCCTCATGTTCTGTGATGATTTTAGCTAAAACATATAAGAATATGTGTTTTAAAATAAGCAGTTTAATTTTAGGTGTCACGACACCTCTTGGTCTCTCAATTTACGCATACTTGAATGAAAGAAAATGGCTTCTATTCACCAAGGATGAAAGTAAGTTTGGGGGCACTAATGTTAATTATATAATAGTAAATGTTTTCAAAATATGTCAAAATATACTTCACTTGATAATCAGCATAATTATTTTTATGTTTAATGTTCCCCTCCTAGATTTTTAAAAGATTAAATATAACCCCGCCTTTCTTATTTCTATATTTTTTATTTAAATTTATTTTTGTTGATTTTCTCAGTTCCAAAAAATGATGATTAATAAAGACCTTTGCAAGAATTATGACTGTGGGAGAAATCTAATATAGCTAACTCCATCTTGCTTCTAACTTCACATTCTGTTCTTGCTCATTCCTCCAACTATGGGAAAAAATTAGTTTATAGTTTAACTTTAAAACAAAGATGATAACAGTCCTTTGTTGAAACTAACCTCTTCCTTACTCAAGAACTGAAACCACCTTTGTAAAACTAATAAATAGTTCAGAAGTTCTGTAGCCAGAAGTGACGAGATTTGTAACCTCCCAAATTATTCTTATAGATAACATCACTATTGTAAAACCTGAGAAAGGTGTTTTGGGTATCTCTTAGACCTGGCATTCTGATGGACCACCTGATGCAACCCAGACTGGTAACTCATACTAAGAAACTGACTCAAGGCTCGGCGTGGTGACTCACATCTATAATCCAAAAACCTTGGGAAACTGATTGACAGAGCATCCCTATGCCCAGGTATTCAAGGTTACTGTGAGCTATGATCATGCCTTTGCACTCCAGCTTGAGCCGCATAGTGAGACCCTGTCTCAATTTTAAAAATTAAAAAGAAAAAGAAAGAAAAGTAACTTAATCAACTGGTCTTGTGACTCCTACCCAGGAACTGACTCAGGGCAGGAGGACAACGTCAATTACCTATGATTTTATTCCTGACCTAACCAATCACCATTCCTTTTGCCTACTCTCCTGCTTGCCAAACTGTCCTTAAAAAAACTGTAGCTTCTGAGTTCTTAGGGAGGTGTATTTGAGAAATACACCCATCCTTTCACTTGGCTGGCCCTGTGATTATTCAACTCTTTTTGTTGTTGCTGTTTTGCCTGTAATGGCTGCTGTTCTCAGAGCACTGGCTTTCCTGGGGAGGAGGCAAGAAGACCTTGTTAGGCTGTAACACATTTGGGGGCTCATCTGGGATAGCCTTTGTGGGCACTTGCCCTCAGTTTGGCAGCCTCTCACTGGTATGACAGATCTGGAGGTGAGCCCAAGTGGTTGGACTGAGGGCCACCTCTGGTGCCATCTTGGCCAATGGAGCACAGTCAACCCACAGTGCTTAAACCTACTTTGCAGTGGATACATTTTTGAGGGGATTTGAAGAAATCTGGTAAATATTCTAAGCACAATGAACAACCATATCCTTCTCTCAGTTGGTTAGGCTCTTTGAAGGTCTTGTGGCTCTTTGTGGGTTTTTGTTGGCTCTCACTAAATAGTAGGAAGGGTCTTGGTTTGAGGAGATTTCTCCCCAATTAGAGAATAGGGTGCCTGCTTAGAAGAATATTCTTATAAATTTTTAATTTGCAATTTTGATTTGAAGGTCTTTTATCTTTCCCTTGTTGTACATATTTGTATGTGTGGAGAAAATCCCCTGAAGGAATTGCTGGTGGAAATCCAGCGGGCAAAGCTAAGGAAACTCTCCTTGTTTGTCTCATCAGTCATATTCAAGGAGCACTGAAGGACTTGTTAGCAGAAGCTCAGCAGGCCTAAATCAGGGCGACTATTTGCTCTTCCATCCTGCCCAGAGACCACGCATTGAAACTCCTGGTTGGAGGTCATCCCTCTCCACCTTGAATGGAACTAAGACAACAGGGGCCAAACAGTGGCAAGTTTGAGGCTTGTCAGGTTGGTACTTGGGTGCTGAACAGGCCGACTAGAGTCTGGGTTTGTTATGTGCATATAGCTCAAGCCAGAATGAGAAATATTAATTAAGTTCCCCCACGCAACCCACTGGGCAGCATCTTGCAAAACTTGGAGGCTTTTCCTAACGGTCCATGAAGTGGAAAATGTGTTTTATAACATGGCTTGGCCCCCACGGCTGTGGTGCAGTGAACAGGATCACCAGGGCTACTCTGCCCTGCTGGGGGCCAGGAGCCTGATGAGTTGGCAAAAGGATAAGAATTTCTCACCAGCCAGGCTCCTGGTTTCTCCCTCTGTGCTCTCCATGGAACTGACAAAAGTCACTGTTTGTCCCCTTGGCAAGATTTTGATTAATGGGGGGAAAAAAAGAATTGTGTGAGCAGTCTTGTACTATAGATTTTAGAGATCTCTTATTCTAAACAGTTGATGAGAAAATTATTTCTTTTTTTAAAAAAGACACATAATAGTGCCATGGCTAGCCAGGAGAATTCTCTTGAGCAGCTAAACTCCTTTACAAACTCAAAACTGGCTGCTCTAGGTTCCTTCTGGGAAAAGCAGTGGCAAATGCCCCATGATGTAGTTCATGAAATAAGATTCTGCCCTTTCACCATGGTGGCCGGGATTCAATTTTTGGCTCAGAGAATGAGTCCTTTCTGGTTTGATATTTGTGTGACTTTTGCCATTTATATCAATAATGTGTGTGTGTGTGTGTGTGTGTGTGTGTGTGTATATATATATGTGTGTGTGTGTGTGTGTGTGTGTGTATATATATATATATATGTATGTATATATATAGTTTTAAGGCCTCTATTCTCTCCCTGTAAAAACTCAGTCAATTGAATTCTGTCTGTTTTCCCATTTACCTCTATCTGTTGCTTCTTTCTCTTGCCACCTTCACTGCCCACATGGGAGGACCTAGCATACTTTCTTTCTTTTTGAGATGGAGGCTTGCTCTGTCGCCCAGGCTGGAGTGCAGTGGCACAATCTTGGCTCACTGCAAGCTCCGCCTCCCGGGTTCACGCCATTCTCCTGCCTCAGCCTCCCGAGTAGCTGGGACTACAGGCACCCGCCACCATGCCTGGCTAATTTTTGTATTTTTAGTAGAGATGGGGTTTCACTGTGGTCTTGATCTCCTGACCTTGTGATCTGCCTGCCTCGGCCTCCCAAAGTACTGGGATTACAGGCGTGAGCCACCATGCCCAGCCATACCTAGCATAATTTCTAACAGCCTGCGACTTCTTGGGAAAAACAGAAAAAAATGCCATTTGGAGGAACCTCTGTTTTCATCATGGAAACTCAAGAGATGTAAGCTTTTACATTGTGTTGTCTCATCTTTTTAGCTTTTGAGGGTACCAGTAATTACTTTGTATTTTGAGAAAATTTTTAACCTTGATATGTGTAATAGCTAGATTAAAGATATGCCTTCAGAGATAGCTAATGGCATTTGCTTCAAGCAAAGTGTACTCTTGAGCATGTAGAAGGTATAGAAAAATCCTGACTCCCCACTGAGGGATAAGATTCCTATGGGAGATGGGCTAATTACAGAGTAGGTTAACTGGCATTGGGTTGCTGATATGGTTTGGCTGTGTCCCCACCCAAATCTCATCTTGAAATGTAACTCCCACAATCCCCACATGTCATGGGAGGAACCTGGTAGGAGGTGATTGAATTATGGGGGGGGTCTTTCCTGTGCTGTTGTCATGACAGTGAATGAGTCTTATGAGATCTGATGGTTTTAAAAATGAGAGTTTCCCTGCACAACCTCTCTCTGTGCCTGCTGCCATCCATGTAAGATGTGACTTGCTTCTCCTTGCCATCTTCTTTGATTGTGTGGCCTCTCCAGTCATGTGGAACTGTAAGTCCATTAAACCTCTTTCTTTTGTAAATTGCCCAGTCTGTGGTATGTCTTTATCAGCAGCATGAAAATGGACTAAATACAGTTGCCCACCAGCCTCAGGGGAATGTCCATACAGTGAAGTGCACTGTAAAAATATTGCACTGTCTCATCCCACAGTGTTTGCATCTTTTTGAAAACCCAGGATTTGGTGCAAAAATGGGATCCTTGATTTGGGGATATTTATTCTGCCTTCTAGCTATGCTTGTTTCTCGCATATGTAAATATTAGGTGCTAAAAGCTTCTGTGCTTTCTTAGCCCTGTTTCTTCCTGTATTTCCTGAAGGCTCCAACCTAAAGCCTGAATTTAATTAAGACACAAGTTAAAAAGCCAAAATGCAACTCTCTGGTAATTAGTTGGCTATCTTAAAACCACTGTGTAAAACAAATTGATATCTTTAAGGAAATCTCTAAATGTAGGAGTGCCTGCCTGTGTACATTAGAAATTCTGATGCTACAATATTTACACCTAATGTCTTAACTCTGTGCTTTTAAAATATAAATTTTGTATCTCATTTCACCTAAGAGTTGTCCTTTTTGAAATGTAAATTTAGAGCTGCCCAGCTGACGACTGTTTAGGGAAGTGAACAAGTAATCAAGAGATTGAGAATGTAAAATGGGTAAGAAAAACTTTACAAACTGTCCAATAAGGACTGTTATAAATGAAGTGTCTTATAAACTGTAAGATCTGCTTCTGTCTGTGTGTCTGCTATGTCCATATGTTTATATGCGTATGTGATACTCATATAAACATGCGTATGTGTATACATATGTATGTAACATACATATGCGTATGTGATACGCATATGTTTATATGCGTATGTGATATTTCACTACCAAAATATATGAAAGAGTTTTAATTGGCTTAAAGAAAGAAAAATAAGTGCTTAAACTAAATATTTTATTAAAAAAAAACCCCAACTAACTCAAATGTCTTTTAGTTCATGTGACTTTTGCAATCTTTGGTAAATACAGTTTTAAAATTATTGTTAAAATAAAATTGAAATATTTTCAGAATTTAGACATTTGGTCTGAATTAGGCAGGTCAGATACTGTCTTTGCTACATGTTTTAAGATCAGGAACTGCTTCTGTGACATTTTTGATAATTGTTTGACTTGTTTGTTTTAGAGCCATTAGATTCTAGGTAAGGCCTGGGGACATGTGGAGCTAGGCATGCCCACTGGCTATGCTGGGAAGAATAAAACATTATCTGCAGTTCTGTCCTGGGCTCTGCACCTGGTACTTAATTAAAATTACCTACCTCCAATTTTTTCTTTTAACTAAAAGTAAGAGTTACTAAGAGTTACCATTCATACATAGCATATTAAAAGTATGATCGTATTTCGTGATATCAAGTGTTTTAAACTTTTGATATTTGGCAAAATTTTACAAATCAAAATTTCTTTTCAAAAAAAGTTATAAGAAAGCATGTTTTCTGGTTTTCAGAAAAGAAAGTAATTATATTTTAGAGGCTTTTAATAGTTAAAAGCACAATAGTTGTTTTTACCTTGATCCTTTTCAAAAAGCAGTTCATAATCAGCTATAAGAATTAAGTTACAGGAAGATAGGACAAAACTGAAGGTTTAAGCAAGTTGTAGGAGGTTTGTAGAAGATTAATCTTCTAAAAGAAACTTTGTGGAAAGTTTGCTAAAATTTAAATGGGATTATTTAGTTTTTCTATAAATTAAACATTAAAACCAAAAGCATACTGATGCACAGCAGAATCTAGACCTCTATGATAGAATAATAGGGTTCTATTGGAGAGCTAATCTACTCTTTAATTTAAAAAAAATAAAAGATTTGAAAGTTTTACAAAAATCTTATTGTGTGGTCAAACTGGTTGGATTAATTTCTTTCTACAATTTTATTAAAAATTGGCTTTAATGTTAATAATTCATGAATAAAAAGGTAAATTTGTTTTTTTCTTTTATACAAGATTTTCATGCAATATTGAAAGATTTCTGTTTGCTTTTTGAGTGAACTGCAACAAAAAGGAAAGAAAAGAAGGGAGAGAGGAGGGACAAATGCAGTTGGCCTCCTTATGCTACCTTTATTTGGTCTTGTATTTTTTGTGGAAAGCTGAGTCCCCTATCAAAGGGTAAAGATTTTTGCCTTTAAAAAAATCTTGAGTTATCACACTTTGACCAAATAAATGAACTGTGATTCTCTTTGTTGATATCAAGTGTTTTAAACTTTTGATATTTGATATTTGCAAACTTTTTAAAATCAAAATTTCAGTTTCAAGTTCTAAATTTCAATGAAATATTTTGAACTAATTAACTTTCTTTAGATGTTAGGTCCCCTGACATCCAAAAGAGATATAATTAGCTTATATGGTGTGTTAAATAATACAGGAAGCATTGTCAAATATGAAATAGTACTTAACTTTCTTTGGGTTATAGTTATATAAATGTATTATTAGTACATGTTCCAAAATTACATAAGATTTCTATATTTCTGATGTCTCAGTATGTATTATCAGTAATAATTATTATTATATTAGATTTTTGTGTGCCACAGAGATAATCAGTTTTCCTTGTCAATTGTGTCTTTGGCTATGGCTGTCCTAAGACTTTTTTCATTCACAATAATTGTCTTACCTTGATCCTTTTTAAAAAGCAGTTCATAATCAGCTGTAACAATCTGACAGGTGGACTTGAATGCAGATTTCTTATAACTTTGGATATTGTGCCATTGGAATAGAGAGAAAAGCTTCCAGGACCCTCTTGGAGAGCTGATATGTTCATAAGGACTTCTGGCCCAATATTGAGCAGAACAAAACTTAATCTTACCAACTAAATTGATAGAAAACCAAAACAATCTTTTAGTAATTTTTTTTTGTTTGAAACATTACTGATTCTTTTTGTTTTGTTTTTCAGTCAATAAAACTTTTTTCATTTGAGTCATTTGCAGCTTTTAAATATTTAATGAAGTATCCTCTTGTGAGCAAAATTTAAAGCATATTTCTTTCTACCTGATTTCTTCTGATTTTGAAAACTTAGTATTCTTAATTGATAGCAATATAATTCTTTGCATAAATTTAAGGAGAATATGTTTTTCTTTGTAACACAACACAGTTGGAGATACTGGTTATTTTACCAAGGCTTTGACGGAATGGCACACTTTCAGATATAAACAGACTGCTTTGAGGAATTGAGATTGACTTTATATAGCCAATAACAGCACCTTGGAAAGGGGGATCTTGTGTCTTCTCTATGCAAGTTCTTTACAGGGCTTCTGAACTAGTAAGCAAAGAGTGTCACTTTTTGGCAGGCCCAGAAACACCAAGTTATCTTGGGACATAGAGAAGAGAGTAACTCACCCAATTCATACAGGTATCTGCAGACACAGATAAATCCTTTGCTGAACTCAAGGCTTTAAAGAGGTCTAATCTGATATTCCTTATGAAAAAAGTTCCAGCAAAGCCAGTTTGAAAAAGAAACTATGTGGCAAATAATTATTCTTGATTCATTTTATGCAAATAATCAGGCCATAAATAATAAGACTAAAACTTATTTTGCTAGTGAATTGGTCTTACTATAATTTGTGTTTAAGGGGTCTGTAGAGAGAAAAATTATGTTTCAGAAGAAAACTATGGTACACTTGTTATTAGATTCCAGTCTTGTTCAATGTTTTGAGTTATTATGTTCTACAATTTGGACTGAATCCTGAATTCTTCCCTGGCTATAAGTGTCCAAGCTAATGTTTTCAAAATTCTCTTCCACTTTTGTGACTTGGACTCAATTAAATTGCTACTACATTTTTCCTGAGGCCCTGCAAATTGAAGCTCACTCCTTGTGATACAGGTGAGACAAACTAGTTAGATTGCCACTGCCTTCTTCCTCTTTAACTAAAGATATTTTAATTCTAACATCTGATACTTCAACTGACTACCCTCCAGAATCTAAGGAAACTAATTTATAGATTGTTCCTAATATTAACCTTTGTTTTTCTTCTGTTCCTATAGAAATGTCTCTTATTACATATCTTTTTTCCTGCATCATATATAAAATCCTGGCTCATTTGCAATGACACTCTTGTAATGGTACATAGATGTTTAACTGAACTAATTTTTTCTTAGGACTAGAAGTCGACTAAAAAAGATGTGGGATGATATATTAAAATCTGCTCTTTTCTCTTGTCTTTCGAACAATCTCTGACACAAATCTCTCGCTCTCTCCTAGGACCCTATATCTGCTTGGTTCTCAGGGTTGTTCCCCTGGAACCCTCAATGCTTCAGATCAGTCTACAAGGACATATGAAGCTAGGACTTACACTTCTTTTTGTAGGGCTCAGTTTGCTGCTCACTTACTTGCTGTGCTAAAACTGTGAATGAGAGTACTAACATCTTTGTCATGCAAACCTTGGGCCCCCAATCAGACACCCATGAATACACAGATACCACTGCCAAATGGTTTCGCTCCTCTTACCTTGAAGCCAAACCCTACGCTAAATATGCCTCTCATCAGCGGGAAGAAGTTAGGGTGGATGTTGGCGTTTTCCCATCTCTGTAGCTCACAACTTGGGAATTTAGCATGCTCCAGCCTAAAAAGGGGATTGAAACTGCCTTTGCAAAAGTTATAACAGTGAGATCAATCTGACACATCTAATTTAATCTTGCTTCTAACCTCACATACTGTCCTTGCTCATTCCTGGGTGACTATTGGAGGCATTTAGTTTATAGTTTAATTTTAAAACAAACATGATAACAGTTCTTTTCTGAAACGAATCCTCTTCTAGCTCAGGGATTAAAGCCACCTTTGTAAAACTAATAAATTAGCCACCAGGTTAGAACTATGGTTCTGGAGTTATGTAGCCAGAGGTCACAAGATTTGTAAACTCCCCAGTTGTACCTATAGATAACATCACTATCACTATTGTAATCTGAGACTGGGTTGGGCGCGGTGGCTCATGCTTGTCATCCCAGCACTTTGGGAGGCCAAATCGGGTTGATCACCTGAGGTCCAGAGTTTGAGACCAGCCTGGCCAATATGGTGAAACCTCATCTTTACTAAAAAATACAAAAAGTAGCCAGGTATGGTGGTGTGCGCTTGTAGTTCCAGCTACTAGGAAAGCTGAGGCATGAGAATTGCTTGAAGCTGGGAGGCAGAGGTTGCAGTGAGCCGAGACTGCCACTGCACTCCAGTCTGGGCAACAGAGCTAGCCTCTGCCTCTAAATAAATACATAAATAAATTTGAGACTGGTGTTTGAGGTATCTTTTAGAACTTGCATTTTGATGGATTAGCTAGCGCCACCCAGACCAGTAACCCATACCAATAAATTGACTCAAGGTTGGGTATATTTGAGCATGCCTGTAATCCAAACACTTTGGGAAACTCGGGGGGAAGAATCACTTGAGCTCAGGAATTTGAGGTTACAGTGAGCTGTGCTGGGCCACAGAGTGAGACCCTGTCTGAAAAAAAAGAAAACAAAAATCAAAAAAACAACCAACCTGCATTTTTCATTCATTAGTCCCCTGGCCACCATACTGTCCTTGAAAAATACTTGTTTCCAAATTCTCAGGGAGGTGGATTTGAGGAATACCTCCTATTCTTCTGGCTGACCCTGTGATTATTAATCTCTTTCTTTGCTACAACAGTATCCTTGCTATTCTCAGTGCATTGGCTTTTCTGGGCGGCAGGCAAGAAGAACCCATCAGGCTATAACATTACCACACAAC
Source organism: Homo sapiens (assembly GCF_000001405.40). Classification (NCBI taxonomy): domain Eukaryota; kingdom Metazoa; phylum Chordata; class Mammalia; order Primates; family Hominidae; genus Homo; species Homo sapiens. The sequence goes on from NC_000004.12 coordinate 171,402,335, forward strand.
TTCAAATACATCAAATGTTTAAAAATACTAGAAGACTGTTTCTATTGTCAATTATTTTCTGTTTTTAAACAAAACAGTAGTGAATTTAAGTCATTTGAAGGCCTGTGTCTTTCAGCTTACTGTAGCCACTTAAATTGTAATTTTAGACAAATCTTTACATACATGAACAAAAATTTAGTACTTCATTTTTTGTGATTCTATAATAACTTTTTGAGGGTCTGTAACAAATCTCTTCAGGTTTTTCTTTCCCAAAATATTTGATCATCTTTACATTAAAGGTAGCAGCATTCCAGGGATACAGTTTCTGAAAAAAAAATGATATTCCCTACTGTTTGTGGTAGTATCCAAAAATATCAAAAGTTTGATTCTTTTTTAAAGAACATTCTATAATTGCTTCTTTTGTTCACTTCTGTATACACACACACACACACACACACAAACACACACCCATATAATAATATGCATTATGATCCAAGCTGGCTACTCTATTAAGGCTATTTGAAATTATGGTAATAATAAAAAGGTAATTTTACCCATACAAGAGAGAAATTGGAGAATGGTAACCATTCATATTGATTTTATCAACTTGATAGCATTTTGCCATTCTTCACATATTTATCAGCCTGCTGACTTTTAATTTCCTAGGGATTATAATATATTTGATGTGACTCTTACAGCAAGTATATTAGTAAGTCAAGATCATACAAATTACACTAAATATATACCATTCAGATATACTATTAAAATTTAGCTTACTATGTTTTAATGAATGTCTGTGGAAAAGGATGTCCACTTAATGTGTCTTAGAAAAAAATAGAGATATTATATAAAAGATTAAGTTGAGTAGCATAACTGAAGTGCCAAATTTAATATTATTGCTAACATGTAAACAGTAATGTGTCTGAAGAAGTTAAAAATACTCTACCCCAAAATATATTTATTTGACATATTTTTAGATGGCTGCTCAGAGAACCTATAAATAGTAACCCTGCAAAATTATCTTTTGTAGGGATAATTTGCATCTATAGAGAATCTGTAGTGATGCTACCAGGCTTTCCCTGAGCCCTTCCCTTGCCTGGATCTAGGAAAGATTGACTGAGAATCTGACATCATTAAAGGTCTAAAAGAAACATTTACCATCTGTTCTCTTTGATGGTTACAACCTGTGAAATTTCATCTACATAACGAATCCATGTTTGCTAGCCAGTCCTCCTCTTCTCCCCATCTCATCAGCTGTTTAGCCACCATCCAAAGTCCTCATTCTTTCTGTAAACTCGAGATGGTATATACACTTCTTAATCACACTGTAATCACTCTATGGTTCCTCCGTGAGAAAATTAATAAATTGTTATCTCATTTCACTAATTAATCTGCCTTTTGTGAGTTGACTTTTTAGTGAACCTTAGGAGGAATGGGGAAAGCTTTCCCTTGGCCCCTGCACATCATTAGACTTATTTTAAAACATTAAGCCAGCATTTTATACAATTAGATTTTTTTTCAAAAAATTTTTCCATTTCTTACACATACAAATTAAATGGAAAATCAAATCCACTAACATTTACATATTGTCTTGCCCATTACCAAACCTCCTGCTAAAAGAGGTAGATTGCTATAACAGAAGAATATAGTGATGCACTAGGATTTTGATAGTAGGGATGAGTAATGAAGGGATTTATTGATTGACCTTTAGTGTATTAATTTATCTTATTATTAATGAGAGTTGCAGAGTCAATCTTTTTGACTCCTCATTTCTTTAACATTAACATTATATTAACTTTGAATCATATTTCTAATAGTATTTTACAAAAAGGAGAGAAGTTTATCACTTCTTATCATTCTTCAGTAATCATTATAAGGTTTAACACTCTTGCCTTTTTTTCTCATTCTCTCTGTCTTTCTCGCTTTTCCCTTTTTCTCCTCTGATTTGAAACATGTGAAACAAAAGTAATGTGATATTTTGCTGTGGTAAATAACTTCTCAATTGCAAATGCAAATATATATATATAATTTATTTAATCTCTATATTGTATCTGTGCAAGTTTATAAGATATTCTAGAAAATAGACTCAAAGGTTCATGAAGTCAATTTTGAATGTGTAGATTAAAGATTCTCAAACTTTGTGTTTTTTTGTTGTTGTTTTGTTTTTTGAGACGGAGTCTCGCTCTTTGCCCAGGCTGGAGTGCAGTGGCGCGATCTCGGCTCACTGCAAGCTCCGCCTCCCCAGTTCACGCCATTCTCCTGCCTCAGCCTCCGGAGTAGCTGGGACTACAGGCGTCCGCCACCATGCCCAGCTAATTTTTTGTATTGTTTTTAGTAGAGACGCGGTTTCACCGTGTTAGCCAGGATGGTCTTGATTTTCTGACCTGCTGATCCGCCTGCCTCGGCTTCCCAAAGTGCTGAGATTACAGGCGTGAGCCCCCACACCCGGCCAAGGTTCTCAAACTTTGAATATACAAGAATCATCTGGAGGAGTTATTTAAATACAAATTGCTCTGCAGTTACTGACTAAAAATATCAGTAGTGAGTTAAAGAATTTGCTTTCTGAAAACTTTCCTGTTGTGCTAATGCTGCTAGGCTGGGGGAAATTTCAGATCTATTGTGTTAGAGATACAGCATTGTCTCTTAGCTCTAACTACATAATAGCTTAGGAAATACAATTGATAAGAGATGGAGATATTACTGACCCAATTCAGTGATGCACCAATAAGGGTTTCAAGACTGATTTTCCATTTTTCTTTTTATGTGAGATAAAACATAAGCAAATAGACAGTGATCCATTTATTGTCTCAGCTCTAAATCCATCTTTGTTTGCTCTGTTTTTTGATATAGCAGCAGGACTTGTAAATCTTCCAGTCTTCCTTCCTTCAGTGCAGGAACCATGGATTCTTATGCAGGAAGCCTAGCAGCATTACTCCTGTGGCCTTCAGAGACAGTTCCAGTAGCACTTTCTGGCTCTCCTGTCTACCTGGCAGCTGCTTCCAAAGCTGTTCCAGCCACAGTCTTAGGGAGCTTTTTCCCAATCACCAAGCAGTCTTACTGAGTGTCTTCTTCTCTGGACTAGATCCCACTTGCCCAAAGTCTCTGGCAAGGTCTAGGCCACTGGCAGGTTTTGTGTTCTAGCGGTGGCTATTTTTCATTGAAGATTGAATTTCAGCCTGGCCAGTTAGAAGTAGGCGTCTTCTCCCAAGTAATTAGTACCAATTTTGTCCATGTTCCTCAGCCTAGAATATTATTTGCTTTATTGAACTTGCTTCTTCTGGTCCTATTAGAATTTTATTTTACCATTTTTAGTAGATAACCATCTTTTGTTTGTTAACAATTCATGTACAATATTATTAAATTTTCCTCTTCAATTAACTAGAGCTATTTATATTTCCTGATATATACTGATACATTAAGTAAAAACCTCATTTTTTACTTAAAAAAAACTTGTCTATTCTTGTTTCACCAGTGAACCTCCTTGCTGAGTCTACTGAGTGTGTAATAAGTGAGAAAGAATAGACTAAGCACAGTTTAGTAAATACTTATTTTTAAATAATAGTTTAGAAAGCAAACATAAACACAACTTCAAAATCTGTTGATGTTTGAGTAAAGTTCTTGAGTACTTGGGGGTCTTGCATGAGGTATCTGAAAATTGTATCTACTTTTGATGGGGCAAATAAGATATTAGCTCTCTTTTCCAAATCAATCTTTTTATAGTCAGCTTTGTACTGAGCCTCTGCAAATCACATTTCTTATTAGTGGGCTCCTGTTGGGCTCCACCACCACAGGGTGCTCCAGAGAGACGCTAAAGCTGTGGAAAAAAAATGAACTTGGCCTTTCCTGTTTTGTTCCTCTGTGCATCTGATGTGATTCCTACCTCCTTCTTTCCTTTGAGCATCACATGCATCTTCATCCTAGCAGCACCATTTCCTTCTCATACATTTTCACCCCATCACCTGCTGCTCACCAACCCCATCACACTCAGAGACAGCAGCTTGCTCAATGGAGGTCTAGATCCCAGCCCAAGAAAATGTCAACATCACAGACAGACACCAACAGCCAAGCAACACCTCCTCCTCAGAGCCTTGAGTTTCAGCTCTGTGGGGCCCTTTGTCAAACATTAAATTTTAACAGGAATATCCTCTTTCATTTGTTCTGCAAAGCCTAAGAGTAGTAGCTGTCTTCTTCAATATTTTTTCTTCCTATGATAACTTAATGATTTATTTATTTACTGTCTCTTAACTGGTTAACAACTTTATATTAGATTAGCAATTTCTCATATGGAAATTTTTTTCTGTTCAAAGAACTGGTCTGGTTTGTCTTTTATGAGTGAACTTTTTTTTTTGAACCAGAGTCTCACTCTGTCACCCAGACTGGAGTGAAATGGCACGATCTCAGCTCACTGCAACCTCCGCCTCCCAGGTTCAATCGATTATCCTTCCTCAGCCTCCCGGTAGCTGGGATTATAAGCACCTGCCAGCGGCCAGGCGCAGTGGCTCACACCTGTAATCCCAGCACTTTGGGAGGCCAAGGAGGGAGGATCACTTGCGGACAGGAGTTCCCAACCAGCCTGACCAACATGGTGAAACCTCATCTCTAGTAAAAGTGAATGAACTTCTGTTGTGACTTTTTTTACTCCAGTAGTTCAGTGGGCAGGAGTGTTAACAGCTCTTTTACTCCCACCACCTGCAGCTCAGCGAGCAGGAGCATTACAGCTCTTTTGTTCCTGCTGTTTGGTGAGTTCTGGTTTCTTGTCCCCCAACCAAAAGGAATAAAGTACATGGACACCAGAGAGGGATAAGGCAGAGTAGAATTTATTGTGCATAAGAAAAGCTCTTGACAGTGAGAAAGGACCTGATAGTGGGTAGCCATCTGTGAGGCTAAGTCGGGGGTTTCTATATGCTTAGAATGAGGGCGTGTTTGCTGATTTGTTTATGGGTAAACTTGGAAAAGGCACCATTTGATTGGTGAAAAGGCATCATTCAGAAAGAACCAATCAAGGAAGAGTGGGTAAAACGGATACAGAAGTTCTCACTCTGGTCCGTGAATTCTATCCAAAACTGGTAGCTCAGTTTTCAGGCTTTAGACTGTCCTTGCCTTGAAGGTTGAGTTTCATCAGGGACCCATACCTGTCTGTCTAGGAATTTGTCTGTTTTCTGTCACTATCACTTTGACAATAACAGAAATTGGTACTTGGAGTCATCCCAAGAAACAGAATCTGAAATATAAAGTGTTGAGTTGGGTTTGCTTTTGTCCTCCTGCTTGACCATAGAGCTAATGCCCTTGCAAATTGGAAACTGGATATTAGTAATCGGTGACATGCGGTAGTTTTATGACTAATTCAGCATCTCTCTTCATCTATGTGTAAATCATATAGGTTTTTCAGAATAACTGTAAATTATTGTAAATTTAGGTAGAGGCTCTAGTTCCAGATGTAATTCCCTGGTAACTGATATTCACCTATTTACCCGGCAAACACTTTTTTCTTCATAAAATTTCACAGGAACCACCATAACTGGTTTACCTGGCACAGTTGTCAGTATGCTTTCACCGTTTTGCCTCAGATGTACATCATTTATCCTACTCCCTGTCATGTCATAATTTGGAAAAATCTTGAAATTATCCCACAAAATTACACTGGATAATTTTATTGATGATATACGTTAACTAGAACAAAGAAGTACACAGTGCAAAAACTTCAGGTGCCATTGTATGTTGGATGCCATACTAGCTCTCCTACATTGAGAGATTAACCTAGTGATTGGAGTCTACAAACCCAGTAATGTTTCTAGGAGTCCAATTATCTAAATCTATAATTGGAGTGATCCCCTCTCCAGTGAAAGATAAGTCACTACATCTTGAACTACCCAAGAGTCCCAAAGAATCAGTGCTTGATGAGCCATTATGTATTTCAGAGGCAACATATAACACAGTAAATGTACTAATTAAACCCGCATATCATCAAATAACTCATAAGGCTGCCAATTTTGAATGAGGATCAGAGAAAGAAAAATGCTTGTGAAATAATATGTTATTTATTTAGTCATATTATTCTGTCTAATAATGCTTTTAATCATATAATTAATTTCATGGCAGAAAATATGCAGCAGTGGGCTCACATCTGTGGGATTTTCTTACCATTATGCTTTCACGGGGAAGCAGCTGAACTAACAGATCCATGGAATGTCCTCCTGAAGACCTAATTATGGCACTCGTTGGTAAAAAAGACCTTGAGAACACAGGATTCAATTTTACAGAATTTCGTATACGCTTGAAACAGCAGCCAGTAAATGACACTGTATCTTTTACAGCCAGAACGTAGAAGTATTAGAAAAAAAGGTATGTAAATAAAAATGGCTTCTTTCACCATTAAACCCAATAATAAAATAATAGAAATTTGCCTTCCACAACTTTCAGTTCTGCTGGTTTAGATGTCATAGGTTACTAGAGAAGATTTCATGAAAGGAAAATATCTTGGGCCCCCATAACCACTAAGCTAAAGGGAAAATTCAAGCTGTGAACTGCTTAGGACAAATTTGCCTCCCATTCTATTCAGAGTTATCCCTTTGCTCACTGACATAAATGCATATCCGATTGCCTCCTTTGGAGAGGCTGATCAGAAACTCAAAATAATGCAATTATTTGTCTCTCATCTATCTGTGACCTGGAAACCTCCTCCCCACTTCGAGTCTTCCTGCCTTTGCTTTGAGTTGTCTGGCCTTTCCAGACCAAAACAGTGTACTTATTGCCTATATTGATTGATGTCTCATATCACTCTAAATTGCATAAAACCAAGTTTTGCCCTGACCACCCTGGACACATATCATCAGGACTTCCTGAGGCTGTGTCACGGGTGAGTGTTCTCAACCTTGGCAAAATAAACTTTCTAAATTAACTGAGACCTGTCTCAAATTTTAGGGGTTCACAGTTTTCACCAGGGAAAAATAGTTCCATTGAACTATAAGTTGGGATTGCCTCCTAGCCATTGGAACATCTCACACCCCATAACAAATAAGGAAAGGAAGATGTTACTCAATGGGATAGTATCAATGATCCTGATTACCAAGGAGAAATTAAATAAAGTAATGCTAGAAACTGAAGTCAAGTGTTACTTGAGGCCCTTATTTGCACTTCCATGACCAATCGTAAAATTAATTGATCTTTAAAGGACAACAACAACAAAAACCTCTACAGAGAACTCTGCCTCTTCCAGAAGAAGATTTGGGTCACGGCTTCAATAAGAAATCCTCCAGTTGAGGTTCTGATTGAAAAGAAAGTAAATATGAAAGCTTTAAATGTCAGCTGGAGCCTTAATATCAGTTACAGAAGCAAGGAATTAAGTACCTATAAGAAGGGCCAGATGAGGCAGTGACTAAATATTCAGAACAACAAAGAAAATAGTAAACGCGAAGGCCTTGAGTTAAGAAAGTAAATGGTGTGTTGAAACACATCAAAAAGAAGGAGTAAGCAGTGAACTGACAAGAAGAGTTGAAGAGATGAGCTCAGAGAGATAAAGGAAGACCCAAGAGATTATAGGAGGGCTTTGGAAATCATGGGTACCCACATACACATGATTTGGGGTGTAAGTTGGTGAACTTTGGAGGAATGTTTGGCAGCACCTCAAAAATTTTGAATATAAACACTTTCTCACTCAGCAACTTACTTCCATTTTATCCTGGAGACACAGTCATAATTTTACTCAAGGATATGTGTAGTAGGATGTTTACTACATAATTTATTACTATAAAGTACAAACAACCCAGAAATCTGGCTTAAAAATGTGCATACATTAATGAAATTCAACATAGCCATTTTAAAGAACAAGGACTTCTGAATTTCGTATTGACATGAAAAACTCTCCAAGGTCCATAATTAGGTGAGAAAAGCAAGGCACAGGAAAACCTGCTTCTGTTTATTTGAAAATGTGTATGTATGTTTATGTATACATGCATATGTACATATAGAACATTATGGATGAAAAAAAGAAATATTAATAATCTTCCTTCTTAAGATGATAAGACAAGCCTCTTTTCCTATCCTTGTTGCACGTTACAAATAGTTACACCTTGCAAATATTCATAATAATGAAAAAAATAAGAAAAATTAATAAAATAGAAAAATAAATAGACAACAAATCAATATAAGAAAATTAAAACACTATGGATGTTACACGTGTGCATCCATATCTATTAGAACATCTGGATTCTCTGGTATTTGTCTATATATAAACATTTACATATTTATGTGTATGCATATATATATGTAAATGTTTATGAATAGTTCCCAATACACTGAATAGGCCCTTTTGTTCTCCCAGTTTTGGGTACTACCGGTCGACAAGAAAGTTTTTAGGACCCTTTATATTTTTATTTACTTGTAGTTGAATGAGATTTAAGAAACTGACACAGTGTCCATTATGCTGAAACAATCCTTAATACCAGGGATTTTTATAGCATATATATACACACACTCACATATATATATATGTACACACACACACACACACACATATATACACATATATATACTATATATATGTTTTATATATATACACGTATATGTACATATATATGTTTGTGTGTATATATATACTATATATATGTTTGTGTATATATATATATGTGTGTGTGTGTGTGTGTGTGTGTGTGTGTGTGTGGTTTAACCAAAAAAAATTTATAGGGTTGCTATTGACATCATGCAACATTGGCTAAATTGAAAATTCTTTGCCAATAAATTTACAATGATAAGCCAAAGAGTTTTAGAACACAAAAATGGGCCAGGTGCAGTTGCTCATGCCTGTAATCCCAGCATTTTGGGATGCCAAGATGGGCGGATCACCTGAAGTCAGGAGTTCAAGGCCAGCCTGGCCAACCTGGTGAAACCCCATCTCTACTAAAAAATACAAAATATTAGCCGGGCATGGTGTAATTCCAGCTGCTTGGGAGGCTGAGGCTGGAGAATCACTTCAACCCGGAAGGCAGAGGTTGCAGTGAGCCAAGATCGTGCCACTTCACTCCAGCTTGGGCACTAAGAGAGAACTGTCTCAAAAAAAAAAAAGAATACAAAAATGTTTAAGCCAAATGAATTTTACTTAATTTTTGCACAATATTTTTATAGTCTATACTGAGCTAATCCAATTTTCTAGTCAATCAGAATCCAATAATATTTAGATGAGTTATAATCTATTGGAAATAACCAGGGTTATATCTAAATATATGCTTCTGAAACTTTCACAGGCATTAAAACCTAGTTCAAAACCTTTAAAATGGCACATTACAAAGTTTAAAGTCAAAGTATTCAGGAAATAAAATGTAGGCAAATTTGAAATCATAAGGAAATTAATTTTCATATGTCAAGGATTTTATACATATTGTAGAGAATTAGTAATTAAATCCTTTAAAGTTTTTTGCTCTGTTTCATTTTTCCACATCTTTGAAGAATATCTTTGAACATTATTAAAAGTGAAATGTGAGTGTTATTTCTTTAAAATGAATGTAGCTATTTTGGCTAAGCACTAAATTTATAAATGATTTATGGGCATCAGATCTGCAGCTTAATTTATATACTTTCATTCCTTTCAGCATGTTGTCCTTGACTGTTATTACAAGGTCTTGAACACACTATTTCTTCATAAAATCAGAAAGTTATTAGGCAGACTGCAGTGATTTTACGTTGAGCTGTAGCTGATGAGAGTGTGACAGTGCTCAAATGTATTCATTTATATGCTGTAAGTTGTGTACTCTAGTTTTCCATAAGTATTATTTCTAGAAATTGTTTGTTCTGTATAATTGGAAACAAATTCAAATAAAAATACCCTTAAGATAATCACAAGCTCAATAGGATAATATTGTCTCATTCTCTATTTATAACTGTTCCATATGAAAAATGTATTATTGGGAAAAAATCTTAAGGATGTAGTGATACATAATGATTTGAGATTATATAAAATCCTAGGCTTCTATTTTGGAATTCTGCTTTTCTAAGATATTTGAATTCTAAAATAAATGAATTATGTTATTTAAAAATAAAGGGATCAAAAATAGTATTTTTTAAACATAAAAAGTAAAATTGGAAAATTTATTTTATCTGATAATAAAATGTAATAAAATATGCTATACTTTACATTTATATTTTACATTATTTATACCATAGCAATTAATATATTTTACAGGTAGTATGTATTAATTTAATTTATTGCTCAGTTTAAGCATGGTATTTTAGCTTTGCTTATGTGTAGATGGCGATTCGGTGAAACCCTAGGTAATTAAAATAGAACCAACAGCTATTTACATCACAATTATATTGAAAATATTATATAGTAAGTTAATAATGGCACAAATAGAGCCCCAACATTTCTGTGTTGTTCTCTGGCTGAATTTTACTAAGAAAAGACACTTAAGCTTTGTGTTTACCATGCATTCTCAACTGAAGAGAGCAAAATCCACTTTTACTAATTTCATCAAAAAACCAGAAATGTGAAAAGATAGCAAGGAAAATCTCTTTGGAAGTGACTGCAAAATTATTGAAGACAACTTAATAGTCATAAGCACCTTGGTTTATCACTCAAGGAAAACACGTTTTAGTAATTAGAAAACACTTTATAATTTAGCCTGCTGAGTGTCATTTACTTGGATACATACTCACCTTTTTGAATTAGCAATGGGATATAATAGTGAGGTAGTGGGAGCATTTCTCCACAGTGTAGGCAATCAGGGTATACATTTTCTGCAGAGAATTTATAAACAATAAGAAATTTACTAAAATGTGGTCATCTTTTATTATCACCATATCATGGCAGTTCTAAAGATTGACAATGATGAAATACTTCTCCATGGAAAAGTTTTTGTTCTATTAAGTTTTACAGATTTGCTAATATGATAATTGAGTTTTCGTTATACACAAACACACACACATTTAATTACATGTATGTAAGCTTCAAATCAGCACTTTTCAAAAACTTTTCTTTTAATAAATGGTATATTTTATGCAGAGGTTAATTCAAAGAACTACCTGTTACACTGTGAACAATGATACATATGGATTCAGCTGCTATATTCATTTTGAGACTATGTCTGAATTTTTCAATCTAGAGATTTCTCTTCAAACCCTATTAACACATACAGTTCTATGTGAAAGATTTGGAAAAAAAGAACACTGTAAAGGGGAGGAGGAGATTTAATTTCCTTCAGTTCTATCATTCTTTTTATCCACTTGGTGATTTTCCTTTTAATATTTAAAACAGTGAAATAAGGTGAAGTGTAATGGCTCATGCCTGTAATTCAAATGCTTTGGGAGGCCAATATGGGAGCATTCCCTGAGGTCAGGAGTTTGAGAACAACCTGGCAACATAATGAGACCCCCATCTTTGCAAAAACAAACAAACAAACAAGCCTGGCATGGTGGTGTTTCCCTGTAGTACTAGCTACTTGGGAGGCTGGGGACCTGGGTAGTGGAGCCAGCTCCTATCTCTAAAAAAACAGTGAAATAGAGTATAAACAACAAAATGTGATACTTATTTGTTAAGTGAAAATCTTTGTTTATACCTAAAATATTTCATTGGAATTGAATAATATTTGAAAGCTAAATTTTATTATTTAAAAATTGTTCATAGTGAAACTAATAAATCAAGAAAATACAATTATTAACTATTTGACACAATTACTACTGAAAATAATTTTGCTATATAGAAGCATGAAGTGTTAAAAAATGGTCTACTCTTGGAATCAGATATGCTAGAATGCTACTAATTGAGGGCAAAGAGAAGACATGGATAAAAACAGTGCCCCCCAAAAAGTACTTATGACATGGGGAAGAATCAGCAGATCATGTATTGCACAAAAGAAAACAAAAACAAGAAAACCATACAAGTAGGCACACAATGTGATTACTCATATTAATTACTCACACTGGTTACTGTGATCTTTACAACTTAGTTCATTTATTTTAGAGTCAAATCTTCTAGGACGTATTCAGACAGCTAGTCATTTCTAATTTTTTAAGTGAGATGATTTTTAAAAAGTATTAGGTGCCTTAGAAATATTTATTTCAAATTTTAAATATCTTGCTTTTTTTTTCGTTGAATGTATTCTCAAAGCAAAACCCACAAAAATTAAGATATTAAATGATCTGGCTGGGCGCGGTGACTCATGCCTGTAATCTCAGCACTTTGGGAGGCCGAGACAGGCAGATCACGAGGTCAGGAGATCAAGACCATCCTGGCCAACATGGTGGAACCCTATCTCTACTAAAAATACGAAAATGAGCTGGGTGTTGTGGTGTGCCCCTGTAATCCCAGCTACTTGGGAGGCTGAGGCAGGAGAATCGCTTGAATCAAGGAGGCAGAGGTTGCCGTGAGCCAAGATCACGACACTGCACTCCAGCCTGGCAACAGAGGGAGATTCCATTTCAAAAAAAGAAAAAAAAAAGATATTAAATGATCTACCTTTTTAATTTGTTTGGCGAGTGAAGGTAGGGAAGGAAATACACTTGTGTTTTCTGTCTGTATTCTCTAAAGTCTGTTAGATCACAACAATTTCTTGATGAGTAGAGTTCAGTAGTCATTAAGAAATTTGTGTTAAATAAAATAGCTACTGATAAAACCACAAGAAAAATTAATTTTATATTATATATTTCTCTAATTTGGACTGTTAAAATGATGTGAAAACGCCTGCATGGACAAAGATCAAATTTTATTAATCATCCTTGTTTTAAATTTTTATCAAAATCCTTGGAATGTACTTAGGGCATTTGCTAGGTTGAATTCAGACTGAGTCACAACCAAAATTTGTTTTAATTTCAAGTAAACTTGAAAAATAACACTTGTTTGAAAAAAAAAAAGCAAGGTGATTTATGAACAGAATTGATATTAACCCATTGGTATGAGTGACCTATTTTTTAAAAATTATGAAAATGAAGTTCATATGAATGACAATGTTAATATTAAGTTATTGACTTTCAGACTGTGAAACTCATAAGTTAGTTCTTAAAGATGACTTTGAATATGACATTTTATACAGTGTTTATAACATCCTGCGAGGTTCATAAAACCCATATTATATTCACATTTGCTACTAGGGAAACACAGGATACCTGGCAAGCCCTGAGCAGTCATATACTAATACAGTGGAGCCAAGGCTAGGATCCTATTATTCTGACTTCTAGGAATGAAGAATTTGCACGTTTAAGAAGCATACACCTAGGAGAATGAAGTATTTTCTGGACTCCGTCAATAAAAAGATCAAATAGTAAAAGGAGGAAAAAAGTAACAGCCTTTACAAAATGATTGAAACATTGGAAATTCATATCAACATGAAAGTATTAAAGAATTATATTGTGGAGAAAAAATATATGGAGCAATTTATTATTCACATTAGTGCATGTATATTATTCAAAACTGATAGGAAAAATACATATTTAATAATATACTAAATTAACTTTTGCCTGTTCTTATTCCAGAAAAATAGTAATGCTTAATTTTTCTCTTTATTTACACTCTACAAATAACATATTTAAGAAACGAAGCTGCATTCTAGGAATTCAACTTAGCAGCGAAACTAAAATAAAAACTCATGGTTATACTTTATAAAAACTAAACATAAAATTGGCAAGTAGCCTACTTTACCTAGGAATGAAACTCAGAGCTGAGATGTAGAGCTGAGTCAAAAACTTTGGATGTTGCTACTAATGTATTTATTCAAATAAATTCATATTTAACCTTTACAGTCTACAAGACAGATCCCAAACAAAGGCAGGTTTTTTGTGAGGGCGAGGATTCCTTCCCTGATTAAATCAACCTAGTACTGGATTGCTTCCTTTCTAAACCATTCATAATATCTTTGATTCTGTCGCAGTGTCTTGTAAGGAAGAGCTATAAACTTTTCTCACCAAATTGAGAATAAATTCTTCTAACTATCAGACTTAGAGCACAGAAAAGAGATCATCAGATGTTTGATTCTTCCTGAGCCAGCACAACTAAGTGAGTAAAAGTAACCAGTGACGAATTTCATGGTACCTTATAGAATGCCAATATAGTTTTGATACTGGAACCTTTAGCTGAGTGGAAAACAAGATTGATTCACAGCTCTAAGTGGTTGTCCAATTGGTCTGAAAGATTGAGCCTGGCTTCAAAACTAAGGAACAGCTTTCCGAGTGGATTAATCTAGCTTAAAAGATTTGAAGCAAAGTATGCCCTCAAATGGCAAGACTACAGAGTTTAAGTGAAAGATGAGACTTCGTTTGAGACGCTTTTTTTCCCCCGAGTCAGGGCATATATAAATTTTGTGATTCAGGATTATAATTTGAGTATAATGTATATTTTCTATTCTTTCTTGTGATAGAATGTGTTGAAAACTTGCTCTAAAATTTGTTATAATTTTATTTTTATATGACAAAAATTCTTTGATTGCTTTGTATAATACACAAATATTGTTAAGAAAATGATGTAGCTTATTCTCTTTTGCCTAATATTGTCAAAAATACAGAATATTGTCAAAGAAAAAAATTGAAACTGAATCATCATTACAATTATTCCTTGATGCATTATTTTACGTTTGAAAATCTGGTGAGTGTTATATTTAATTATTTGTGACTATATTAAAATTTGCCTTATTTCAAACATCAGTGCTAATATTTAGCATTTTGTGTGAGATGTAAATATTCCCAGAACCTCTAATTCTAAATGAAATGATAAATGAAACTGAAAACACAATGTATCCCAAAATCTGCCCTGCTAAAGAAAAAAAAAACCATAAAATGTATATAAATTTTCTTAAACTGTCATTAAAATGTCCAATAAATTATTTTAAATAATACTACAAACTACAGTATTTCTTTGGCTATCAACTAAAAACTGTTATGGGTGAGTTATATACATGTTTTTCATTTTTAAGACGAGAAGTTTTTGATCATTATTTTTACTATGGAGGATAAGGTGAGGTAAGATTTAAAATAAAACACCACCTTTTCAGCAGAATATGTTGAATCAATAAAATAAATGGTAACAATTAATAGAAAAGAAAAAAGGCAATTTTACATTGCCTGTTATAAATATTCCTTGTTGATTACAGATTTACCTCAAAATAAGATTTAGGAAACTCTATTGCTGCTGTTCTGTTCATTTTCTCTCTAATTGCTGAATATACTTCTTTGAGCTGAATGGCAAAAGTGAGCAATTTGAAGGTCATAGAAACAAGAATGTTGGAAAATCAGATCAAACTCCTGAAACTACATATGAGGAAATTAAATTCACGACAGTACAAGAGACATTAATAAAGTCACTGATACAGTTAGGAGCAGAGTCAGGGCTAGTGATTTTCTGACATGTGCTAGATAAATACAGGTTTATATTCATTGGCAAGAGCTCTAATTCGTTTGTTCTAAACCATTTTAGTGGTGCAATG
Source organism: Homo sapiens (assembly GCF_000001405.40). Classification (NCBI taxonomy): domain Eukaryota; kingdom Metazoa; phylum Chordata; class Mammalia; order Primates; family Hominidae; genus Homo; species Homo sapiens. The sequence goes on from NC_000004.12 coordinate 171,417,715, forward strand.
TTCTGAAAATAACCTAAATTGAGCACAATCATACTGAATTACCTAATTAGAAAATTGATAATTATATATGCTTAAACTTTTTGTTCTGGGAATGGACTATTTAACAGCCCTTTTGAAGTTCATTTAATACTGCTAGAAATACCTTTTTATTAGGTAGTATAGGTTTACACGCAATCAGATGTTTGTTGATTTCTCTTAGTCTATCACTGTGAAAGGTACACTGGAGGATAAAAAAATTCATAAGCAATGGATGCTGCCATTACATAATAGTCAATTATAAATGAGACAAAAAAAATGTATATAGAGCTACACTATAAACACCGTAAAATGTTAGAGTATGTAATCTACAAGTGAAAATAATTTGTGCAACCTCTGATTATGTATTATTGTATTGATCCCTTTTAGAATAGTTTGAGCTTAGTTTATGAGGTTGTGTCTCCCGAATTCTATATAACCTGGGCTAAGAAGCTCTGTAATCTGCTATAAAGTGAGAAGTAAGATAGGTTAATTGTTTTGCAACTTCATTTGCAGAGCACAATGAATGTTGTTGTTTAAACATTAAAATAATTGAAGTTTCTAAATATGCTTTCTATGTGATTAAGAAAATTTAAATTTCAAAATCATTATTACTAATATGAAAAGTACAACTCATTATTAAAATGATTTGGTAAGCTAATGGTGGTCACAGGAGGCAAAGCACTCAAACAACAAAAACTATGCCTTCACACTGCCACTATTCTTGCGATGTCTTTTTGTTGTTTAAAAACAGTAAGCATGTGTAGATCCATATATGCATAAATAGAGAGATAAAAGTTATCGTGTGTTGGCAGTGGAGTGAGTGTTACTGTCATGCAGGGATATGCCTAAGGAACATGTATCCTTTTTGGATCATATCTTCAGCAGGTCCTGAGAAGTGGGTTTTCCTGAATTAGAGGACTTCTAATGCTATTGGAGTAATGCTCATTCATAACTTCAGCAACTACTATTGAAAACAGCTATGTTTAAAGTTTTACAGTGCACTTAAAATCAGACACAAAATATTTACGTACAGTTACTCATCTGTAGGATATCATTTTGCTGGGCTCCCCTTAGTTATGTCCTATTAAAACTCACATGTTGTTCTAAGGATTGAGATTGGGTCTTATGTATTCCTCAAATTCATGGCTTGGGGAGCTTATATTCAATGACAAGAATTCTAATTTGTTCTAAACTATCTTAGTGATGTAATATTCTGAAAATAATCTAAATTGAGCATAATCATACTGGTTTACCTAATTAGGAAACTTAAACCCACCCCTTAAAAATCTTATTAAAATAAGCTCTATAGAATATTTTTAAATATTATAAACGACACAGGTCAGTGCACTTCAGAGCTCAGTTTCATGGCCATTCTCTAAGATGCCATGCCAGATCAGAATTTCCTTTCCAAATTCTCTGATATTTCAAATGTCCAGTAAAAGATCAGTATACAACTGAGTGTCACTTTATTGGCAAATATTGATTCAAATATAACAAAGAAGACAACCATATGCTTAGATGGGTGAATTTCTTAAATTAATTAGAAAATTACGTATCCGATTGTCACATAATATACTAAAATTTTAAAGAATTTACAACTTATCTACTGCTTCTGATTAAAATATCCAGATCCTGAATTTTTTGGGGTAACTGGGGGTAACTAGGAACCTGGATATTTTATTTTGCTAACAAAGTCTCTGTGTATACTTTTCTTTTTTAAACAATATAAATTGTGTATTCCAGCTATAATCTTATTATTGGTTTATACATGACCTTAGCAGGCAACTTTTTCAAGTCATATATATATATGGCTATATATATATGGCCATATATATATGGCTATATATATATGGCCATATATATATGGCTATATATATATACACACACACACGGCTATATATATATATACACATATGGCTATATATATGGCTATATATATGGCTATATATATATGGCTATATATATATGGCTATATATATGGCTATATATACATATGGCCATATATATATATATATATATATCACCTTTGCACCGCCTATATATATATATATATTTGCAATTACCTTTGCACCGCCTATTTTTATATATATATATATATATATATATATATATGGCCATATATATATATAGGCGGTGCAAAGGTAATTGCAGTTTTGGCAAATGGTAACAGCAAAAACTTCAATTACTTTTGCACCAATCTAACAGTTTTTACGGGGATCTCTGTAGTATAAAGGGGCTATCTTAAAACTATTATCCGGGGTCAATTTAATTTAGAAATTCCTACTATGAAATGTTAGTTATTTAATATGTGCTTTTATATTTGTTAATGCAATGGACTGACTTAAGGAAGGAACTTTTTAATGATGCAACTATATTAGTGCAAATATTTATGTCATCTATTTAGATAGTTTCTTCATGTGTTCGTATAATTGCCTATCTCCCTATTCCTATCTGCTAATTTATGTTTTTATATTTCTACTCATCCCCCCATTAACCGTAAGTCACCATATACTTCCTATATAATAAGTATTGCAGTAGTTACAAAAGATACAAAACATATAAGATACATCTCTGCCCTAAGGGACCCCACAGTTATGTGAAAGACACAAACGTAGATAAGACAACTGAATATCTAATTTTAAAATACAATATTAAGACTTAAGGTTATTTTTGGAAAGTTTCCTTTGAGCGTATAGCCATTGAATGTGTTAATAAAATTAAGCATTAAAATATTTTCTGAAATTTTAAATATCATTTTAACTTTCCCAACTTTATACAGTTCTATTCAATAGGCTATAGTAAATTTAATTAACTTATAGTTTAATTTGAATGAAATATATACTACCAAAATAGAAGCTTCTAATAGTTACTCTGTAAAATATATTGTTTGTTTCAAAATGATTTAAAAACACAAAACAGTAATCTATTGCAAACATAGTGGCCATAGTTAATGATAATTTATATTTTTAACAACCCAAATTATTAATCTTCCTATTTTTCAAAAAAATGCTAATTTTAAATAAGAAACAGTTTTCCAGTGATGTCAAATCAGCCTCCTTTCCTAGTATGAGCAAGAAATCGCTGATATAGAATGATTGTATATTATGAAATATATACTAGTATAATTGCTTGACATTTTCTAAACTAATAAATGATAAACTTTTTTTCTGTAAAATTGGCTTTACTGACTTCAGTCTTAATTCCAACATAAAAAAAAATGTGTCTTCAGTTGGATGATCCAAAGTTATGTTTCAGCTTCAGGTTGATTCAATGTGTGATATGTGAAAATTTGTTCATACTCCATGGTTGGGAAAAAAACTTCTAACTTATTTGCTATACATTAACCTATAGTTTTGGTGAACCATTTCTACTTTCAAGAACAACTAATGGCAGTTTTAATTAAATTCTTAAATTCCAGTGTATGAAAATCTGTGCAAAGAAAAAAATTAAATTTTTATCTCAATACAGTATAGCTTAGTAATGTTCTATTTACATTGGATTATGTAATAAAATAGCTACTTTAATGAATAAAAATATAAAGATAATCTAATATTTCTCAGTAATTTATTACAGTAAAAGTGCATTCTACCATTTTATAAGACCTAATAGTGCAATTATTTAGAAATAATGATAAATTACATAGCTCATT